>NC_000003.12:51828181-52131212 GCF_000001405.40 Homo sapiens | reverse complement strand
TGTATTTTCTGAAACATAATCTTGAGCCACACTTACTTGGTTTAAGTTCTCTAGAGCTATTTGGGAGAGGATGGTGGGCGGGTTGTGGGTGGGGAGTTAAATCTGGTATTTGTGGCTGTGCAGTTGGTGTGCATGTCGCTGTAGAGTGACTGAGCTGCACACGGTGCCATGCGCCCCCGCCACCCTCCCCCCGACCCCGTGTGGGTGAGCAGCCCCTGCCCTGGACCCAGACCTGCACAGGCGCTGCTGTCTGTGCTCAGGGCTATGCTTTGAGACTTAGTTGGTGGGAACTTGCAGGCTCAGAGTAGGAGACCCACTGATGCTTATGGGGTGCTTGCGCCATGCTGGGCCCTAGGTTGAGGTTGGGATAGCAGCAGCAAAGGGGATGCACCTTCAAGCAGGGGAGGCGACTGTGTGACAGTGGCTGGGCCAGTGGGCCATCCCTCTGTCCACCCCAGGTGGAGGGCAGCTCTGGGAGTGGGCCACCCCTCCCTTGTTTCTGTGAGAGCTCTGTAGCTCCTGTCTAGGCATTTTGGAGGACTGTTTTGATGCTCAGGAGGGTCACACCTGGCTTGGGTGGTCGGGCACCTCCTGTGAGAGGTGAGAGGACATGCAGAGAGAGAACGGCTCATTTATTTCACACTAAGAAACTAAGAAGTTGGCCTGGCCCTCTGTCCCCTGCCAGCAGCCCAGAGTTGAGGGCTGGGAGCAGGTGTCTTCGGCCAGGGTCAGGAGGTCACTCCCCGTCTGTGGAGTTATGATGGCCTCCTATGGGCCCCACTCAGCCATGAGAGCCCAGTTCACAGCAGACCCTGGTAAGTGAGTGCAGGAGCCTCCTGGTGGGGCTCTGGAAGAAGCATCCCAGTGGGTTGGATTGTTGTCTCTCTGTCTGAGCACAGGGGCTGGAGACCACAGCACTCACCCCAGAGGCCTGTTGGGCCTCCTCAGTCCCATTCTCTGTGTGATGGCCACTCTGCTTTTCCCTCTGACTGAGGGGCATGTGGTGTGACAATCCTATTTGTTCACTGGAAGACTGTGCATATGAGAGTCAACACAAAATATTTTGCAACGCGTGAGAGGTGGTGGTGGGTTTGCCAGCATAGCTGTTGTGGGCATGCAGTCAGAGTTCAGGCATACAGGGGCCTCTGAGAGTCAGGCGGGAGAAGGTGAGGAGGATGAGGAGAGCAGCGAGGTCAGTGTGAGCTGCCGGAGCAGCAGAGCGAGAGCCAGCACGACTGTGAAATCTAATCACCATGGGCTCCCTTGTTTTGCCTTAAAAAAAAATCTTTCTCTGTTGATACTTTGTTGTTTGAAGAAACCAGGCAATGTGGGTCCTTTTTAGGTCTGGAAATTGGCAACAGAAGATGATGTGTGGTAAAATGACTGGGTGTGGATCCAGCCAAGCTCCAGGGCCAGATATGGCCCGGTTAGCAGGTAGAGTAGCAGGGAGGCCAGGCTGTGTCTGGGTTCATGACTGGTTAAGCAGGACCATCTCCCTGAAGATTCTGCCTGGTCTTTCAAGGGAGGGAGGGAGGCCCTTATTGAGCCTGTGAGGCATCCCTGCTAATGGACCTGGCCTGGAGTCAGAGGGAGACCAGGGCTTCCCACAGGTGGGTACCTCTGGTAGCTGGGGGCAGGCCGGCATCCACACTGCTGAAGGCCCAGCCAGGAGCCGCTGCTCAGAGGAATCCTCAGGGGTGTGCAGAGACACCCAGAGACAGGTCTTGCCTTTGGAGAGGATGGACTTGGCAATATCCCTGCCCCAAGTGGATACCCTGATGCATGAAGAGTGATTGATTAAATAAAAGGAATAAGCCATCATGAGGGTAGAACAGTCTCCAAAAACATGTATCATATCTGGCTGCTGGCAATGGTAAGAAGAGACTCTTCAAGCACCTATGGTTTGGAAACTTTATTTTATTTTATTTATTTTTGAGACAGAGTCTCGCTCTGTCGCCCAGGGTGGAGTGCAATGACATGATCTCGGCTCACTGCAACCTCCACCTCCTGGGTTTAAGCGATTCTCCTGCCTCAGCCTCTCGAGTAGCTGGGATTACAGGTGTGTGCCACCGCCCCTGGCTAATTTTGTAGTTTTAGTAGAGATGGGGTTTCGCCATGTTGACCAGATTGGTCTCGAACTCCTGACCTCAAATGATCCTCCCGCCTCAGCCTTCCAAAGTACTGGGATTACAGGTGTGAGCCACCATGCCCAGCCTGGAAATTCTAGAATGCACTCTCAAACAACCAATGGGCTGAAGGGGAAATCACAGTGGAAACTAAACATTTGGAAGTGAATGACTGAAAATGTTGCATACTGGAAACTTCCAGGATCTATTGAAGGTGTCATCAGAGGCAAATTTGTAGCCTTAAATTGATTTATATAAAACCAAAAAAATTGAAAATACCTGAATTAAGAACTCAATGCAGGTGACAGCAGAAAGAATATAGAGAAAGAGAGGACCTTTTCTGTCTAGATCATGGTGTTTGAGGAGCACTAGGGCAGGGAGGAGAGAGCCTGGAAAGTTAGCAGGGGCCGAAGTAATCTGGGGCCTCCAAGGCTAGGCCCTGAAGCATGTCAGCAGTGGACAGTCTCTTCTACAGTACATGTTGGCTTTGGCCCACAGCAGAGCCCAGGTGTTCTCTGTGCTGTCCTCTGAGTGCCCTGGGCTGCTAGGCAGAAGAACAGGAGCCTTCGTGGAAGGTACCTGGAGCAGGGGCTGCGTGGTCCTCTTGGTAAACAGGCACTGTTAGGGAGGACTGCAGATCCACACAGCTTATCACTCGCTTCATCCCTGGAACTTCCTGGGGTTTGGTCTCGTAAAGGAGCGCTAGCACTTCTTATCTGCAGGGCTCCCAGTGCCTGCGCTCTGGTCCTGACCCCTGCTGAGCTGAGTGTTTTGTTGGTTCTGCTGCTGTTGCTGCTGCTCTGACTCCACCACCTTTTCCCAACTTGGCCTCTGGTGGTTGAGTCATGACATGAAAGGAGAGTGACCTGCAAGTATTTTTCCCTTAGTTGCTGTGACTTCTTGGAAACCTGCCATCACTCAGTGAGCTCTGGGCAGGCAAAAGGCCCATCTTTTTTGACATTCCATGTACTGGTTTCCTTCTCTTTTCTCTGTTTCCTCTTTGTTTTTCCTCACAATGAAAGTAGTTTTGTTGTTTGGTGTTCGTATTAGTGTAGCAATGCCATATATTCATTATTAAAAAATTCAAAGTAGGCCAGGTGCGGTGGCTCATGCCTGTAATCTTAGCATTTTAGGAGGCTGAGGAGGGTGGATCACTTGAGGCCAGGAGTTCAAGACCAGCCTGGCCAACATGGCGAAACCCCGTCTCTACTAAAAATATAAAAATTAGCCGGGTGTGGTGGAGGGTGCCTGCAACCTCAGCTACTTGGGAGGCTGAGGCACAGGAATCGCTTGAACCCAGGAGGCAGAGGTTGCAGTGAGCCAAGACTGTACCATTGCTCTCCAGCCTGGGCGATAGAGCCAGACTTTGTCTCAAAAAAAAAAAAAAGGTTTGTGACTGGGTGCAGTGGCCCACATCTATAATCCCAGCACTTTGGGAGGCCGAGACGGGCAGATCATGGGGTCAGGAGATCGAGACCATCCTGGCTAACACAGTGAAACCCCATCTCTACTAAAAATACAAAAAAAATTTAGCTGGGCGTGGTGGCGGGCACCTGTAATCCCAGCTACTCGGGAGGCTGAGGCAGGAGAATGGCGTGAACCCAGGAGGCGGAGCTTGCTGTGAGCCAAGATCGCACCACTGCACTCCAGCCCGGGCAACAGAGCGAGACTCTGCCTCAAAAAAAAAAAAAAGGTTCAAAGTAACGGAAAAATGAAAAATTTCTAAGAATCAAGTAAAAGTTACCTGAAATTACCTCACACCCCTCTGTTAACCCCTTGGTGACTGTCCACCTGAAAGGGTATCTGAGTGATGGATGCCCTGCCCTCATCCTGCAGTCAGGCCCTGCATGAGCAGGGGCCACACAGCCCGTGATGTCTTACACTTGGGATTTCACCCTCACTGATGTTATTGGGCATTGTTTCTCTGTTAGTAAAAGTGGATCTATATTATCCTGGTTAATGGTGGCTTAGGATTCCCAGGGCTGCTGGGAGTGGGGCATTCCTGGGCCCTTGCAGCTCTACCTGTGTGAAGAAGGCAGGAGGGCAAGTGTAGGCCAGAGGCTTTGTCTTTGTGTCCTCTCAGGCTTTGTTCCCTGCACTTGGACATGGCACCCTTAGGAAGGGTAGTGTGATTAGAATGTGTTCCCCAAAGTTCATGTATTAGAAACTTGATCCCCAGTGTGGGTTGTTGGGAGGTGGGGCATAATGGGAGATGTTTGGGTCCTGAGGCCATGCCCATATATATGAATTAATGCCATTCTTGCAGGAGTGGGTTTGTTACCATGGGGTGGGTTTCTTATAAAAGGATGACTTTGGCCCGCTTTTCTTTGTCACCCTCTCTTTGCCCTTCTGCCGTGGGATGACTCAGCAAGAAGGCCCTTGCCAGATGCTGGCCCCCGATCTTGGACTTCCCAGCCTCTGGAACTGTGAGCCAATACATTTCTGCTCATTATGAATTACTTAGTCTCAGATATTCCATTATAGCAACAGAAGTGGACTAAGGCAAAGGGTCACCGCACAGACTGTCCTTTCAGGATTCAGTGGGTAAATGCAGGTGCTGTGCTCTGAGCGCCTGAGTGCTCGGTGTTCACCAGTGTTGTACTTGCTTTTTTCGTCAGAGGTGTTATGAGCACCTCTGAGAGGAAGAGCCGAAGGTGGACTCTGGAAGCATGGGTGGGCATACTCCCTGCTGTCCAGTGTGTCTGAGGCTGAATGGCACCTCTCAACCTGCCTGTCTCTCTGGGAGACAAAAGCTGCCTTCCTCCATGGCCTCGAGGTCCCTTTTCCCTCCCAGAACTTGGCTGGTCTTTTCTGGCATTAAGTGGAAGGCGCCTCCCAATGTTCCTCTCATTGATGAGTCAGCTGTAGATGTGCTGCCAGAGCCCATCTCATGGGCAGTTGGGGCTCTTGCCGCTCCCTGCACTGGTCTGGGGGGACTGAGGTGGACTTGGTGACAGTGGCTGTGCTGTCTTCTAGGAGAGAACCTCTTTTATCTGATTTTGCTTGGGAATACCAGGTACTGGCCACAGTAAAAGTTCGACTGGGAGGAAGAGATGGTGGTGGCTGTGGTCATGGTGTCGTAGCTAAACAGATCCTTACTCTGAGCACCTTTCTGGGATGGATTTTAGGTATGTGGGGAAGAACCCTCCTTTGCTAGGAGATCATGCATCCCCCATCTCCCCCGCCCTGGACTGCTCTCCAGCCCTTGGAGTGCGGCCTGGCGTGTGCCTGGCATTCCCCTTCAGATGGTCACGCAGACCTTCAACATCTGGGAAGCCAGAGTGGGCACATCACTACCCATGGCCTGAACATAAGAAAAGTGAATGCACATTAGAGAGACGTGTCACATTGCTCTGCTGCCCAAGCACCTTTGGAAACCTCCTTCCTGTCACCTGTGCCTTGAACTATGCCCTGTCTGCTTGAGCCATTGGCTCTTCCTTGGAGATCCCTATTTCTCTGGTCAGCAACTGTGCAGTGTTGGGGAGATGTTGGGTGTTAGGGTTGGTCTGGGTCAAAGGGACCAAGTTCTGGTCTCAGTGCTGTGGCTGGGGTGACTCAGTGCATCTCTCTGACCTGTGGTTTCTTACTGGGAAAGTGGGGACAATGAGGCCAGCCCTGGAGGGCTGCCAGTGCAGACTGTCCCATTCACTCATCTCTGTCACCCACATTCTCATAGCCTGGACTTGTCCCTGTTGTAGTGCTCAGGAACAGAAGCCTGAGCGGTGGTGCTTGCACCTGGCTGCAGGCAGGCTCCTGGGCTACAGGTTACGGAGGACTGTGGGCTGAGTGGGCTCTCGGTCCTTTATCCTGCTGCTGCTTTCATTCAAGAACGTCTCGTTTTCTTCCTGTGCATTTAGAATGGAGAATGACCTTTGATGTGTGTTATTTTTTGTTTGTTCTGCCAGGGACCAGCCACCACTGTTGCCTTTTCAAGAACGGGGGAGTATTTTGCTTCTGGAGGCTCTGATGAACAAGTAAGTAAAGAGTAGTCGAATGGAATGGTGAAGAAGGGAATCTGAGCTGATTTCTGCTCAGAACCAAACAGGGTGTTTGGGGGATGGGCTGGGTTTCGCCAGCTTCCTTGGTGGCTTTCAGCGACTAAAAAGGCCCTGATGGCGCTTGGGGTGGGGTTGCCCAGATCCAGGGGCCTTGCCACTCCAGAATGGGCCTCCTGCAGGTGCCGACCTCATGGCTGCATCTCAGAATCCTCACTGCTCAGGCTAGCGCTTAGTGGAAGGAGGCTGGGCTATGGTTGTCGTGAAAAGTTGGTTTTTTAGTTATTTTCCTGATTCCAAATAAATAGATAATGATTATTATTAATATGATCTTACTTTAGGCCTGGGAATATGGCCAATGTGACAAGAGCTTCATACCTCATTTAATTCTCGTGACATCTCCATGTGGGAGATGAGGCCCTCTGATCTCCCCGTGCGGTAGATGAGGAAACTAAGTCCCAGCAGATGCTAGAGCTGGGGCAGGTACTGGGGCCTGTCTCACTTCAGAGTCATTCTCCTGCCCTGGGAGCCTCTGCTCTGTCATCTGCTGCTCTTTGCTCCCAGCCCCCTTGGACACTGTTTGAGGGGTCAGCATTTTCAGTATTTTTGGCTGCAGAGAGAGGACATTGTGAAGAGGTCCTATCCCACCTTGTCACCCTCTGCTCTGAGGCTTCAGCCTGTCAGCCCTGGTGCCTTGTGCCCTGACTGCTAACCACCAATGACCTGTCTCCTGGCAGGCACCCTGCTTCTGGGGCCTAGTCCAGACCCTGGCACTGGGGAGGCCAGGAGCACTGAAGAGTCTAACCATCAGCAGTCTTTCTCCAGTGTCCGCATGGTCCTCTTGTCCAGAGAACCACAGCCCCTGATGAGGAAAGGAGGAAAGGGTGGCTGTTCTGTGCCACTGTTGACCTGATGGATGGCCGAGAATGTTTATTCCACTACTGCCCAGTCTCTTAGTTCTGGCTGCTCAGCCTAGAAAAGTCCTATTGGCCTATACGAGTCCTGGTCTCAGCCAAATCTACCAATTTTGGTTGAGTCTCTTCCAGTAAGGCAGAGGGTAGTTGGAGGCTCTTTGACCACAGCCTGGGTTAGAGACAGCAGGCATCTTCCCACACCAGCACCAGTCCTGCTCTAGCAGACGAGGGAGGAGGAAGGCAAAAGTGACTCCTGAGCCTTCCCTGAGCGTGAAGCCTGGCTTATTGCTTAGAAGACAGGGAAACTGGTAACTTCACACAGTAAATAGAGTCATGGTAGAATCAAATGACATAGTAGGAGAGGCAGCCTGGTGGAAAGTAGGTCCAGCAGCGCTGCCATCAGCTCCCAGGCTTCCTGTTTAATATCTACTCTGAGCTTTTTCAGAGTGACATTGGCATTGTC
This sequence comes from Homo sapiens, assembly GCF_000001405.40. Classification (NCBI taxonomy): domain Eukaryota; kingdom Metazoa; phylum Chordata; class Mammalia; order Primates; family Hominidae; genus Homo; species Homo sapiens. The sequence goes on along the minus strand of NC_000003.12, from coordinate 52,123,714 downwards.
TATTTGCATTCATGATAGCCACTCTACTGTTAGGAATTTATTCAGCAGTTAGATTTGCAGTGACATGAAGACCCTGTAAACAAGGGTGTGTGTGTGCTAACATTCTGTTTCTAAGGTGATATGTGCACGACCCTAGACGCCATCCATCTGGGAGAGGAAACAGTGGAGCTGCTCAGACAGTGGTGAGGAGCCTCCTGAAGAACGAGGCTCACAGCTGCGTCCTGACAGACAGGGATGGTGTCCAGGGCATATGGAGTGTTCATCTTGTGTGGATACGGTGGTTTTTCTGTGGCCTCAGGTGACCACTGGCCACACACTCCCCAGTTCTCTTGTGACACCCAAGCCAGCCATCCTGGAAGTGGCCCTGGAAGCACACCGTCATGCATGGCCAGCAGCCTCCAGCAGGGAGCGCTCTTGCTCCCCAGCCAGGTGCCTCCCTCAGCTGTGTTCAAGGAACCGAGGGACATGGTCCTGCTGATAGGAGGACACCTGGAATAGGATGTGTTTTTCATGGCTGAGTTAGCCTTGGGATGACGAGTGTGTTGCTGAGTACTTCCTGTGTGCCCGTGTCCACCAGGCTGTCTCCTGTGAGCCTCACAGCAGCCCCATGAGATGGGAACTAGGCTTATCCCAGTCTCGCAGATGCAGGAACTGAGGCACAAGGTTGAGTCCCTTGCCTTAGGCCATTCAGTAAGGAGTGTTCTGGCCTGGAGGCCATGTGTTAACCACTTCTCACAGTGTAACAGGCCAGGCCACCGCCCGCAGGAACTTCTATTTTAGTTCAGAGGCAGATGATAAACAATGAAAAGGGGATTAAATAACTCCCTACTCTGATGCTATGAAGGAAATAAATAGAGGGCTATGATAAACATTCACAGAAGGCCTCTCTGAGAAGGTGGTGCTGTTGAAGCAGACACTTCAGCCTGCGAAGCAGCCAACCCCATGAAGCTCGGGCCTGTGACACCCTAGGGAGGTGAACCAGCAAGTGCGAAGGCCTGGCGGTGCCACGCCGTGGTAGTCCATCCTGGTCACATCCAGGTCCTCTTGAGGCCTGTCCACAAAGCCTGCTCCCCAGGGAGGTGGGGTAGGTCCCGGAATTGAGTTGGGGTGTCAGGTGGGGACCACTATCCCACCATGGCTCAGAACTTTGGGCATGGCCTCTGAGCCCATTTCCTCAGTGAAGGACTGGCAAGGGGATTTTCTTCTCCTGACTTGGTGTGCCTGTTGGTTTTGGCAGGTGATGGTTTGGAAGAGTAACTTTGATATTGTTGATCATGGAGAAGTCACGAAAGTGCCGAGGCCCCCAGCCACACTGGCCAGCTCCATGGGGAATCTGGTAAGTGGCTTGGCAGGCATGTCCTGAGCTCTGTGACTCTGGTGGGCTAGGTCATGGTGAACAGCTCTGGGCTTGGAGACGGTGAGGGAGGAGGTTTAGGCCTGTCTCGGGAAAGGGACCCTAGCAAGATCTTCTCATTTACCAAATACTTTGGAAGTTGTGGTGCTTTGTTTTCCATCTAGAGTGAACGAATAAGACACAAAGAGGCTGTTACAGCAAGCTGCCGGGTGCCCCAGGCCTGTGCCATTTGGTGGGAGCGTGTTGCCATGGCATATGGTGCTGTTTGATTGAGGCCTTAGGAGACAAGGGACCCGTCCCATACTGAACCCTGGGTCACAGGACCCAAACGTGGGGCTCCTAGAGGGTTCAGGGCCTGAAGCCACAGCTGGGACAAGTGGGAAAGGCCCAGCCCTGTTGCTTTCACTTCCCTCCCTTTTTTTTTCTAACCATGGAGAGGAAGTTCCTCAGCCACAAACCATTTTTAGTACCTCTGTTCGTAAAAGAATATTCAGTGTTCCTGAATTTAAATAGTTAATATTTTTGATAAATATTTGGGGAAAAAAATTGATAACTGATACAGTCTCATTAAATAAGGTCATATTCAGCTTGGGCTGAAATAAATGTTAAAGCCGAGGTTGTGGAACCTTGAGGGTTTTAAGCTCCTATGGCCACAGGCTTTTTAGATGTCTCTCCGTTGGACCATACAGAGAGTGTGGCCTCCCCCACACGGATACTGGCCCAAACAACAGGAAGCGGCTCGCCCAAGGCCTCCAGCGAGTCAAGGCTGGGGCCCAGAATAGAACTAGGAAGCCTCCTGAGTCTATCCTGGGGCTTCTGTGGCTGCAGCAGATAGACCCTCCATCTCCCCACCCCAACACACACACATGCCCCCGTTTTGTGTCCTGGTCTGCCTCTAGGCATTGGCCCAGTTGGGATTTATGGTTTTTCTTACAAGGGTTGCTGTCCTGGCTGGTCTCTTGGCTGTCCTCTGTACTTGCTAATCTGTGGCCAGTTTTCAGCTTTTGGGTTTGTTGGGGGATGACTGGGCTGCATGATGCACTGCTTGCTGCCAGTTCATCTTCCACCCAGAAAGGCATTTCACACTGCAGGGTTGAGGCCCCCTGGGACTCAGCAGACCTCTAGGTCCCTGCCCTCTTTCCTGTGAATCCCTCTCTATTAGGCACTTCTGGTGAGCCATAGCCAAGGCCTTTTATGCTCGCTACCCTGTTTATTCCTTATCTCATCAGAATGAGTGGGTAAATATACTGCTCAATTCACAGATGAGACACCTGGGGCTTAGTCACCTTCCCCAGATGCCTGGACCTGGGGGCCCACCAGGCTGATGCCTCTGAGCAAAGCTAGAAACTACAGGTGGCAGAGGACTGCTGGCTGCTTTTCCCCATTTCAAGGGAGGGCCCTGACATCTGCCGCTTGGGAGTGGTTAATATCTACCAGCTGGGGGAGAATCCCATGTTCTTGTAGCTATTAGGAAAATAACTTGGATGAATTGCTTCTTGTTCCTTTGGTCCTGGCTCAGCAATGGAGTATGGAGCACCTTTGCTTCCCAGAGCTGTGGGTGGGGGATCCCAGCATGGCAGGATGGGGCATGAGTGGGTGAACAGCTCAGCAGTGCTTAGAGCAACCACTTGTTCCCATACTATCTACAGACTCACGTTGGAGTTGTAGTCACAGCTCTGCCCACTGGCCCTCACTGTGTGGGCCTCAAATAGGGGAAAGGATGTGGGTCCTGGGGTCAGAGAACTGGGTTTGAACCCTGGATGTGTGGCCCCAGGCAAAACACCTGGTCTTCCCAAACCAACATTTCCACATAGTACCTGAATACGCCCATAGGCAGGCTCTGATGAGAGCTTTGAGACCCCCACCAAGTGACTTGTTAATCCTAAAATCATTCTTGGTTCAGATCAGACCTCTTTCCTTATTTGTCATAAGCCCCTCTGAGACCCTGAGTGGATGTAAGTCCTCTTCCAGACACACTTTCACTGACACACACATGCCATGTGGTGTCAACCTTCAGGACTTCTCTAATCTGAGGACTCCCAGGCCAAGAGGAGAGCTAGGTTTTTAGTTTGTTTTGCCTTGTTTTATTGTGATACATATATATATATAACACAAAGTTTACCATTTTAACCATTTTAAGTGTGCAATTTGGTGGCATTAAATATATTCTCAGTGTTGTGCAACCATCACCGTCTATTTCCAGAAGATCTTCATCTTTCCAAACTGAGGAGAGCTACTTTTTATAACACTGTTCAGTAGTTCGGTTTTCTTCTGAGATAGGAAGGGAAGCTGATGAGTGTGCTCTCGCCCTTCTTGCCCAAGGGCTTCCCTGGCACCGAGACCGTATCTGGGGACTGGTTCTATGGCTGGCCAGAGTGACTCAACCCCATAGGGAGCCCAGGAGCACTGCAGCCATGTCTCAGGAGCTTGTGAGTCCGATGAGCCTCTGTCCCTCCAGCACTGTCCATGTACTGGCCTTCCCAATAACCCAGGGTTTCTCACCCTCAGCACTATTGATATCTTGGGCCAGATCATTCTTTGCTGTGGGGGGCTGTTTTGTGCATTGTGGGATATTTAGCAGCATCCTTGGCCTTTACTCACTAGATGCCAGTAGCATCTTCACCCTCCCACCAACCCAAGTTGTGACAACCAAAAATGTCTTCTAGGCCAGGCATGGTGGCCCACACCTGTAATCTCAGCACTTTGAGAGGCTGAGACTAGAGGATCGCTTGTGCCTAGGAGTTCAAGACCAGCCTGGTCAACACAGCAAGATCTCGTCTCTACAAAAAAATTTAAAAATTAGTTGAGCATGGTGGCACTCCCCTGTAGTCCTAGTCACTTGGGAGGCTGAGGCGGAAAGATCACTTGAGCCCAGGAGTTGGAGGCTATCGTGAACTATGATCATACCACTGCACTCCAGCTTGGATGACAGAGTGAGACTCTGTCTCTGGGAAAAAAAAAAAAAAAGTCTTCTGATGCTGCCAAATGTCCCTCTGGTGGGCAGAATTGTCCCCAGCTTAGAATCACTGCAATAAGTCTTGCCTCAGCGGGGAGCCCAGAAAAGAAGCTGACCTAGCAGTGGGAGGAGTGTGGGAATGTGTCTGGAGATGGGGCTGTCTTAGCAGTGGGAGGAGCACGGGGATGAGGTGGGAGAGGCCCTGGGCATGCGGACGAGGACTATTCCAGCAGCCTTGAGTGTGAGGACTCTGTTCAACTGGGCCAGATTTGGGCTTCCACCAGCAGCAGCAATAGTGGCCCAGGTGTCTCAGCCTGGGTTTCTAACAGAAGTCATTTTGTAGGAATCTCATTTGGTCGCAGTCTTCTGGAGGTGATGGTAAACAACCAAAAAAAAAAAACCTTTTGCCTTTAGCAACTACTTGGTTTTCTTCACTTAAAAATTGGAGAGTGTTTTTGCCTTTCCTGACTAAAGGTTTTCCTGGCTCTGGGAGAATATCTGGTCAGTGGTTTGGTGGCTGACCAGTGTGGCTCGACTTCTCAAAGAGCTCATGGGCACCATAGCCATGCCCCAAGAACTCATGAATCTAATGATCCTCTGCCTACATCAGCTCTGTCTGCACCCTGGGCCTCAGGCCCTGAAGCCTTGTGAAATACTCCTGGGCATTTGGGGAATCTAGGAAGCCCATCGGGCAGGTGTAGGTGTTGAATTCCTCACCATGTCCCCATTCCAGCGTAGCAGTCGAAAGCCAGAGGGGCAGACCCTGCATGGACCCCTTACTTTACTTACCCACTAGCAGACCACGGCAAGGGCAGCCCTGTGAGCCTATGATGGTCCTTCTGCCCAGGAAAACCCCCTGCCCATGACCCTTTCTCTGACTGCAGTACTTCAGCTCTCAGATCTTGGAATGAAGGTTGTCCTTGAGCCCACTCTGAATAGAGCTCTGTTCACTGCAGAGCTATTTTCAACCTCTGGTTGAAATTCACAGCTTATTTTTAGGCACATTTCATGTTGAAAAGCAAAAGCCATTTCCCAGCCATTCAGAATGAGAATAATGGGTTCCATTTTCCCTCTATTCTTGGCTGAGTTGTGCATGAGGAGGGATTTCAGGGCTTGTGGCTGGGGAACCTTCTCTACTTAGAAGGTTGCAGATGAAGGATTCCAGGCCATGCTCTGGGCTGAGGGTGGACAGAAGCTCCATGTTCAGCCTTGTGACATGCTACAAGGCTGGGGGAAGGTTGGAAGAGCCACTTGCAGGCAAATGAGCACCTCCCAGAGGGGCTTGAGGGTGGGCAAGGGATGGGAGCCCCTGGGAATTGTCTGCATTGGGTGCCCGTGCTCGTGTTTTCAAGGGTCTAGTGCTTAGCTCTGTTCCTGCCACAGCCCTGGCCCCTCTATTCTTGTCCACCCTCTTGCTGTCTGTTCTTTGGGGCCTGACCCCGAGGCATAAAGACCCCTGTATCTTGGCTGATCTTGAATTTAACACCTCCCAAACCCCTGCCACTATAGGACGGACTTCTGCTCAACCACAGAAGCATTTTTTAACCACTTTTTAAATAGCAAAAATGCATTTGCTTGATTGACTTATTTTTGCCCTCCTTCCAAATGTCTGAGGGCCCATTATGCAATGGGGAAGAAAGGTTGCGCTGGGTGGGGTGGGAGGAGAACACAGAGTTCTAGGTAATTCAGTGAAACGGGAGGAAAAAAAAACCCACTTTCTGAGTTCTAAGGGTTGGCTGCTGTCCGGTTCACACATTAACCTTGAGTTCTAGGGCTGAGTGCTTTTCTCCACTCACCTCTCAAGATCTCATTTTAAGGAGGAAAGCTCATCTGTGGTTAAGAGCCTGGGTTCTAGCTTCCAGCCAACCTGTGATTAAATCCTTTCTCTACCCTGCCTGGGGTGTGGTCCTAGGAAAGTGGCCAGACGTCTGTGAGGCACGGTTTTCTCTTCTGTCGTTTGGGGAGAGGCTGGGCCCTCCTTCGTGGGATTTCATGCGTGGTGCATCTGCCTGGCACATGACAAGTGCTCATCAAGCTTTAGCTATTTTTTTTGAGTCAGGGTCTCACTCTGTCACCCAGGCTGAACTACAGTGGCGCAATTGTGGCTCACTGCAGCTTCAACCTCCCAGGCTGAAGCGATCCTCCTGTCTCAGCCTCCTGAGTAGCTGGGACTATAGGCGTGTGCCCCCACACCCAGCTAATTTTTTTTTTTTTTTTGAGACAGAGTCTTGTGCTGTCACCCAGGCTGGAGTGCAGTGGCACAATCTTGGCTCACTATAATCTCTGCCTCCTGGATTCAAGAGATTCTTGTGCCTCAGCCTCCCGAGTAGCTGGGAATACAAGCGTGCACCTCCACGCCTGGCTAAATTTTGTATTTTTAGTAGAGATGGGATTTCACCATGTTGGCCAGGCTGGTCTCGAACTCGAGAGCTCAGGTGATCCACCTGCGTTGGCCTCCCAAAGGGCTAGGATTACAGGTGTGAGCCACCGCACCTGGCCTAATTTTTTAAATTTTTTGTAGAGAAAGGGTCTCCCTGTCTTGTCTAGGCTGGTCTCAAATTCCTGGGCTCAAGCAGTTCTCCTGCCTCTGCCTCCCAAAGCATTGGGATTATAGGTGTGAACTACCACGCCTGCCCCACCAAGCTTTAGCTACTTTAAAAAGGGTTCTTTTCCCCTCCCTGACTGAAAGCCAATCCAGGAGATTATGTGTTCAAAACTTGCTGGGGTGAGGGACAGTGGGCAATAATGGGAGCACTTATAATTTTCCACGTTGACCCCTCTCTGCAGGTCATCGTAGTGAGGGCCAGTGAGGTTTCTAGACCCTTGCAGGCATCAAAATTGTGTTTCCTGATGGCAGACCCAAGTCCCCTGTGCTCCCAGATGAGAGAGCAGATCTGTGAGTGGGTGGAAACAGACTTGTCCTTCTGCCACAGGATTCCTCAGGACAAGATGCCCAGGATCCCCAGAGCCTCAGTGCTTGAACTGTCCTCTGGAAGAGGGAGCTGGGTCAGTTGAGAACATCTGAACTGAGCCTCATCCGTGCCGAAGGATGGTCTATTTCTTCTTCCTAGTTCCTCTGATACTGAGAGTAAAGCACCAGCCACCTCCTGTGCTTGTCCTTAACCTCCCACATTTCCATTTTTGGGGCACTGCCACAGGGGTGGGCTTCACTTAGGGATTTGTGGGACCCTGATTCCTGGCCCAGAGATTCTTGGCACTAGATCTTCCCTTATGCTTTGGATCTGGGGGTCCTGGGTGCCTGTGGATTTTTAAGATCTGGGTTCTCACTCCAGGTGCCTTGCCTGAGGAATTAGAGAGTTGGAGAAACAGGGAGAGGAGACCCATTTCCACCTCATCTGCCTCATAGATTTTTTAAAATTATTTGTATACATTTCAGAAGTACAAGTGCAGTTTTGTTACCTGGTATATTGTGTAGGGGTGAAGTCTGGGCTTTTAGTGTAATCATCACCCAAATAATGTACATTATACTGGTTAAGTATTTTCTCATCCCTTGCCTCATAGATTATGTGTTAGTCTGCTCAGGATGCTATAACAAAATACCATAGACTAGGTAGATTATAAATATAGAAATTTTATTTCTCACAGTTCTGGAGGCTGGGAAGTCCAAGCAAAGCACCAACGGGTTTAGTGTCTGGTGAGGGTTTGTTTTCTGCTTCATAGATGGCTCCTTCTCACTGTGTCCTCGCGTGGTGGAAGGGGCTAGCTAGATCTCTGGGGTCTCTTTCATAAGGGCACTAATCCAAACCTGATGGCTCCACCCATATGACCTAATCACCTCCCAAAGGCCCCACCTCCTAATACTATTACTTTGGGGTTAGGATTTCAACACAGGAATTTTGGGGGACACTAGCCCTCAGACCTTGCAGCAGATTTGCTTCTCATTTGGGAGGACTTGGGTCGCTTAATGAGAACACAGATTTATGGTTTGGCATTCACTTTCTGTAGAGGGGAGAAGTGTGGGTTCAACGGATTCTTAGCAAGAGCGGTGTTGTAGGTGTTTGGAGCAGGAGTGAACCCCAGATTTATATGTCTTAGAGAAGAGCCTCTCCCTTCTCCACTTGACCCCAATCCTGGCACCTAATTTTTTCAAGACCATTAAGGTTGGTAGGATGCAGTGACTCACGCCTGTAATCTTAGCACTTTGGGAGGCTGAGGCAAGAGGCTGGCTTGAGCCCAGGAGTTCAAGACCAGCCTGGGTAAAGTAGTGAGACCCCCATCTCTTAAAAAAAAAAAATACTATTAAAGGGAACTGTTGGCTTCCTGCCTGCTGCAGGCAAGTCAGAAGATGCCCAGGCAAGTTACCCAACTTGGAAAAGGCATGGCTTCATGGAGCCCAAACCCCCGACGCCTCAAGCTGCCCGTGCCCTTGGGCTCAGGGCATCTCTGGGGGTCAAGATGTGCCTGTTAATGTGTTGTGGCTCTCACTTTGCTCACACCCTTTGGCTGAATAGCTGGCATTGCCCACAGTCCTTTTTATCGGTGTGAATGAGAGCTTGATGGAAATGGCAAAGCAGACCCTCTTCTAAGGGGCACCATTCCACCTCGTGTGGCTATTGTGGGGCTTTACCGGGGCCAGGCTTTATGGGATGACTTGGGAACAGTGGGGACTTTCTTTTTCATGTTTCCTAGGACTTACCAGGTGGCCCATCTCTGGCTCCTGGGGGAAATTCATTCCTGCCCCCTATGCCACACAGAGGAGGAACTTTGAGCCCAGAGGTGACCTGCTGGTGAATAGCCTGGGCCCCAGCCAAGTCCTTGTCTCTGGGATTGAAGTGCAGGAACGCTAATAAGAGACCCCTGACTGGAAAAGAGCAAGGGGGAGTCTCCTCATTTCTCAGTGGGAAAAAGGAGCCCAGCATCCTCACCCCTGGGACAGATAACCGTGCCTTCCCCTGTGTGTGTGCACATGCATGCTCATGTGTGGACCCCTGTCAGTGCTGCTTCAGGGTCTCCTGGTGTCTACATTCCCACAATGCTCTGTCAAGTGCACCTCCCTTGTACTCATTCATGTAATCCCCCTGCAGACCCTGTTGTTCCAGTTCTGTGGGGCGTCTCCGGTTTACATGGGATGTACTGGGGCTGGGCACAGCATGGGGGATGCCAGGGATCTGGCTAGGCACCTTCCTGGTATGAGAAAAGGCAGCTTACAAGCATGTCTTTCCTGGAAAGGATTTTCAGGCAGCCCCACTAGGAAGGTGGAAGGTGGATACTAGAAACTTCTGGCTCTGGGAACCACTTCCAGAACTTAGTTGGCAGTAAGAGCTGCGCTGCCCTAGTATGCTGGTCTGAGCAGAGGCTGGGACCCAGCCTGAGGTGGCGTGTCTCCTGTAACCTCACGCAGGTTGTCTCAATTCTCTGCACCCCGATTTCTCCCCAGCATTCTGCATTGCATCCTTTGTGCATTTTTCATTTCATGGGCTCACTCTGCAAAAGACCTTCCTGCAGAAGAGAGGCCACAGCAGCCTTTGCTTTGGGTGGCAGAGGCCTCCAGATAAGATGCCCCCTTTCATACTCGGGTTGCATTTTCCTCCACCTTTATCTCAATAGAATTCGTGGAAAGTGCTCTGGGTTTCTTAGTTTCAGTGGGAAGAGAGTGGATACTAAAAATAAAGAAGATTCAATATTTGTTACCAAACTACAGGTTTTGTTTTTGTTTTGTTTTTTTGTTTGTTTTTGTTTTTTGAGACGGAGTCTCTCTCTGTCACCCAGGCTGGAGTGTAGTGGCGCGATCTTAGTTCACTGCAACCTCTGCCTCCCGAGTTCAAGCGATTCTCCTGTCTCAGCCACCTGAGTAGCTGGGATTACAGGTGCACACCACCACACCGGCGAACTTTTGTATTTTTAGTAGAGACAGTGTTTCACCATGTTGGCTGGGCTGGTCTTGAACTCCTGACTTCAGGTGATCCACCCACCTTGGCCTACCAAAATGCTGGGATTGCAGGCGTGAGCCACCGTGCCCAGCCCCAAACTACAGTTTTTGTAGAATGTTTCCTGCTTGAAACAGAGCACCTTTGGCCAGTGGCTGGTGAGTAATGTGGTGTTCGCAAGATCCAGGAGCACCAAAGATGCCAGTGCTCCTGGAAGTGGGGCCACCCAGGCCCAGGGCAGGGTCCCAGCTCCTTTTTCTTCCAGAGGCTACCACTGACGTTATTACTAGGTACATGTTAAATAATTACTAAGTTTCCCATGGGGGAGGAGTTGCCTTTGATAAGCATGAGGACAGCATTTGCAGAAATCCATTAGGAGATGCTAGCTGGGCTTCCCAGGCAGTGATGGTGAAGAGACAGGCCTTTTAACATTTGACAGTTATCATGGTAAGCCTCCTGCAGTGGTTCTCAAACTTTAGTGTGCCTCAGAATCACTCTGAGGGCTTGTTAAAACACAGCTTGCTGGGCCTCATATCCAGAGTATCCGATTTAATAGGGAATTCACATTTCTAACAGATTTCTAGGTGATGCTGATGCTGCTGATCCAGGGACTCACTTGGAGAACCACTGGTCTTTTGGAAAACAGTCTAGCCTGTTGTGACTATGGCATCCTGGGCAGGGGAATTAAGGGAAGAAGAAAGTCTCTTTATCTTCGAAGTTTCTATGACTCGTCGTGGGTACAGCTTGGGAGAGGCAATCAGAAAATCAGTGTCCCTCGCAGCCCACTGTAGTCTGCTGCTTTGCAGAAGAGGAAAAGGGTATGACCTTGGTTCTTTTTTGTGTGTTTGTTTGTTTGCTTGTTTTTGGTATTTTTTGAGACAGTGTCTTGCTCTGTCACCCAGGCTGGAGTGCAGTGGTGCGATCTCGGCTCACTGCAACCTCTGCCTCCGGAGTTCAAACAATTCTCATGTCTCAGCCTCCCGAATAGCTGGGATTACAGGCATGCACCACCACACCTGGCTAATTTTTTGTACTTTTTTAGTAGAGATGGGGTTTCGCCATGTTGGCCAGCTGGTCTTGAACTCCTGACTTCAGGTGATCCACCCACCTTGGCCTCCCAAAGTGCTGAGATTACAGGTGTGAGCCACCACGCCCAGCCAACCTGAGTTCTAATCTCAGTGTACTGTTTAAAGAAAGCCCAGCCAGGCTTGGTGGCATGCACCTGTAGTCCCAGCTATTCAGGGCTGAGGCGGGAGAATTGCATGAGCCCAGGAGTTCAAGGCTGCAGTGAACTATGATTGCACCACCGCACTTCAGCCTGGGTGACAGCGTGAGACCCTGTCTCAAAAAGAAGGAAAGCAAGAAAGAAAGTCCAGTGCTGCCCCGTGGGCCCTTTAAACCCAAAGGCATCTACCAAGGCTCTGTTTACAACCAGACAGGCAGGCGTGTGGTTTTATTACCAGCTGAGGACATCAGTAGTAAGGAAGATGGGACTTGCTGTGGCTCTGCTGTGAGCCTCTGCCAGCCCTGTTGTTCTGTCCCAGCTTCTGTCCTGCCCCTTAGTACTCCTGCCATTAGTCCAGTCACCTATTCTTGAATCTGTGTTCTCCAGGCCACCTGTCTCCTGTGTTATCCTTGGTGTCTCCCTTGCTGTCTTGATGTCCTGTCTCCCACTTCTCACCCTGCACATGTGGATGCCTAGGCCAGCTCCCATCCTCCAGACAGCCTGCTAGACTTTAGGGAAGCAGATGGGTGAGAGTCTCTGTCTGAGCCAGAGATGGCTTGGGTGTATATGGCTTAACATTTGAACCCCAGATGAAGGTCTTATTTGCAGAGCCTCTTTTTTTTTTTTTTTTTTTTTTTTAATTTTGAGACAGAGTCTAGCCATTCTTGCCTAGGCTGGAATGCAATAGCGCGATCTCGGCTTACTGTAACCTATTCCTTCCAGTTCAAGAGATTCTCCTGCCTCAGCCTCCTGAGTAGCTGGGATTACAGGCACCTGCCACTACACCTGGCTAATTTTTGTATTTTTAGTAGAGACAGGGTTTCACCATGTTGGCCAGGCTTGTCACAAACTCTTGACCTCTGGTGATCTGCCCGCCTTGGCCTCCCAAAGTGTTGGGATTACAGGCATGAGCCACCGTGCCCGGCCTGCAGAGCCTCTTGAAGAGGTGCCTCCAGGTAGCAAGAGCAGAGACAAGCCCTGAAACAGCGATTAGGGTAGAGGTGGCAAGGTTGGAGTGGAAGCCAGAACTCCCTTCTCTGAACTGCCCCCTTGAGGGGCTAATGGTGTTTCCTGTCACTAGAAAAATTTCCATCCATTCTAAAAGCAAGTAGGTTCCTCTCCAGAGGAGAGTTCATGATGTTGAGGAAGGAAGGCCTATTTAATGACTTAAACCAATGGGAGGTGTGTTCTCAGACATCCAGGGAAAAGCATATTAAGACAATCACAGTATCAGGAAGACAGAGCAACCTGACTCAGGAACTCAGACAAAGGCTGGAGGCCCTTGGGTCCAGCTCTGCGTGCATCAGTACACATTTGGCATATAAACCCAGGCACACACACTCCTTTGAGAGCTTCGTTATCTCTTTCGAGAGTTCCAGAACTGTTTTGGGTTTTCCTTTTCCCCTGGCAGCCAAAGCTTGGGCTTAGGGTTATTGGAGCTTCCACATGTGCATGTGGGGAAATGAACCTGAGTCACAGGACAGAAAGTGGAGTCTCAACACTGTGATGCTTTCCTACAAGGCACACATGGCCCCAGGCAGAGCCAGGCTGCATGCCTTGAAGGACCTTTTGCTTCACACACTGGGGCCACTGCTATGACACTGCCTTTTTGCCAATAGTGATGACAGGCAATCTAAAGCCCCATCATCACCTCTCCACAGGAGAGCCCACAGAGGCCACAAGAATCGTCTTGTAACAATTGTTTGCTGCAAAGCAGAGAGGGTGCACAAGAACCGAGGGCTTTGGCATTTAAGGATCTTTCTTCCCTTTTATTTTGTTCTTTTGTTTTCATTCTATTTTTTTAAGCTCAGAAACCTGAAAATGAAATAAATGAGCCACAGGTAGAAATAAACCTGTCGCTTAAGTCTGACTGATTTTTGGGGCCACCATTCACTGCTCCTAGTGTTGTTGCGCTCATCCTTATAGTCTCTTTCCAGATGGCACCTCCTCCATGCAGGCTTCCTTGGGAGGCTGGCAGCTGGTGAGTTCTTCCTGCTCCACCTGCCTGGAGCACTCTCCTACCTGGAGCAGCCCCGCTCTCCTGTTGTCTGTTATTTACAGACCTAACTTTTCTCCCTGGAGGGCTGGGGCCTTGCTCTTGCCATGGTGCTCAGTATGTGTCTGACACATAAAAAATGCTCAGGAAGTCAAAGCATTCTCACGTCTGTGGGCAGCATAAGTTGAGTGTGTGAGGCTAGAGGCGGGCTGTCTTTCCTTTTGGCATTTTTGATGGTCTCAGACTAAAAGAAGGAAGCTACCTTCTGGCCTTATTTGTCAGTTTTGGGGGGCAGATGACATGGGGTGGTGTGGGCAGTGGCAGGGCAACAGAGGGTGGTAGAGTCTGCATGCCTAGATTAGAAGTTTCAGAACTTCTTTTCATTTTAAATGGAAAAAAACCCTTTGTGGTTTATATTTTCCAGATTGGACAGCAGCATTGCCATGTGGTGTAAGGGTGTTGGATAGTGCTTGTGTTTATGTTCTTATTGGTTGCCATGGAAAAAAAATCAGAATAGATGGTTTCCATGGAGATTATCTTACAATTAGTTTCTTTGAAGGTCCGGACATTGCTGCAGGATTCGCTGAGTACTCGTTGCCATCAGGGGCTTTCTCTGTGGCAGTGCTAAAGGCTGGTCAGAACGTTCCGTGGACTTAGACAAAGTCATCTGCCTCCTATGCTTGCAAATCCCAGGACACCAGAGTGGAGGTGATCCTGTGGCTGAGCTTCCTCTTGGAGTCCCACTTGCCTTGGATCAGCTCCGCAGCTCCTTTCAGTCACCAGGAAGGTTTTTTTTTTTGTTTGTTTGTTTTAATTAAACAAAACAAAACAAAACAAAAACCTTTGTATTGTGGAAATTTCAAGCTAGCACAAAAGATAGAATAATGTAACAAACCCCATGTACCACTCACCTAGCTTCAACATTCTGCTAATCTCATTTCATCTGTTTCCCCCACATTTTAAAGAAGAGTTTGAGTGGTTTTAAAAATCCCAGATATATCATTTTTTACTCCAAATAAGGCCATTTCTTAGTTATATAATAGCAGTGCTCTTATCACATCCAATGAAATTAATAGTTCCTTCATATCAGATATCTAGTCCACATTCACATTTTCCCACATTGTGTCATTGTTCAAATAAGGATGCGGAAAGCTTTGAGAAAACCCATGTTCTCTGCTCCCCCTTCCCCGACCCATGGTTCTGGTAGGCGGAGTAGCTGAGGGGGCTTTGGCCTGGAGCTGTCTTGGGCTTGGGGAAGGGGGCGCGTCTGGGCTCACACCACACTCCTGATGTCCTCCAGGAGAGTTTGGTACTGTGAGCTCCTCGCTCCTTCCTGGAGGTGGGTCAGGCACAGGTGGGCTAGCTACTGCCAGCTATCTTGGGCCAGGCATCCGCTGGGGGGCACTGGCTGTCTTTGAAGCCTGCAGGGGGAGGGAAGGGAAGACGTGATGTAACCTTGGTTCATAACAGCTGTCTGCGACTTCATTTTCCAGGAAAGGAGAGGCTGTTTGACCCCATGGGACACAGCCTTCTGCAACTCCTCCCTGGGAATCGTGGGGCTGCTGGTGGAGGGCTCTGGCTGATCTGCTCTGGTGGTTCTGAGGGCTCTGGTGGAGGGCTGCTGCTTTTGCGGGTTGGGTAGAGCCAGTCCTGGTTATCTATCTTGGCAGGCTTTGCTCGTGTCCTGTGATGCTGCACAAAGTATGAATTACGGAGCTTGGGAGTGATGCCTGGGGTGTGGTCGGTGGCTCTAACACTCTCCATTGAACTAAGTGCAAGGAGAGTTTAAAATAGCCAGCCTTTGTTCCGAGGTTTTAAAAATTCAACTCCAGTAGTTACAATGAGCTGTCTTCAAGTGGATCTATAAATAAACCGCTACTGTTCCTCTTTGTCACTGAGAGCTGTGGCGTCTCCCAGAGATGTCGGCTCTGCCGCTCGTCTTCATTAGATGCCTCATCTGTGGGGCAGCTGCAAGTGGAGCTGACACACAGAGTTTGTAATGACAGCAACACATTCCCTTTCAAAAATCCACAGTCCCCAAAAATTAACTACACAGGAAAGATAGTAACTTTGCATTGTAGAAACCTGGCAGAGAGGTCAGTGTCACCATTGATCAAGGTCAACATTCCCTGTAATAAGCCCTTCCATGTGAACCCTGTGTTACTGTGCACATCACTTTTCTGGTGGTGTCCAGTATTTATAACCTGAATCTAATGATAAAACCCAAGTCAGGGAACATTTGATAAAATAACTGATCAATATTCTTCAGAAGTGTCAAGGTCATGAAAGACAAGGGAGGACTAAGGAACTGACACAGATGGGAGGAGGCTAAATACATAATAAATGCATCGGTAGGATTCTGGAACATCAGGATCTAAGCACATTAGTAGAAAAACTGGTAAAGTTCAAATGGGGTCCCTATTTTGGTTATTGGTATTGTCACAGTGTTAGTTTCCTGGTCTGATCATTGTCCTATGGTTGTGTAAGACATTAACACTGGCAGAGGGATATATGGAAATTCTCTGTACTATTTTTTGCAACTTTTCTCCAATTCTAAAATTAGTTCAAAGCAGTTTAATATAAAAGAAATCTACAGTCAGCACTTGGGCTTTATCGGAATCCTTGATCTCCCTACCAGGGTACCTCGGTTCAGGTATGTGCTGTGGGAGGGTAGGCATTTTTGTCTCCAGGTATTGGGTAGGTAACCCTAAGATACTCAGCACCAGCTCGTAGTGAGCCCTTGGGAGTGTACGTGGAGCTGAACTGAACCAGAGCCGCCCTCAAGGAAGCGGGTGTGTGTTGAGAGAGAATGCTCCCACACAGGTGTTGGGCAGGGCGGGTTGCCTGCTTGCCTGTGTGGTGGTTTCTGAGGATGCTCCAGAGGTGCATCTGCTCCAGGAACTCCAGAACAGACTCAGCAGGAGTGTGGGCCTGGCCCAGGATGGACCTGCTTCCTCCTGAGGCTTCCTAGCCTCCACCATGCAGTCCTCCCCCTCTGTGTTCCTAAAACCGGCTCCACCTTGCTGCCCCACACCCTTGTGTGCATTTCTCACTGTAACAAGTGTGATGACCTGGAGGGCTCCAGCTTCTAAAGGCTGGGGTTGTTTTCCAGCCCGCTCTGAACCCTTCCAGGGAAGGAACCGCACATGCCAAGGCATGTTCTTGCTGCTTCCTCACTGCCTCTACTGGTTTGAAGTTACTTAGCCGTCACCTCCCTGCTTCATCTCGCTCTCTTCTTCCTGGCTTCCCTCACCTCTGTGTGTCACTTCAGTAAGATAGACCTCTCAGATCAACTTCTTCCTCCTGGGGGCATGTCGGACACCAAATAACTTGCCATTTCTTGCCTATCAAGGCAATCCTTTCACTGTTTTGAAAAATCACCCCTTTGTGTGGGGGAAAATTCTTGGAAATGCTTGCAGAGAGAGGCTGGGGAGTCAGCAGATTGATGGGGGTCAAGCCCAGGAGTGGCCATCACAGCCCTGGGGCAGGTCCTCCATCTTGCCATGGGCCTGGGTGAGGAGAACAGAGTCTTGGTTTGTGCATACAGCATCTCCTACATGCCCAAGGCCTGCGAGCAACACAGGTGAAATAGGATGACAGGCACCTGTGATCCCTGCCTCAAAGGGACCACTTTCTGAGAGGGGACGGGGAGATGGTCTGTGGTCCTGGTTCTGTGTGTGACAAGGCCTGGAATCCAGGGGTTGGTCAGGCATGCAGATTCCCCATCCTTCATTTTAGACCTACCCCTCAACCCCTTCACGATTTTTATTTTATTTATTTATTTAGAAATAGGATCTCTTGCAATGTCACTCAGGCTGGATTATAGCTCAGTGCAGCCTCCAACTCCTGGGCTCAAGTGATCCTCCCATCTCAGCCTCATGAGTAGCTGGGACTACAGGCGCATGCCATCACACCTGGCCCCTTCACAAGTTTTAATCCAAAGGACACCATGTTGGTTTCCCATAGGCAGGGGCCTGAGGTCAAGGGGTGGCTCTGAGGCCTGACTGTGATCTGTAGTTGTGGAGCATTTGATTTGGTTTTGGAGGTTACCGTGTGGACTGTGGACCTCCAGGCCCCATGTCTCTGAACTTTCTTTTTTTTTTTTTTTTTTTTTTGAGACGTAGTCTCTCTCTGTCACAGTGGCGCGATCTCGGCTCACTGCAAGCTCCGCCTCCCAGGTTCATGTCATTCTCCTGCCTCAGCCTCCCAAGTAGGTGGGACTACAGGCGCCCGCCACCTCGCCCAGCTAATTTTTTTGTATTTTTAGTAGAAACGGGGTTTCACCGTGTTAGCCAGGATGGTCTCGATCTCCTGACCTCGTGATCCGCCCGCCTCAGCCTCCCAAAGTGCTGGGATTACAGGCGTGAGCCACCACACCCGGCCTGAACTTTCAAAAATGACCTAGCACCTTCCCTACTCGCAGTCTGGCATGGGGAATGTGAAAAGGCACGCTGCATGTTCATACCCCCTAGATGAAAGCCAGAGGTGGGACCAAACCCCACCCTCATGCTCAGGCTGCCTGGAGGCAGGACTGGCAGGACTGCCAAAAGTTAGATGGTTTTAGGAAAGCAGAATTTCTCTTGGGTTCAGGACTATGTTTGGAATCAGAAGTTTCTTCTCCTGTTGGATTCTAGGCCAGAACCCTAAATTACAGGGCAAATAAGGCTGTAGTGTATCTAGTCTGCAGATATGTGTGGTGAATTCGGTATAGGCTTCTTTTGAGCTCTGATTTGAGAAAACGCCCGTGCCTTTCCTCTTGAGAAGATGGACGTGAGGCTGAGTCCACGTGAGCTCGGTGTGTTCCCTGCTTCCCTCCCCAGGGGCAGGTTTAGCAAACATGGAGGTAGACAGACATGGCTGCCTGTCAACTTTTCATGAAGGCAAATTGTCAAAGGCCTGAGGCCAGGACTAAGAAACATCTGTGTCTGTGAGTCTCCTCATCCACAGTTAGCAGGCTGTACAGTGAACAGTCCAATCGAAGATTCAGTTGAAAATATTTAATCATGGGGGTGTGTTTGTGTCCATTTCTTCCAGTTTTGCACAGGGCAGCCCTGCTTTGGAAATGTAGTGACATGCCTTGGTTTTCAGTGAGCAGTGGTCAGACATGCTGTTCACCTGGGTCTGTACAGGAAGGGTGAGTGAGATAGTCCAGCTCTTGGCCCCAGGTCACCTTCTTCTCCCCTCTCTTGCCTAGAATCAAGCTTTGGACCAGTTCCTGGATGCTTTTGTTTATTACAGTTTCAGTTTCAGGAGCGGGCTGGACAAAGGGCATGGTCCAGTGTTAGAAATTAAAAGAAAAGTAGAAAGTTCCACCTTGAGCAGGTGTTAAGAATTGTCCATTTCAACCCCTAAGAGGGGTGTGTTCCATCTCTGCTCAAGCTCCAGCCTGCTGACCAGGTGTGTGCAGACCTTGCTCCTGACTGCCAAGCTGTGTACAGACTCCTAAGCAGCGGAGGCCTGACACTCCATGGACTGCATGGCTGCTGCTTGGGAGGCCCTGCCTGGGAATCTCTGCGGCTCTCTCAAATTCCACTGGGAAACTGGGGCTTTGGGAATTGAACTGCATTGAGTTATGACTCTGGCTTTGCATTTGGAAAATGTAATTCCCAGACTGATGATGGACCTTGTGGGCCTCACCTGGGGTCTTCAGCCTTGGGTTTGGCCCATTGGTAATGCCCAGTGGAGAGCTGGTGATTTTCACCTTGAGGGCAGAGTGGCAGTGATGGACGGTGTCAACTGTGTCCTGTGATGGGTAGGTTGGTCCCCTAAGGACATTTTAGTTGTAACCACATGTTTTTTGTTTTCAGTCCGGCTTTATAATTTACGAATAGTAACATTCACCATTTTAGAAAGCAAGCAGTTCTCTGAGTTGTGACAGAAACAGTCATGTAACCACCACCACAATCAAGATATAGAATCTTTCCATCATCCCAAAATGTTCTCTTTTGCTTCTCTGTAGTCAGTCTACTCACTCCACCCCCAGCCCCAGACAATCATTAATCTGCTTTCTGTCACTATTGATTAGTTTGTATTTTTTAGACTATGATATAAATGGAATTATACAGTTATGTATTCTTTTTGGTCTGGTTTCTTTCACTCAGTCTAATTATTTTGAGATTGACCCACATTGTTATATGTATCAGTAGTTCATTCCTTTTTATTTAATCAAATGGATATACCACAGTTTTGTTCTGTTGGTGAGCATTTGGGCTATTTGCAATTTTTGGCTATTATAAATAAAGCTGCCATGAACGTTCATGTACATATTTTTCTATGGAAATATGCTTCCATTTTCTTGGGTAAATACGTAGGAGTGGAATGGCTGGGACATATAATAGGTGTATGTTTAGCTTTTTAATAACTGTCAAACTTTTCAAAATGGTTATGCCATCTTACGTTCGTGCCAGCAGTATATGAGAGTTCAAGTTGCTCCACCTCCCTTCCAACACTTGGCATGATCAGTTTTTTTTTTACCTTTAGGCTATTCTAATACGCATATAGTTGTATGTCGCTGTGGTTTTAACTTCCATTATCCTAATGATTAATGATGTAGAGCATCCTTTTTAACATTTCTGCTCTTTCAAAGAGCAGAAGTTTTGGATTTTGAAGTTCATTTTATCAATTTTTTCTTTTATGGATCATACTTTAGGTGTCATATCTAAGGAATATACCCAACCCAAGGTCACAGAGATTTTCTATGTTTTACAGGAAAAATGTGTATCAGTTTTATAGTTTTAGGTTTTGTTTTTTGTTTTTTATTTTTATTTTTTGAGACGAAGTCTTGCTTTGTTGCCCAGGCTGGAATGTGTTGGCATATTCTCGACTCACTACAACCTCTGCCTCCCACGTTCAAGCGATTCTTCTGCCTTAGCCTCCCTAATAGGTGGGATTACAGGTGCCCGCCACCACACCTGGCTAATTTTTGCATTTTAGTAGAGACGTGGTGTTGCCATTTTGGCCAGGCTGGTCTCAAACTCTTGACCTCAGATGATCCACCTGCCTCAGCCTCCCAAAGTGCTGGGATAACAGGCATGAGCCATTATACCCGGCCTTACAGTTTTAGATTTTACACTTAGGTCTATGATCCATTTTGAATTAGTTTCTGTATGTGGTGCAAGGTATGTACCGAAGTTCATTTTTTTGCATGTGGATACTCAGTTGTTTAATCAACTGTTGGAAATACTAACTTGTCTGTACTAAGTTGTTTGTGCACCTTTATTAAAAATTAACTGGCCGGATACTGGTCTAGAGTTTCTGGATTCTCTTTGTTCCATTAATGTACGTGTCTATCCTTTTACCAATACCACAGTGTCTTGGTTAATATAGTTTTAGACTAAGTCTTGAAATCATGTAGTGTGATTCCTCTAATTTATTCTTTTTTTCAAAATTATTTTGGCTTTTCTAGTTCCTTTGCCTTTCCATGTAAATTTTAGAATCAACTTCTTGATGCCTATAGGTGATTTGGGAGGAAATTGACATCTTTACAACATTGAGCCTTTAATACGTGAACATGATATATCTCTTCATTGGTATAGGTCTTCAATTTTTCTCATTAGTGTTTTGTAGTTTTCAACATACACATTTTGCACATATGTTGTTAGATTTATACTAAAGCATTTTGTAGTGTGTTGAATGGGAGCCTCCCTGAAAGATATGTCTACATCCTAACCCCCAGAAACTGTGAAGATGACTTTACTTGGGGGAAAAGATCTTTGTGGATGTAATTAAGAATCTCAAGGTGAGATCGTCTTGGATTGGTGGTCCTAAATTGAATGACAAGTATCCTTAGAAGAGCCACACAGAAGAGAGCCACACAGAGAAAGGAGATGAATGCCATGTGAAGACAAAGGCAGAGATTGGAGTTATGTAGCCATAAGCAAAGGAATTATGGAGCCACCAGAAGCTGAAAGAGGGAAGGCAGCATTCTCCCTTAGTGCCTCCAGAGGAAATGTGGCCCTGCCTTGATTCAGACTTCCAGAACTGTGAGAGAATTAATTTAGATTGTTTTACGCCATCAAATGTGACAATTTGTTACAGCAGCCCTAGGAAACTATTAATAATATATACTTCATGTTGTTTTGGTGCTATTGAAAAGATAATGGCCAAGAATTTTCAAAAAATAATGAAAGGCATCAAACCATAGTTCCAAGAAGCTCAGAGAAACAGCAAACAAGCTGGAGAAAAACAAAACAAAACAAAATCCTAGATGAGTTATATTCAAACTTCTGAAAACCAAGGATTAAGAAAGAAATCTTGAAGGTAGCCAGAGAAAAAAAGACATATATATGTGGATCAAATGTAAGAATTATGAAGAATTCTCGTGAAACTATACAAACTGAAAGAGTAACATCTTTAAAGTTTGAAAGAAAAACTGCCAACCCAAAGTTCTGTACTTAGCAAAAATATTTTAGCAATGATGGGGAAATAAGACCTTTTTTTCCCCTCCAGAAAAACCAAAGCTGACAATTTTTTACCAGCAAATTTGTATTATAAGAAATATCTAATTTCTCTCTCTTCTCCTTCTAGGATTCCAATTGTCCATGTGTTAGAGACAGTATTGTCTTGTAGCTTATGGAAGCTCTGTTCTGTTTTATCCCTCTGTGTTTCAGTTTGAGGAATTGATCTATCTTTAAGATCACTAATTTATTTTCCCATTGAGCCCATTATAGCCATACTTCTCTGTTACTGGGTTTCTTATTTCTGTTGTTTCCATTTGACTCTTTCTTATAATTTCTGCCTTTCTGCTGAAATTCTCCATTTGATCATGTGTGTTATTCAGTAGAGCCTTTACCATATTAATCATAGTTATTTTAAATTTTGTATCTCATAGTTTCAACATCTAGGTCATCTGAGTCTGCTTCTACTGACTGCTTTGTCTCTTGACAGTGGGGTTTTTTTTTCTCCCTGCCTTTTTGTGTCTCATAATGTTTTATTAAATGCCAGGCATCATGCTTAGGACAGTAAAGACTGAGGTAAATAGTCTTATCAGGAGTTGAGCTTAGTTTAGTGTTACCTAACGTACCTAGGATGAGGTCTGGTTGATGGAGGATTTTCTCAGTCATTTTCCTCACTCTCACCTTTCAGCCAGCCCTGTGGGCATGCCCCTCAGAGGGGCATGCTTTTTTCCATGTTCTTGGCCCTCCTCCCTAGATAGGCTGCTGTTGCTTATTGCTTGGTGCTTGATATTTTTTTTTTTTTTTTTTTTGCTGAGGGTTGGGGTGGGCCCTGTTGTCTTGACCCAGCTTCAGTCTTAAGCAGACTCTGTCTCCCTGGGTCTCAAAAGTGAGACATTCTTAGCGGTCCTGCTCCTTCCTCATTCAAAGGAGACCTTGATAATCTCAGCTCAGGATAGTTTCCTGCCTCTCCCTCAAGGGAAGAGGTGTTTTTATATTTGCTTTTCCCTAGTAGTTTCAGGATGCTCTTCTACAGGGGAGAGGTCCTGGCAGGGCTTCATACCTTTCCTTACTCACTCTCCTCTCCTAGGCCTGCACCTCCAAGAACGGTTTTCTTCCATCTACTGTTCTGCCCCCATTTTTTTTTGTCATGAAAGCCCAGTGGAGGTCTGTGGAGGAGAACCTGTGCATGGGTGCAAGCTCTACTTGTGTCTGTGGCACCTGGGGGTTCTGCACTCTTACCCTAGTCTGCGCTTGGTCTCCAGCAGTTTGTTAAAACTGTAACTTACCCACTCGTATGGTATTTGGCGTCTCTTCTCCTCATGCTTTGCCATAGGTGACCCACAGCTGATGCTCACTTTCTATTTTCCTTGGAAGTGTCTGTCTTTCCTTAGATTTCAGGCTACTGGTTGCTCTGTGACTTCAGCTCTCTGATTTAAGAGAAGTTATGATTCTTTTAGATTGTCAGTCTTTTTCTTGTTAGGAAGGAATTAACACTTTCCCCAGCTTTATATATCCTAGGCAGCAGCTCCTTATCCATACTTGTATCTTGATGGAAGAGGGAGATCACGGTCAATTCAGAGACCTCTCAAGAAGTCAACTCCAGATGGGTTGATTTCTTGTCACAAGGAAGATCTACAAGCTGTTTCTTTTGTTTTTAATGAAATGTTATGGTTTGGTTCCTCATGTGTCTGGGTAGCTGAGTATCAGCCACAGACATTTAGGCAATTCCTACTGTGTGTGAAGTGATGAGCTCCTGGTGGTGTATGAAAAGCAGGCAGCAGAGGAAACAGGAACTGAGGTGGGCAACACATTAACCAACTGTGAGAGGCCAGAGTCCCACCCCAGGGTGGCATGAGAGGAGACACCTGCAGACCCCAAGTGATATTTCCCAAAGTTAGAGCCATCTCTTGAGAGTCACCTTTTTTTGTTTTGGTATTAAGATGTTTATATTTGGCAAAAGTGAAATGTTGTTGAATTGGTGTAGGCCTATACGAGTATATGTGTGGATTAATCTTTGTTGTTATTTTAGTGAGCATTACTTTTTCTTTTGAGACGGAGTCTTGCTCTGTTGCCCAGGCTGGAGTGCAGTGGTGTGATCTCAGCTCATTGCAACCTCCACCTCCTGGGTTCAAGTGATTCTCCTGCCTCAGCCTCCCGAGTAGCTGGGATTACAGGTGCCTACCACCATGCCTGGCTGATTTTTGTATTTTTAGTAGAGATAGGGTTTCACCATATTGGCCAGGCTTGTCTTGAACTCCTGTCCTCAAGTGATCCACCTGCCTTGGCCTCCCAAAGTGGTTGGGTTACAGGTGTAAGTCACCGTGTCTGGCCTCTTTGTGTTATTTTATTCATGTTATACTTAACTGAGAACCACCAGGCAAAACCCCTAGGACTCTTTGATGTTGAACAGACAAAATGCTGATGTGACTTTTGCATTTAAATGCTGCTTGGGTTATTCTGCCACTGTCATTACTCATGGCTCTGGTACGACTGTCTCTTCCCACTCTTGTGTGTCATTTTCTTATCTCTGCTTTCTTGCTTATTTGCCCAGCTCTCAGGGAAATGCCACAGCTCCAGAGTGCTGGCATGCAGGTGAGTGGCTACAGAGCTGTGAGGGGTGGGGCTGCTGGCCCTTTGCTGCAGTGCAGACATTGGGGAGGATTCATTACACAGGAATTTTACCTCGGTGGGCCCTGCTCTTTGAGGTGTTGAGTGTTTGTGGAGGGCCTGCTCTGAGTTCAGCTCTGTGCTGGGCAATCATTCCAGGGCAGCTGGGTTGGGGAAGTGACGCAAAAAGCATTAGACCTAGGATTCAGAGGCCTCCATGGGGACGTTGGAGAGGAACTGTGCACATGGAAGCCCAGCTGCAGTCAATGTCACCTGCCAGAGGCTGTCTCATGTCCGGGAAGAGCCTGCACTTTGGGTTCAGATCCCAATTCTGTTATTTGCTGGGTAACTTAGAACAAGTTACTTAACCTCTTTGAGCCCAAGGGTCCATATCTGAAAAATAAGGTTAATAATGCCTATTGGGAAGGGCCATCATAAGGATGAAGTGAGGTTACACGTATTAAGTGAGGTGACATTAAATGAGGGCACACAGTGGATGGCAAGTAAACCATGGCGATTGCTGGACTGGTGGAGTGTTAAGTGCTGTGGTGTTTTCTGATGGGAGTGGGCAAGGAGGCAGGGAAATGGCTCAGGGCAGCACTAGAGTTTGAGGCTGGTTACCTTTAGACAGTCGTTTTCTGACTGAGCCTTAGTTCTCTTTATTGTCAAATGGAGACAGCCCATGAAAGTGTGGTATAGGTGGGAAAACATGGTGGCTGCCGCAACCCTCTGTTGTAAAGGCCACCTCTCCAGCTTGGAGTGCCATGGCCGCTGTCTTTAATACTCCCTTGGAGCTGGCTCAGCTTTGGCTCATCCAGGAGGGTTTCTATTGCTAAAGTCAGTGGTACTCACCCTGCCTCCCTGCAGCATCCACTGTGCTTCCAGAGGCTGAGCTCAGCACTGTCCATTTCTGGGCCATTCTGCAGAAACTCACATTTTCCATTCCCTCCTTCCTAAGCAGCCAGCAGCACCAGACTCTGGCCCATTCCATGACAATGCTGGCTGTGGGACAGAAGAGTTCCCTGCTCACACCCTTCCTCCAGTGGAAGAGTGTGTGTCTGCACTGCTAGGGGGTCCTCTGGAAGGAGTGGGCACAGCACTGAACATTTCTTAAGAAAGGCCTGCTGGTAGCTTCAGATAAGCACCTCTCACAGCCCAGCCGTTTGAAGGACTGGCCCAGTCTTCATCCCTATTTTATAGATGAGGAAATGGAGGCCCAGAGCTGGTCAGTGACTGTCTGAGTCACCATTCCTCACCACTGCACTCTGCTGTGTCTCCTGACAGAACTGCCTTAGTCTGGGGGCCACTGTGGTAGGCTGAAGTCTCTCCTGGCAAGGCTGGTGGACTTCTGAAATTTCCTTTTGGGATGGGCTTCTGGGTAAGCATTGAGATCTGAAGCACGTTGATTCCTGGAGGACTGGAAGAGACCCAGCCCTGATGGCCGAAGTCTTAGAAATGGCCACGGAAGTGGCCGACATGCTGATGATAGGTGTGTGGACACGGTGCTGCTCATGCTGTCAAGAACATCCCTCTGGCTCATGTCTCACATTCAAGTTCTCCTGTAGCTACCATGAGGGCCAGCATTTTTCCAAGTTCAAATCAGCATGCCCTTGAAAGTTTGTGATCTATGAGAATAGAATACTTACCTAATAAAGGAAAACATGCAGGTAGGGTCCATGTGCTGAACCACATTCCCACAGGAACAAGTCCACAGAGGAACTGCAGGCTCTAAGACCAGCCCTGCCCTTGGACATCCTTGGCTCCAGCATCCCGCCCACTGAACATGTGCACAGCACTTCTTCGGTCCACAGAAGCCTTTGTGCATAAGGCAAGGAGCTGACTTTGCTGAATTTAGGGGCTGAAGGGCCTTACGCAGAAACACTAAGCCCCTCACCTCCTGGAGTCCTATCTGAAGCAGCCCAGGGGTGCCTTTCCTGTGGAGTCTGATTCCTGCCAGCCATGTGCCAGCCTGGGACATGCACACAGAAATCTTTGTTTTTCCAGGGGATCTGGGCCAGGGTGGGGTTGGAACACCCCTCTCCCCGCCACACACACACTTCCACCAAGTTCTGGGCCACAGCTTCTTGGGCCTGGGAAAGGCATTTGTGAAGCCTGGCACACCCCCATGTTGAAGGGTGGGGAATTAGAGTTGAGCTGACCAGGAAGAGGAGGGACTTCAGGCCCAGGCCAGGCTTCAGCATCTCTGGACTCACCTGGATGCCTGCTGGTGGGTGCCAGCTGCTTGAAGATATGGGAGGCAGCTAGCTTCCCTGAGGGGCTCCAAGAGCAGGCTGAGGCCACTCACTGGCCTGCCTACCTGCCCTCCTCCCCAGGCCCCTTCCTGCCTGGATCACAAGGCATTCTGATTCCACTCCCCACTTAAGGCCTCTGCCTGGAAAGGTATGTGTGTGGACCCAGATGTGGGAACACCGCCACGCTGCTGTTTCTTACTGACACTTGGAGCTTACCTTCTCAAATTTGCTGGTGGTTTTCCCTTTCATCCTTTGGAGGGGCTATTCCTCTCACAGTATTTCTTCAAGCACTGGATAGACTGAGGAACTTTTTTCTTTCTGTCTTTAGCCAGAAGTGGACTTCCCTGTCCCCCCAGGCAGAGGCAGGAGTGTGGAGTCTGTGCAGAGCCAGCCCCAGGAGCCCGTGAGTGTGCCCCAGACACTGACTAGCACGCTGGAGCACATTGTGGGCCAGCTGGATGTCCTCACTCAGGTAGGCCACACTGTGGGTTCACCCGTCATCCCGTCATCTGCACTTGGTCCCGCATTTGGACCGTTTGAAGTTGGACAACAGGTGCTGGATTTTTAAAAACATAATTATAACGGACCTGTTTTCCAGTCCATATTAATGACATTGCAGAGCCTTCCCGGGGATCCTGGCTCTTGGAGCCATTCAAGCCCTGGCCAGACCACTAGACTCCAAAATCCCCAATGCTGGGTACTACTGGAGTGTGCTCACCTAGAGCTGGCCTGGGCCACTGAAGAGCTTTGAAAGAAACACTGTGTTTGTTTATTCCTCCCACTCTTTGCTGGATGGGCACTGCAGGGGCATGCCAGGGAACTGAGTAGTGAGTCAGGGCTTCTGAGAACCTAGGCTATGAGTTTGAGCCTGGACCTTTCCTTATCCTCTGTGCAACCTTGGGGAAATCCCTTTAGTTCACCAAGCCCTGGTATGTTTATCTGTAATGTGCTGGTGGTTGTGGGCTCTGCCTGCCACATTCATGGTGAGAATTAAGGGAGATGAATCTGGGAAATGTTTGGCCCATGCCTGGCCCTAGGTAGCTGCTCAATAAATGTTAGTTGTGGCCCTGACCACCCTCGTCACTGAGATGGATATGGGCCCTGCCCTCTGGAGCGTAGGTTGGCAGCCATAACACAGGCTCGTAGTGTAGCAGTTTCAGTAAGAGCAAAATCCCTTGACAAGAGGTGGTGGCCAGCAATAGGGGCATGCTTGGCAGGGCCATTTCACCCGAGGGAGGAAGAGAGGTCCTGGCTGCCTGTGGCTCTGGAGAGGCCATGGGCACGTCCAGGGAATGAGTGAAGCTCCAGGTGGCTGTCATGTGGATATGTGGTCTTGGGGTGGGGGGCAAGGCAGGATTTAGAGGTTCCCCAATTCCTCATCTCCTTGGCTCTTGAGGCCAGGCTGGGACTCTGCAGATCCTCCTCTACCATGCCAGCACATGGGTAGAGCGAGGCTGCAAGAGGGACACATGTGGCCCACGAGGAAAAGAGGTGTTAAAGCCAGGGGGTGGGGGATGGGGAAGCAAGGAAGAGTGGTCTCCAGTCCAGCTCACATGAAGGACGCAAAGGACCCTTGATGTCACTAACGGAAATGGAGCTGAGATGGCATGGTATCCTTTCCCCAGCTTGGGATCGTGGGCTAAGTGAGAAAAGCTCTTCCAGGGTGTGTCATCATAGCCCAGCTGGGATGGCACACCTTGGGCCCACTGAAGAAAGCACTCTTGAAGGGAAAGGCCAGGTGTCATGACTGGGGGCTGTGGGACTCCAGGGCCCAGTGTACAGACCTTGCTGAGAGGCTGCTAAGCCCTGAGAAGAAGGCATGTGCTGAGAGAGATGTGAGCAGCATGCAAAGACTTAAAAGCCACCCCACTTCAAACCCGTCAGCAACTGCCTCATGTTTTTCACAGCCTCGCCAAGTGAGAGATTAGGGGAGGTGGAATCAATTAGAACTTTATAGGATAAAATTGGAAATTAAGTCTGAGAAGGTGGTTAAAAATAGCTTCATTGGATCCAGAGGAGTATAACACTAAAAACATTTCCTGTCACTGTGTTTTAGGGGTGCACATGGAAGGTTTTGTTATGTGTTCACAGTTAGGAGTATGATAGTAACTTTTAAAAAACTTGCATCGCAGAGAGTAAGTGAAGGCTGGCCTGTGGCCTGTGGCCTTTGGCCCATGGCTGGGTGTCTAGATGTCTCAATGCTTCTGTGGCACCCTGGTCCTGCCTCACACCATTCAGCCCCTTTGCAAATCCAACTGGCAGGCCACCCCCGACCAGATGCCAACAATATCAGCCAGTCACCTGCTTTGCAAAACTGACAGTGTCTGTGTGTTTCTGGATGCCATAAAGCGAGGCATGTTCTTGACGGACTCAATGCGTCCCGAGGAAACTTGAGTTCTGCAGATGAAGCACCAGTTGAGGCCTTAAAGTTCAACCCATTTTCAGAACTGTGCATAGCACCTTTGTGCTAATCCTGGCAAGTTCTCCTTGGGCTTGACTGTTGGTTGTCTTCTAGGCCAACCTTTCTCTCCTGGAGATGGGGCTTTCTCTAGCTGAGATGTTCCAGCCACAGCCAGAGCTATCTCCACCAGGGGGTTGAAAGTTTCCCTGTGCCTTTCTCTTGGCATTGGCCCAGCAGAGGCAGGCCCACAGCAGGCCCCGCTCTGGATGGTCCAGACTGACCCAGCCCTCCCCTGAAGCTTAGTGCCAGGCGGCCACCACCATCCATCTTCCCAAGCGGCTTGTTCAGCTGGGCTTCCTACTTGGTCTGTGGATATTGGTCTCGGGTGCCACCCCATCAGCAAGCACTCCTTGCCATCTGCCCAGTCCTGAAGAGCCTTTGTGTTCTGGAGGGGTAGGATGCCCAGCCACCCCAACACTGATTCCTACTACAAAGTCATCCATGTGAATTGTGCTGTTCTCCTCTGTTGCCTCCACCATCCCTTCCCTCCCCCACAGGGAAGTCTACTTCAGAGTGGCCTTTGAGAGGGAAGCTGCCTTCTGGGTCCTTCAGGCCTCCATCCTGCAGAACATCCTTCTAGGGGAGAGCCATGGGGATGCAGCGGGCCGTAGCCAGGGATGTTTTCTGAGTGAGTCACAGAGTCTCCAGCCCCTGGGTAGGACACCCTATTTCAGAGGCTCACAGTCTTCAAAGCCTGCCTTCCTGTTCAACAGGCTGGTATGGCCCCATGTGGCGAGGTCACCTCTGTGGATGTTTGTGGCCTGTCTGGCACCAGTCTGAGGGTCAGGGACCCAATCTCAGTCCTCCCCAGGGTGACCCCTTCAGCGGCTCCTCTGTGTAAAGGAAAGGCCTGGAAGCCAGGAAGCTGAGTGAGCCAATGGAGAGGAGTGGCTCAGGTTTTGTCTGGCTTCCCCATTGCCTAGCTCAGTGACCTTGGGCAAGTCACTTTGAGTCTGTGTGCCTTACTTTCCAAATCTGGAACACAGAGCTGATAATAATACCCACTTCATAGGCCTCTTGGGAAGCTCCTTGAATAGTACCTGACAACGCCGTGCACTGCTGATGTGTTGGGTGCTGCTCCTGTTGCTGCCATTGTCGTTATCCAAGGCTTGGGGGCCAGGGGGATCTGCATGACAGCACCAGAAATAGCTCTCCCAATTTTCCACTGCCTCATGAAGCTAGACCCTTCCCTACCCAGGAGAGCCATTCCTTGGCCCTCAGAGCAGAGGTGGCAGGTTCCTTCCATGCACACACATTCACTGAGCCCACTCTGTGTGGTGGGCCCTGTGTGAGACCCAGTCCCACCTTCAGGAAGAACTCAGGACTGAATCTGCCAAGGTCAGAGCCAGGCCTCCCCAGAGGAGCTGGCAACTGGAATAACTGGAAACAAGTGGGAGTCCAGACACCGGGTCAAGGCCATGGGTCCTCTGGTGTGGGGTAACAGAAGCAGCAGCCCAGGAGTTCACCCTCACCTGACGGGACACTAGGCAAAGTCGAGGCCTGACCCATGCTGAGGGTCTGGGGTAGAGTGGAGATGGGGACACAGAGAAGTTGAGACGCGAGCAAGGGCAGTGCTATCATGGCTCCATCCCAGGGGCGATGAGACAAACAGCACTTTGGCTGGCCCCTGCAAGGCTCCTGGTCTCCGGAGCAAGCCAGCAAGTGGGGCAGCTTCCCCCAGCCTTCCCAGGCCAAGAGGCCTTTCAGATGAAGAGGAAACCAAACTGCCCTTGGGACTTGCACAGCATCAGAAACCCTTTAACTCCAGAAATGGGGTTGGTGTTTTACTTTTTTATGAAAGCCTTTTTTATAAAATCCATACATTATTTTTCAAAAGTGTATTTATATGGGGAAAATAGACTTTGGGGTGACCTTGTGAGCCGAGCAGGTGCAGTCTTCAGGCCTCCCCACGTAGTTGTTTTAGATGAAAAGTCCTCAGAGTGTGGGGATCACATACTCATCATAGTTTTCATCCTCCTGGTTTTTATCTGAGGCCTGCCACTTTCCAAGGACTTCCCTTTGTGGACCTCACTTTATCCTCCCACCTGGCACATGGCAGCAACATCATGCCAGGTGCAGATAATGTGTTAATAATGGCTTGTTGTGCCTGGACCAGCCTCGGGGTCCAGCCAGCCTGGGGCTTCTCCAGGAGGCCAGGTGATCCTGATCTCAACCACTGTGGGCCAGAGCATCCCTAGCTTCCCTTGCCAAACAGTTTTGGTGCAGTTAGGGATGGCTTCATCAAGAAATTCTGCAAACCAAACTTGACCTCCCTGAAAGGTAAGGCCAGAAGCTCTTGCCCAGGGCTCTGTGATCAGAGAGCCCAGCAGGCCGAGTCCCTTAGGTCACCAGCCAAAGAGCAGACACATCCTTGCCCTGGCCTGCCCCTGTGTGGGGATGACCCCTCCTTGCCCCAGTAAACACTGAGCTTGCTGTTTGGGGCATCACTGGTTTCTTCGCTAAGCTTCTCTGGGCCCTGATCCCAGCTGATGCCATGCTTTGAGCAGCTGGGGTTTGTTCAGCTTTACACATCCCCACCAGCTGTGGGGAGCAACTGTTCCTCCTTGAGTTTCAGGGCTGCTCTGTTCACCCAGTGAGCCACCTGCCTGTCAGCCTGGGCACACCTCCACCATTCATCACCTGGGTGACCTTGGGCAGGTGACATCAATCCCAGAGCCTCAGTCTCCTCCCTTGTAAAATGGGGAGAGATGCCTCATTGGGTCCTCTGAGCTCTGCTGTGCGGCTCTTGGTTAACTGAGTGTGCTAGACTGGTGCCAGCTGTTCTGTGAAGCACAGCAGTGAGTCGATGTTCTCCTGGGAGCAATATGGGAAAGCACTGGGGCAGGCTTGTGGCACAGGAATGACAGGAGTGGACATTCCACAGTCCCCATACCGCTGGACTCAAGTCCCAGAAATGCTTTTGAGTTGCCAGTGAGACTCTAGTGTCTGGCTAGGCAGGAGGATAAGAGAGGGGAGAAAGAAGTCATTCCCCAACCCCGGGAAGGAGGAGGGCACAGGAGGTGACAGAGGCACTGGGGTGCACATAGACACTTGAAAATCAGGCATGGGTCATGGGGCCCATTAGATCAGACCCTTCCACCTGGACCTAGGCAACAGGGCCCAAGATGGAAGCTCTTTGAAGATGTATGTGATACTTCTGTTCTTTGAATGTAGATATTGTAATGCTTTTTAGGGAACATGTATTTCCTAACAATGGAACTGAAGATTTTCTTTGGAGGGCTTTTTGTTCCTTGAGCCCCCTATGGGAATTCTCAGGAGCTGCTAGGCCTGAGGTCAGGAGCGTGGGCGTCACATGCTGCGAGCTCCCCGCCCCACTGAGAGATCGCACGCCTCTCCCTCAGGGTCCAAGGGCCCTGCTCTGATCCTGTCCTGAGACCCACCCCTCCCCTATCCCCTCTGGAGAGAGCACACGCCTGTCCTGTGGCTGCCCTGGGGTCACTCACCTGCTGGGCCTACCTCAAGTCTTCTGAGAAAGTTGGCTTGACCCCAGAGGCCCAAGGCTTCCAGAGAAAAACCCAGACAAGGAGTCAGAAACTGCAGCTGCTCAGACCCATCTCTGCCTCTTTTTGGCTTTCCACCAAGGGGAGATTTTAAGCGCTGCCCCTCTGTCTGTCTGTCCCATGGGGTGGGCAGCAGAGGTCAGCCTCTTCACATGGGGCCAGGACTTCCCCTGGGGCCTTTTCATCTGCCTGCCCCCCAGGCCAGGCTCCTCCATTCTGAGCACCCCTGGAGGACTCTAGGCCGGACCCCGAGGCTGCTAGGCCTGCCTGCCCAGGGATGGGCGCTCAGTAGGTGTGCAAGCAGAGGCCCTGGGCCTGACCCTGGTACTGTTTCCCCTTGTGCTCTTGGGGGTGATGCCAGGTGATCTAGGGGTCTTTTTCACAGATGCCGGAAAACTTCTCCAGTGAGCAGGGAGAGAGGCTGTTTCCACAAATAGCCACTGCTACATGAGCTCACCTCCACGCTGGCTCTGTGGCTTCCTTCATGGACCCTCAAGAGGCCAGAGGGCTGCTGCACAGTGCTCAGCTGCCCTCAGGAGTAACAGGTTTCAGTGGTGTCTGGAAGTTGCAGAGGCCCTGGGCCTTCCTTAGGGCAAGGGGGTGGATCTCTGGGGTGTGGACAATGACCCAGGAGCTGGGGAGGCTGCTGTGAGGGGGCCCGGCATAGGCCCAACACGCGGCTTGGTGGTTTTGCCTCAGAAGCCCACAGCAAAGTTATTTTTGACTCCAGTTTCACGTCTTGCTGCTTTTTAAAAATACCGAGCCATGAAATTCCTGCTCCAACTGTTTTTTTATGGCACCCAGTGTTTCAGGCTGGCCACAGCAATGCTGTGATGTCACGTTCCAGTTCCTGTGACTCATGGAGGCTGCTGGGCTCCAGGACTTGAAAATGCATGCGGTGGGGAGCAGGCAGGGAGCAAGCCCACCAGCCCTGCTTGTTTGGGTCTCTTTGGCATTCGATTTTGTTAAGTGTTCAAGTCATTGCGTTTTGCTGTCCTAACTCAACAAGGCCAAGGATTTTTGCCTGTTTGCTTTGGGGATAGAGAATGGCCTATTTGCTTTGAGATACCTTAAACCTGCTCCCCCACCCCCACCCCCATGGTAGTCCTGGAAGTTCCTATTTGACGGGCTGCTCAGGTGAGGCATCTGGTTCCACACTGGTGGGGAAGTTGGCAGTGCCTGGCCCTGATGTGGGCCAAGCTGCCTCACTACTCTCAGGGGCTCTCTGTATCCCTCTTTCCTGGGAGGACCTGCTGTTGCTTATGGAAATAGACCCCCAATTTTATAGTTATACAGTTTTCCATGGGGATCGGTCCTCCCACGTGCACCCAGACAGAATTTGTTGGGAGGGTATAGAGTGAAAGTCACCCAGTGCGTCTTCCCATGATCCCAGGAGGGCGTGTGCAGCCCTCCTAACACTGCTTCCACTCGCAGACAGGGCCATAAGGGTGGTGGTGGGTTGTTTCTGCAAAAATGGGCCCCCTCTCTGCATCAGCACATCTAGCCAGCTCACCTGCTTGGTCCAGAGTGGATGTAGCCACCCTCCTTGTTGTGGACCTTCATGGATTGCCCTTTTGGCCAGAGTCATGTTCAGGACAACCTGAACTTCTTTGTGGGGGTTTGGAAACAAGAGGCTTGTTTTCCTTCTGTTAAGAGGCTACTTCTGGGGGACAGGGGACTCAAGACACTGTCTGTTCTGTGCCAGGGACACACTTGGTGGCAGAGGGACTGGGGGAAATGTCTGTCTGCCTGGGCCCCTGGTGATTCCCCAGCCCTGTTACTATTTTTGGCATTTTTCCCAAAGGCTCCTCTGGCTTTGCAAATGTGGCGGGACAGGGGAGCCTGTGTCTTCCCCAAGTCGCAGGTCAGGGCCAGTGCCCTGCCTCCTTCGTGACATGCAGCCTGCGAACAGCACTCAAAAACGGGCAAGCTCGTGTTTGCAGGGGGACTGGGTGGCAGCTCCCATGGGGGTCAGGCAAAAAACTCTGGTTTTCTATCTTTTATCCCGTCTGTGGTTGTGGCAGAAAGCACCCCCTTCCAAAGAGGCTGCAGATTGAAGGCCCCTGCCTGCCAGATGGGCTCGACAGTAGCCGTGGTTATCTCTGGGGCCTGGGAATGTTCATGGTCGGTCATACGAGATTTCTTCTGAGGCTCTGAGCTGGCTTGGAGATGGGGGAGGGCTGGGGGAGGGCTGGGAGATGGCGGGAGGGAGCAGGTGGTGGAGAGCAGAGGCTGGGAGCAGGGAGAGAGGCCCATGCAGGGACATCTCATTCGGGCTGAATCTAGGCTTGCTCTGAGAAGAGGAAGGGAGGGGACTCCACATGATTTGCTCTTGCTCCTCGGGGACCTGGGCCCTCCAAGGAAAGGCCAAACACAGGCCACAAGAAAGGGGCCTGTGTTATGACAGGAGCCCCAAACTGGCCTGCACCGCTCTGAGATTAAGCAAGCCACAGCCTACTTCATCACAGCTGACCCCGTGACCTCTTGGTGCTTTCCTGAATGAGGCACCACCACAGCAGGGCCAGGAAGGGCTGTAGTTGGGCCTGCTGCTTCCTCCCATGCGCTCTGTAAAGGGCCCTGATCCAGGCCTGTACTATGGGTATAGAACCTCATCATGCCCACAGTGGCCATGGCTGAGGAAGCAGAGGAAGCACAGGAAGCCTTGAACTTAGCATGGCATTTGGGAAGCAATTATGTGCCCCTTGCCCTTCTGATCTGGGCCCAGCCAGTGGCTCCAGAAAGCTCGCTAAGATGATTGCTCAGGTTTTCCCACTGTGGATCAGTGGATGCTTGGCAGGATGGGGGAGCCTTGAGACTCCATCCCTGGTGGCTTGTGCCCTTCTTCCTCCCGGAGGTGGCCTTGTTGGGTGGTAGCTGCAGCCCGACTCGCCAGGCTATACTGAGACTTCCAGGCCTCCAGCAAGCTATCAAGATGTCTGGCTTAGGATGATCATGTCTTGCTGGGTCTTGGGAAAGTAGTTAACTAACTACTTTATATGGATTGTTGGAAAAGTCAGCCTCTGAAGAAATGGGTTGCAGAAGGCGGCCAAGGTCAAGGTCCACACCCCATGCTCAGCCCTGTTTGGACTCACCCTGGAGTCAGAGTCCAGCAAAGCCTATGGCCAAGCATGACTGGTGTCCTACACCTTGGGGCCTATCCCGGTCAGACACTTGGCTTCCCTGGTGGCCTGTACATGGCTGGCAGAGATGTGCTTGAACCCACCCCAGTGTCAGTGGGGCTGTGGCTCAGGTCCTCCCTTTGGGTGTGAGCAACACCCCATGGGTCCCAGGAGCATCCGGTTTTATGAATGGTCTGAGTGGACCCACTTTTTATAGCTTCTCCTTTTGGGGGAAAGAGTGATATGGAAAAGAGAGCTGTGTTCATTTAAAAGGAGTTGTTTTTAAGCCATGAGCAAGGTAAATAGCCAAGATTCCTTAATCTGGTGGCTAATCCACTAATAGAAAATAGTGTTTCGTGTACTTCCCGAAGAGAGCTAATCCTCAGTAGAGGTTGGGGCTGGGGGATGCAAAACCGTCAGAGAAATCCTATATCCCTGAGATAATGTGAAACAACCGCGGACCATAGGCTCAAGGGACCAAAAGCTCATTTTCTGTTGTTTGCAGCAGACTGTGGGGTTAGGGGGAGTGGTTAAAAAGACAGTTGCTGGGCCTAGAGAGATTGGGAGGAATTTTTTTAGAAATTGTTTTTTTGTGTGAATTGGCTGTGTGATCCTGGGCATGTTAGCATGTCAGACATCAGCATGAGAGGGGAGCTCCATTCCTTCCCCTCTGAGGTTCAGGCCTCAAAGATTTTAGTCATCATCAGACCAGGACAGAGGTGGGAAGGGGAGGAACTGGACTGCTTCCTTTACTCCCGCCCCCACTTCCTGCCAAAGCAATGAGGCTTCCTCCCTCCCAAGACTAGCTGGTGGGGCCTGCCCCTCCTACTGCCCGCCCCACTCTCCCTCTATCCCTTCAAGCTCACCAGGTCCAAGACCCACGCTGGGGTGAGTGTTCCTCACAAGCTGGGTGGGCCCATCCCTAGATTAGACCTGCCCTTTGGCCTGGGGGACCTGGGCTGGCAGGCACCGGACCTGTGTTCCCTGCATTTCCATAGCACTCAGGGCATTTGTCCATCCAGTCAGTACTCAGTGTGCACCTGCTGTGTACCAGGTGCTGTCTAGGAGCAGGAAGACAGTGATGAGAAAGAATAGAGAACAATCTTTGTCCTCATCACTGGCATGCAGGCTGACTGATGTCCACAGGCTGCTCGAGGGGCATCGTTTGTACCCTGTGACATGAAGGCCCCTGAGCTGCAGACCATTAGGTACTGGTTGGTGGCTGAGGCCAGGAGGCAGAGCCTTGGGTGGTGTGAAGGTGCTGCAGGCCCTGTCTGCAGAGGGCTAGGCTGGCCCCCTAGTCACTGCTGACATGTGGCAGCAGGCTAGCAAGGGCACCACCAGCAAGTCAGGGTCCTGCGTGTGTACGCACACAGGCTTACACCAAGTGACAAAGCTGGAGTTGGCAGGATACAACGCAGAGCTAGGGTAGGCAGTGGGGCCCGGCAGCCCTGCTTTGTTTTGATAGCTCATGAGACCCCACAGCAAAGAGATTCCCCTTTTATTGTATCTGTTTTAGATCTTGAGAATCTGAGTGAAGTCAAAACCATGCTACAGGGGAGATTAATTCAACATTTTTCATCTCTGCAATGAAGCCAAAGGAAAGTTAGACATTCAGTGCAGCACAGTTGAGACCAGGGGTGTTGAGTCAATGGCCAGCCCCAGGACGTTTGCCCTGGCCTGCCACAAATGTCCTCAGTGTGGCCGGGTGACTGCGCCCTCTCCCTGAGACTCAGAGCAGTGGGGACCACACCACCTCTGGCCCAGTTATCTGGCTCCTGTGTTGGTGGGGAGGAGACTGGAGAACCCCAGTCCCACCAGGGAGACATCATGGGGGCGCCCACATCAACCACAACCCGGGAAGTGAGTAAAAGGAGCTTTTCATCACAGGAGAACTTAAAGAAGCAGCCAGACCACCACGTGCATCAATGGCTCACACCCTCCCAAACCTGACCACAGGCTGCCCTATTTGGGGCCTCATCAAGCCCCATCTGTGCCCATGGCTCCCCCAACATCCCGGAGCTCAGCCAGGGCAATGGCTAGAGGAGTCATGTTCCCCATAGTGCATGCCTGTGCCCAGCCAGACAGAGCAAGTTCTACATGCATATTAGCTATTAATATGAATATTGCAGTGACTATGAGAGGTGTGTTTTACAAAGAAACTGAAGCCCTGAGTCTGGTAACTTGCCTAAGGCTGCTCGGCGAGTTAGTGGTCAAGTTTCCCTTTGAACCTAGGCCATGTAGCTGAGGAGCCTTCGTGCTTACCACGTGGGACCAAGGTTCCCCACTAGGAATCCCTCAGTGGCATTTTCCAAGGGCCCACACCCATGAGGGGAGGAAGGCAGGCATCCTAGCAGCGGGGCCAGGGCAAGGAGGCTCCTAGGGTAGGAGAGTGGGCGGGCCTCAGGTGGGCGGGGTTGGGCAGGGAAGGCAGTATTGGTGGGCAGCATAGGGCCTGGAGGGCCACGGGAATGCCATGCCGCAGAGTCTGGCCTTTATTCCTGAGCTCTTGGATAGGAAAGGGGCACGGAGAAGCAGTGAGGAGGCAGAGGGTGAAGGGTGTCCCAGGAGTAGGGCAAGGGGAGTCACCAGGAAGCCTAGGTGTGAGGATGGGGACTGAGAGGAGCAGGCCGGAGGGGCACCTGAGTGCCAAGAGGGAAGTGCCTCGAGCCCTGCCTGGGAGGCCCTAGTGCAGGAGGAGCCCAGCTGGGGCAGGGGATGGGGTGCCTGCCTGAGTCTGGCGAGGGCAGAGCCCTGATGTGGCTGCCCCTGCCAATGGTACGCCGACTAACCCAGTGTGGCCGCCAGGGGGGCCTGGGACAGCATGGTCCTGTGTGTTCACCCTCCTACTGCCTCTCCCAGGCTTCACCCAGCTGCTGCCTCTCCTTTCTCTCAGTCAGTGTGGCTTTCCATCTTGCCCCATCAGCCACTGGTGCCTTATCTCCTGGCCTCCCTGCAAACCTGCCAACCCAGGACAGTTGCAGCTCCCCTTGCCACTGTGTCCCCAGCCCAGGCAGAGTGCTTGGTGGGACACATGCCTGGATGTTGGCTCCGCCTTCACCCATCAGTCTGGCCCAACCACCCTGTCCACCTCCATGCCACCTGTCTTCCAGCTCAGAGGACGCTCCCATAAGAACCAGTACCACTCACCAAGGAGGGCCCCAGGTACCACCACCCAGGGCTCTGCTAAGAGCAGGATGTGGATATGGGGAAGGGCCCTGGCCAAGGTGAGCAGGAGGCCCCTGGGAAGAGGGGCTGCCCCAGAGCTGGGGGGGCAGGGGGATGGACTGGGGAAGCCTCGAGTGAAGCCTGCACTTGGAGAAGTATTTTTAAGGATCTGGCCACCCTTGTTCTTTCCTGCCCCTAAGATGTTCTTTGCTGTCAGTGGTGGTGGAGTAGCTTTCCTCGCAGCCTAGACAGGACCGGTGCTGCAGCTGTGTCAGTGCTCGGAAGCCCCCAAGAGCTAGGGTCCCTTGTTTGCTGCCTGTGGTGGGTGCCTGACAGAGGTATGGGAGTGAATGATGTTGTTGGCTGCCCCCAAGGCGGGTCGTGAGTGTCCCACAACTCCTCAGTTTTGGAGAAGTTACGGCTCCAGCTTCCCTGCCATGTTTGCCCATGAGTGCATGAGGGAAGCCTTCAGCAAAGGTGGTGACAACAATGGTCATGGGAGGAGGAGCAGCTCCTGGAAGGGACCTGTCTCTGAGGGTGTGCCCTTGGTCTGTGCTCTGAAGTGCCAGTCTGTCCATTCACTTCCGTTTCATGGACTGTAGGACCAGGTGGCTGTGGTCAGTTCCTAGGTCGAGGCTCTTCTCCCAGAGTTTATTCTGGAACCAGCGTTCTACAAACTGGCCACAGGCACGT
Source organism: Homo sapiens (assembly GCF_000001405.40). Lineage (NCBI taxonomy): Eukaryota > Metazoa > Chordata > Mammalia > Primates > Hominidae > Homo > Homo sapiens. The sequence goes on along the minus strand of NC_000003.12, from coordinate 52,084,078 downwards.
GGGAGCAGCATCCTCCCTGGCTGTGCCTACTCAGACCTGTGAGCCTGGTGAGGCAGTGCCAGGGAGTGGAGGCTTCTCTGTTCCCTTCTGTTTCGAGCTGAGGGCCCTAGGGCTCATATCTCTTCCCTGCTCAACCACTTGAGGCCAAGCACCCTGGCCTCCTGACAGTTCCAAGAGTGTGCTTCAGGGCCTTTGCACCTGCTGCACCTAGTACTTGGAAAGCATTTGCATTGGCTCATCCTGTGTTGCTTTCTCCCAGAGGCCTTCCTGTCAGAGTTGATGCTCTCCTTCCCAGGCCGGGCAGCCCTGGCATCAGCCCCATAGCAGGTGAGCCGTGGCAGGGGCCTGACTCCACCTGGAGCTCAGTCCCAGGTGGCCAGACACACACTCTGCTCCTGTTTCCCTCGCCCTCTCACCAAACACAGAGTGGAAAGGGAATGAAGAGGCCTTGAAAGGAAATAGAAATGAGAACTGGGAGAAAAGCTAAGAAAAAAGTGCAGGACAAGCCCACCTCAAGAGAAAACCAGGCCAGGGAGAAAAAGAGGCTGGGGCTGAAAGAAGGGGAGGTCACACTGGGAGGAGGTGGCCAGCAGGAGAAAGGAGGGACAAAGGAAAAGCCCACGTAGCCCAGGGAGAGCGCTGGGGTGTAACTAGACCTGAGGGGAGAAAGTGGGCATGAGGGACTGTACGTCACTCCACGGGGTGTGAGGTGCAGCCAGGTCAGTCACACCTGTCCTTGTTTGCTCTGTTTCGCCACGTATGAGGGTGGGGGCCTCACCCTCTCCAGAAGCACTATGCTCCCACCTCCTCTGTGCCTGTCCAGAGAGGAACTCTTCCTGTACCTCTGCAGAGCCAGTGGGAGTGTCACACCGCCCATGCCTCTTGCCAGCTGGAGGGTCATACAGAGACCTCTCTGAACTCTCGTGATGCCCCAGATGCCCGAGTCCCCATCACATACCTCAGAGGAGCTAAGGCTCTCCCCCCAGCCACCCCAGAGGCCAGCAGAGCTGCATAAACCCAGGCTCTGTCCCAGGCAGGACACCTGAACTGGTCAGTTTGGGCCATTGGTGGGCGTGGAGGATGATACGGCATCTGGGCTCAACTGTTCCAATCTCGGAGCCCTGTGGGGACCATAGCAGGCTTTCAGCAGACACCTAATTACTCTATGTCAGTAGAGAAGGACGCATCTGAGGTAGTGAGGTGCAGACTGGGGGTATCTGTTGAGATGTCGCCAGTGTTCCTCTTCTACTTGGAGTTGGGGGCCCAGGTGCCAGACATGTCTCTGAGGACTTGTATTTCAGTGCAATTTCTTTGGGCATCACTACAGTTTTTAGGGGGCTAAAAATAAAAGCCTGTCATTTTAAAATCAGTTCTTTTTATACCATGCTCAGAAGGCCCTTTAAGGTGTTACATAAAACGTTTTACACGTCTTGAACTGTGAGTGAGAGAAGGCACACTCGCCCTCTGAATGTTGCCCCAATAGGACAGATCACAGTGTCTCCCCTGAGCAGAAAAATTAGGATTCAGATAGAATGCCATTGTTCACCCTCTCCTGGGGGGATTTTCCTTGGAGAGCTCAGGCGGATGAATCACGGCTGGAAGCCCTACCACCTGGTCCGAGCTCCTAGATCCACTGTCCAGCTACTGAGAGCCAGCCCAAGCTAGCCTGTCACCATGCTCTTGGTTTTGGTCCCCAGCATCTCGGCATCCTCCCTGTTGGGTCACCTGGGTTGGGCAGTCCCTCCTTCATCCCCACCAAGGAGCTTTCCAGGACGTTCAGCCCATCGCTGACATCACCCTGGGTCCTGCCAAGGCCCTCAGCTCCCCTGCGCTGGACTCTGCTCTCCAGCCTGCAGGGCCCTTGTGGGTCCACTGCCCTCCCCACTCCCCCCTCTTCCTTCCCTCCTCACCCACTGGCTGCCCTCAATAGGATCCTCAGTAATCCCAGTCTTAAAAATGCAGTGCAACTCTGCTGCTGGCTCAGGCTTCTCAGACCACCCCATGCCTGCCAGACCCTCTCAACATTCTTGGGGGTCCTCATACTCAGCCTGTGTAATCTGGAGCCCGTCTTCTGCCTCTCCTGCAGGGCCAGTCCTTGTCTTGTGTTCTTGGCCTTGGAGCACATCTCTCTCAGACCCCCATCTAACTCGTCACCAGGTACTGGTGCTTCGTTCTTTGTGGCTATCTCTGGTTCTGTCCACTTTCCTTCCTGGCTTCTCCTGCCCCCAGTCCAAGCCACTGTCATCCCCTCTCGTTCTCTCTTGCCTGCACCTCACCTTCCCACAGCCATGAACCCACTCCCAGACTGTCCCTGTGTAGTAGCCAGAGGAGTCTCAAATCCCCTCAGCCTAGCACCCCCCAGCACCCTCCTGCTCTGAGGGTGAAGATGAAGCTGCTAGGCATGACTTGCAGAGCCCAACCCCATCTCCTGCCTCCCCTGAGGCCCCCTCTTCTTGCTCCAGCACACGTGCCTCCTATGGTCCATCCCTCCCGTTTCTTAACCTTGGCCAGCTCAGGGCCTTTGCACACACCATTCTTTGGGTCCTGATCCTCTTCCTGCCCCTCTTGCCCCTCCGTCCCAGCAGTGCAGCCCACTGTCTATGCGCCTGCGTGGCATCTGCCTCGTTGAACTGTGGTGCACCCTGTGGGCTCAGCCGAGTCTGCGTATTATCATCCTGGGCCAGGCACAGGCCAGCGTTGGGGAGGTGCTTTGTGAGAGTTTGAGTAAGGGAAGAGCGAGGGCAAGGGTCAGCAAATTTAAACAGTAAAGATTTTAGGCTTTGTGGACCATACAGCCTCTGTCAACCTGTCGCTGGACCCAGAAGGCAGCCAGAGACCATACGGAAGCCAGCAGGCGTGTCCATAAAACCTTATTTACACAAAGGGGCAGCCGGCCGTAGTTTGCTAACCCTTGGTCTAGAGAAACAACAGAATACATTCGATGGCAAACAAGTGATTTTAAGGCCAAGGCTTTCTTGAGAAGGGCCATGGCTTCCAGGAAATTGCTGGTAACAGAGTAGGAAAAGGGTTCAGAAATGAGCCCCCAGGTGAACCTCGGCAGATGTGACTTTGAAGATAAAACTTCTGGAGCCCTGCTGACCACACCCCATGAGGCTTCCTGACACTGGCCATGAGGGCCTTGACTTGGGAGGCGGACAGTATCGGGTGAGGAGTGACAGTGCCCAGGCCATAGGGTCCTCAATCCGGCTTCCTGTCACTCCGATTTAGGGAGAGAGAGGTACCTTGTTTAAAGTTGAACCTTGTCTTCAGGGGATGGGCCACCCAGCAGTGACCCAGGCGAGTTCCACAGCATGTTTTGGGGCTGATCACTTAATGCTGCAGTGGCACAAGTGCCAGTGAAAGAAGCGTTGACAGTGAAGTGATTGGGGCAGCTTCTCGTGGTGCATCCAGGAGGAGGTTCTTGTCACTATGTCCTTTCGGTTCCTATAATATTGAGTTTTCATGGCTCACATGAATTATCCTTATGACCTTTGTAATAATTCCAAACCTAAATGTTTAGCCAGGTAAGAGACTGCTTTTCAGGGGGAGGTGACACATGAGGCCTGACAATGTGAGGGGGTGGGTGACCCTGGGGGCTGTCCATTCCCACTGTGGCTGAGGTAGGAGTTTCTGCTCATTTAATTCAGAGCAGCTAGGCCAGGCAGCCTAAACCAGGACAGCAGGTGCTGCTGCTGGGTGAGGACAGGGATCCCCTAGTCTTTCCTCAGGCTGCCTGAGTTTGGGCATCAGGGCTGGAAGTGGGATGGGACACCAGCAGGCCTCTCCTTTGGCATTCTTGATGGGGACAGAGCCAAGATGCACACTACCCAGTGCTTTAGTGTGCTCACTGCAGCCAGGCCACCTAGGCTCACAGCCTAGGCTTGTCACTGATAAGCTGTGTAACTTTAGGCAAGTTACTTAATCTCACTGTGCCTCAGTTTCTTCATCTGTAAAATGGGGATGATAAAAGCTCCCACGCTGAAGGTTTGTTGAAGTTTTTGGCACACACGAGCGTCCCGTGAAAGTCAGCTGCCAAGAGAAGCCCACAGAGCAGAGGGTCAATGATCAGGGTGAACCGCCCTGAGCCCAGTCCCAGGACCTCCTGCTGGTCCCCCTCATGTTTAAGCTCCACACCCCAATTACATGGAGGACTTAAGAATGTTCCCAGGGTAGCACCAGGTCCAAGGAAAGGGAATGAGCTGCCTGGTTTCTCCAAGGTCAGCAGACAGAAGGGGCCGCACTGTGGAAGAGTTGGACCCCAGCAAGAGGGAGTTCTGGGAGATGGGCCATCTTTCCTGGCCACTTTGCCCAGGCTGCCCCTCTAGCAGCCAGAGCCCTGGACTCCTCAACCCCTTCGTCAGTTTCCCTTTACCCTGCCCCAAAGCCAGAAGCCATGGACGCTTGTGTCAGGCAAAGCAGTTTCCCTTGTTGACACCTGGCACCTGACACAGCCTGTACCTCTTTGGGGACCTTCTGAGGGGCTAGGACCAGACCTCTGGCCCCTGCTCCCCTGTACAGAGCACAGGGTGAGAGGCAGTGTGATCAAGGAACTGTTTGGAAGGTCAGCGCTCATTTTTCCTTGAATAAATGAAAGTCGTGGCTTCCAGGCCATGGAGTGTGGACCCGGGGAGGCCGCAGAGGTATTTGCCTGCAGAGCGCTCCTCCTCACCCTCCAGGGCAGGTGTGGCCTTGTCTCCAGCCTGGTGAGGACAGGCGCTGGTAGCAGGATAATTCCCGGGCTGGACGGAGCATGAGGCGACGAGAGCAGCCTGCTTGGCTGGGCCCCGCTGGGAGTTGGGCCACTAGGCAGCAGGTGGAAATGGCAGTGGCCTGTGTACACCGAGGTAGCATGTATTTTCTGAACCCTCGTATGGGTATGTGGGGATGTGCTTACTTTTTGTTGTGAACCGACAGGTAAAGATCATATACATTCTGAACAAGGCCACGTGATATGGCTCCAAACCAGTCTGTGCCAGGGGTACTCCCCACACACCCCTTCTGCCACCTCAGATGCTCTCCTGCCCTCCTCCCACAGCTCCCGTGCAGCTGGGGAAGCACGGTGGCACTGTGATGGCCTGTCCTGGCTGCTCTGGGCCTGTGGCCCAGACAGACTCCCTGCAGGTGGCCTGCCAGCCCTCCTGCCTGTGTGTGCCACCAGCCCTGAGTGTGTCTCCACTTTGCCACTTGGATGCCCAGTGGGGCATTTCCATCATGGGGGAACCCCTTCCTTCCCCTTGTAGAGGGAAGGCACACCAGCAGCATTTCAGATTTCCATGTTTCAGCCGGGCGCAGGGGCTCACGCCTGTAATCCCAACATTTTGGGAGGCTGAGCCGGGCGGATCACGAGGTCAGGAGATCGAGACCACGGTGAAACCCCGTCTATACTAAAAATACAAAAATATTAGCTGGGCGCAGTGGCGGGTGCCTGTAGTCCCAGCTACTCGGGAGGCTGAGGCAGGAGAATGGCATGAACCCGGGAGGCGGAGCTTGTCGTGAGCCGAGATCGCGCCACTGCACTTCAGCCGGGTCGACAGAACGAGACTCAGTCTTAAAAAAAAAAAAAAAAAAAAAAAAAGAGATTTCCATGTTTCACTGTCTATGAGGAGTCACCATTTTCTGTGAAAATGAGGTCCTATGCTTTATTAAGAAAATTTGATTTTTAAGAAAAATATAAAAATTTTTAAGAAAGTAGGATTTTTTTTTTTTAACTACATGGAGCAAAGAGTGCCAGACAGCATTCTAATGTACAGAAATCCAAAAAGCATCCTGCTCTCCCAGGCCTTCTCCTGGCTCAGAGTGGGGGCAGCTGGGATCACGTGTGCTGGGAAGGGCCTGGTTGGACTTCTTTCTCCCTGATGGTGGCCACCACGAGGCACCTTGGCAGAGAAGGAACAGGGGAAGCTGAGACCAAACACAGAGATGACACAGCTCCTCTGAAGCTAGGCTGGAGGGGGAGAAACTGCCTTGAGGGGTGTTGGGCCTCATAAAAGCCTGTTTGTCTACTGTGCTGTGAAGTGATCCTCAAAGCTCTCAGAGGAAGGCCTCAACGGGGTGGCACCCTTCATGCAGGGGGCTGGTTGTGAAACAGGTGATGCTTCTCTTTTCAAATAATTTAGACACATTTAGTGGTCACATTCCTACTGAGCTGAAGTATGGGCCCCCTATGGAACTAAGTGGAGTCCCTTGTATTGACGTTGGCCCAGCACCTCACCCACGTTTTCTGGGCCCACTATCTCCACGTTTGCAAATTGGGTTCCTGTGAAAAGTTTCAAGAAAAAAAAAAAGGCAGAAGAGGAAAAACAGGCTCCTCTGCTGCGGCCTTGAGTTTGGGGCCATCGGAAAAAGTCTGGATGAAGAATGATTTTGGCCCTATGAGTTTCACAGCAGCCAGTGGAAACTTCCAGGAATGCTGCCCCGGGCCAGCCAGGGGCTGTTTCCGCTGCCACTTTTACGAGCTGCAGACCCCCTCCCCGGCTGGCTGGCCAGCACAGGGGGAATGTGATGGTCTCTTTCAGCTCAGCTCTGCCTCTTAGGGTGCAGTTTGTGTTCCATGGGCAGCAATTTTTCCAGGCTCTGTCCAGTGACAGAGGGTTCAGAGCCCTCACAGCCCTGATTGGCCCATTTAGAAGGGGCCAGCCACCAGGCGGAGCACCCTCCATGGCAGCTAATGTCTGTGCCGGACGCTGCAAGAATTTATAGCAGCCTTAAAGGGGGAGACTCCCTTCTAAAATGTTTCAATGTTTTATTAAATGTATGAAAGAAAGTTTCCTTTCCACTGGACCAAGGCCCAGGACTTCATGGAGCCCCAGGGAAGGGGGCAAAACCTCTTGGGAAAGCACACGGGTGAGGTTAATCTGACCCTCCTGATGCCTATGGGCTGCACAGTACCGGAGTCAAGGCTGCCATACTCACATGGGCTCATCCATTGGCCAGCAGGGGCCTGGCATACAGTAAGGCACTCAGCCAACCCTAAAGAGGGAAGTGAAATGATGCCAAAGGCGTCATGGCCAGCATGGTCCAACCCGCGCAAGTGATGAGTGGGGCAGGCTTGCTCTGGTCCAGCCCCTCTTTGGGGAGCATGCAGGCTCCCAGACAGTGCTGCCCCTCTGCTGACACTCTATCCAAAGCCAGAGGAGGAGGGCAGCTTTTCCCAGCCTGTCTGGGAGCTATGTCTGCAAGACTGGCCCTGGCCCATGAAGCACATGCAGCTCCAGCAGCTGGGGGCCTTTGGCAGGCCAGGCAGCCAGGTCCGCAGGTGAGCCATTGTGCTGGGTGTGTAAGAGAGGCCAGGAGAGCAAGGGCCCAGCTTCAGGAAGGCAGCATGATCTGCCTGACAAGCACTCTGACAAGCATGGTCAGAGTGAGCAACTGCTGGGCTGCTGAGTTACCTAGGCCATGAGCTTGGTTGTCTTTCGCACTGGGCGAAGGAGGAGAAAGTGGGCTCAGAGAGATGAAGTTGTCATGGCCTGTGATTGCCCTGGGCTGAAGTCCCACATGACATATCCTATAGTAGTATTCGTTGGACTTGGACAGGCAGAGACCCTCCTGGGATCAGGGGACTCACCTCCCTGCCTTTGTCCCCTGCCAGCCTGGGAGGCTCTTCCAGGTGTGAGGGGAAGGACCCAAGTGGAGTGCCATCATTTGTGGGTGCAATTTTCTCACCTCTGGAGTGGAGGTGGTTGATGGTCTCCAGTTGTTTATGGACAGTGCCTGGCTCAGACAAGGAAACTGGTTTTGCTGCAGAACTCCAATATAAATGCCAGGCCACCAGGGTGGGGGGTTCCTGACCCCTTGGTTCTCTTGAGAAATGACCAAAGGCTATGGGACCTGCCATCTAGTTTCCCTCACTGTGTCCCCACCCCCTGCCCACAAACATTATAGATCAGCCATCCAGAGCCAGGAGAAGCAGACATAAAGGCAAGGGCTATCCCAATAGCACCAGAGACAAGGGGCCTGGCAGAACCCCTGGGTGGAAAGAGCCAGCTGGCATTTGGGCAGTGGCTGAGGCAGCCAAGTGGGGACTGGCCAAGGGGGTCCCTAGAGCAGCCTGGCGGCCCTTCTGTGTTCTGACCCAACCACTGTTTATTTTGCAGACAGTCTCCATTCTGGAGCAGCGGTTGACACTGACAGAAGACAAGCTGAAGCAGTGTCTGGAGAACCAGCAGCTAATCATGCAGAGAGCAACACCATGATCAGGGGAGCAGGAATCAGGAGCTCGGTGGATTTGCAGGTGGCAGGCCAGGGATTTGTACCATGGGACTTGGGTAAATAAAGGGGACTGAACTCTGTGGGAATCACATCCATACTGGAGCCCTGGATTTTTGCAGTTCTGCCCTCCACCTTGCTATCTGCACCAGGAGGCTCTCCACCTGGCAGCCAGAGGTCCCCAGTGGGCCGGGCTCACACACAAATGATGCTTCAGACCCGAATGAGAGGACCACATTTTGCTTAATGTAAAGGAGCCACTTGAAAATGTCTGCTCCTTCGGGGTCCTGAGATTGTGGCTCCCCCTCTGGAGGAGGTGGCTCCACGATGCCTTGATTTTCACTCATCATTTGGACATGTGACTGGCTTTTCCTACCTCTGCCATGGTGTAGAAATTGATTGCACATTGATTGGATGAGCCGGGGGTTTTCTCTAAATCTGACTAAAGGCCCAAAGTGGGCCCATCTGAGTCAGGTTTGTTGAGAACAAGCCCTCTCAAGTGGGTGGTGGCTTTTCAGTGGCCCTGATTTCTGTTCCACACGTGTTCACTGGAGCCAGGTGACTTCCTCCTTGCGTGAGTGAGGGCACAGGAATCTCAAAATTAAACCTGACTTCATTGCACTTGTTGCAGGAGTGGCTTATGCTGGATGACACTTAATCAATCTTCCCATCCCCAGGGCCCAAACAGAATGAGAATGGTGACTTGGGACGGCCTCTGCCAGGATTGCCTCTGAGGCCAGGACCCCCCTGTTTGCAGCTGTTCAGGGTGTCGGGGAACAAGGGCAGTCAGAGCCCTTGCATGCACCCACCTCCCTCTGGCTGGCCCCCACTGACTGCTTCTGTTGGGACTCAGAGGCCTCAGGCACCCAAGTTTCCATTTGCTCCTGAGGGCTTCCATAGGGTCCTCCCTCTGCCCCTGTGCTGGGGAAGCCAGGACAAATGTTTTCCCTGTGTCTGTGTGTCGCCCGTGCCTTCCGTCTTCAGCTTCTTGGGGCTCAGCCAGCCAAGGAGGTCTTTATCCTCAAACACACCTGCCCTGCCCTGGGGAATGGGAGGTGGTGTTAGATCGTCCCAGGAGCTGTCAGTACCACGTGGTCAGTGGGTTCACAGCCTCTGCAGCCTCCAGGTGGAAGCAGAGCCTGCATGCCTCAGAGCCTGGACTGACTAGAGGGCAGCTGTGTTGAGTCCTGATGACGGGACGCTTTCTCTGGCCTACACTGGGTGGGGAGGGAGCTGCCTGTTGCCAGCTGTGTGACCTCAACATTGTGACCTAACCTCTCTGAATCTTGGGTTCTTATTGTGTGAAGTGGTTGTGATACCCTCCTCTGGTGACAAGGTAAGCAATGCACTGTGCTCAGTGCAGAGCAGGTGCTCAAGAGAAGCCCATCCCCCATCAGTCCCCCAGTGGGACTCCCCATCCCCACCAGTCCCACTGGATCTACAGGGTCTGCTCTCAACACCATCCTCCCCCTGCACTGTCGATGGGAAGAAGCTGCGGGCTCAGGGTGCTCTGGCAGCTGCTGGGACCTGCCGCACTTTTCCCACGTGGCCCTGCCGGTGTGTGGACGAGCCTGGCAGGCCTGCTGGTCCATGCTGGCAGGTAAGTCTCTTGGCTACCTCAGGAGGCTTTGAAGTAGAGTCTGGGCAACTGCAGGTCAGCCTGCTAAGAGGAGGTGCAACTTATGGGGCCAGCCGTGTCGGTTCCCTCCCATGCCAGCCCTCCTGCCACCAGACCAGCACTGGGCTGCCTGTTGTGGCTTCCGGACCTGGGCTTGGACCTACCATGGGTGGAGATTCTGATGATTTGAGCAACCAGCCCAGGGCAAGGTCATCTCCAGAGACAGATGACGGCCCCTCTGGGGGCAGCAGGACATGTGCAGGGTCTCCAAGGCGTTGTGTGGCAGGTCTTGCTCTCAGGCCAGACCGAGGTTGCCATCACCCCTGTCTTCAGTTTACACCAGGATCGAGTTTGGAATCTCTATGAAATCCACCTTTCTCTGCTGGAGGACATGTGGAGTTGCAGGAGGTGGTCTTAGGGGTAGTGGTGTGGTATTTGTCCCTGATTGTTGACTGCCAGTGGAAGCTCCACTGGTTACTAGATGTAAGGGGTCAGGAGGAAGGACTCACTCCCACACACTTCTTGTAGTATGATATCGGCGTGTCCTGGGACAGCCTGACGTGGGCTGTCCAGATAGAGACAGGCCAGAGCCAGCGCCAGCGCCAAGCTTGGATAGGCCCACGCTCAAGCCCCATGGACTGTCAGAGGGCTCTGCTAGAGTGGTCTGGGTGTCCACGCCCACACCCCTCCCTTGATGGAGCCACCAGCCAGACCTGGAATTTGTAGGCAGGATGTTCTTCTTGGAATGCTGCTCTTTAAAACAGCACAGGCCAGGTGCGGTGGCTCACGCCTGTAATCCCAGCACTTTGGGAGGCCGAGGCGGGAGGATCACTTGAGGCCAGGAGTTCAAGACCAGCCTGGCCAACATGGAGAAACCCCGTCTCTACTAAAAATACAAAAATTAGCCGGGCATGGTGGCTCACGCCTGTAATCCCAGCTACTCAGAAGGCTGAGGCAGGAGAATTGCTTGAACCCAGGAGGCGGAGGTTGCAGTGAGCCGAGATCATGCCACTGCACTCCAGCCTGGGGGACAGAGCAAATCTCCGTCTCAAAAACAAACAACAAAAACAAAACAGGACAGAGACTGCCTCCACCAAGCCAGGGGGTCAATGTGTATCACCATGCTGAGGGCAGAGCTGGGGGTGGGGTGGGTGCCAAGGCTCTCACCTGGGGCCTGAGTTCTTCTTGAGTTCCTTTTCTTGCTCATGCGAGGCTTGACTCAGGACCTCACTGCTCTGAGTGAGAATCTGGTGGGAGGGAAACGGGGTCCTAGGCAGCTGTGACTGCTGTGGGCATTGTCCCTCTAGCCTCAGTTCTGTACCCTCACCCCCTCCCCGTGGAGATGCTGCAGGCCCCCTGAGCTACACACCACACTGCCTGGGAGTGTAGGGCCCTCACAGGCAGCAAGGAGTGTGGGGCCTGGGTGGGCTTGAGGTGGCTTGGCGAGGTGTGGGGGCCACATGATGGAGCTTTCTTGCAGAATCTCCCTAAGCGACGCTCTGCCAGCCCTACCCGATGGCTCCCTGTAGCTGGGGCTGCTACTGATCCCCCACTCTTGCTGCCAAGCACAAAAGCAGCCCTTCTGGAAATGCAAATGGCTCGGCTCAGCCGTCATCTCTCCTAATTTTGGATTTGGTAACTGAGCTCTCAGAAACCAAATTGCAGGAATCTCTTTTGTGTTAGGAAGATGAAGTTAGTTTAGCATTTTTGTCAGTAAGTGCATATCAGCAGCAATTCCCCATCGTTTGCCTCCCCAGCGCCTTCATGCCCTAATTTTCCCAATGTGAAATAAAAGAATAGATGTCTGTGATTTAAACTGCAGCCTGCTGCCTACCATTGTCCAGTTTCTGTGGGTTCCTGGGATAAACCTGCACTTCCTGCTGGAGAAGCTGAGAGGTGGCTGAGATGACCAAGGCAGGCAGCTTGCAGGTAGAAGCCATCAAGTCCAGCCCCGGCCTGTGGCAAGGCTTTCCGCCTCTCACCCAAGTCACCACACCCTGGGAGCGCCTGACAGGCTGTGTCGAGGGGTTGCCACAGGCTTGTGGCCACCTAGTCACCCACTTCAGAGACTCAGGTAGCACATGCCAGCCTGCTGTGGGAACTCTGCCATCCTGCCACCCAGCACAGTCCTTGGCCTTCTGTCCTGTGATTTGATTGCCACAGCATCATGACTTCTCAGTGGTGGGTGGGCGGGGGGGTGCTCTGTGGGGCAAGGGCAAAGTGGTGAGGTCAGGAGGCCCCCAACCCATGGCCCAGGTCCAAACCCTCGCTCTCTCCGACTAGTTCTGTGACCTTTTTGGGCCTCTATACAATAGTGCTTGTGTCATTGGGCACTCACTACAGTGGCTGGTGCAAGTTAAGTGCGGTTAGTGTGTGACCATTGGTGTTATCCCACCACTGGCCTGGCGAGTCAGGCCCCTTCCCTGAAACTTGGCCCCATGTGCCAGTGGGGATGGTGGGGGGGCTCGTGGTCCCAGGGTCCCTCTGGCTTTGTAATGTTAGGCAGCTAGAGTTCTCATCTCCTGATCCCATGGCCCCTGCCATGGGTGTCCCCGGTGGTGAGAAGGGATTGGGCCCCTCCCCACCCGAGAAGGCAAGCACTCTAAGGCTATCTCTTCTGCTGTCACTAAGGCCACCTCTGGGGAGAGCACAGGCTTGAGGGTGGGTGTTTGTGATTGCCCCGAATCCTGGAAGTCCAGCCCACTGAATAAGCGAGGGCATGGTGAGTCACACTGGTCCTGTCACCCCAGTGCCCTGTCATTAACCTCATTTCCGAAATGATTTGCTTGAGATGGGCCCCTGATGGCTCCAAATTTAATTGGTGTGTGGTCATTTAAGGGGGAGCAGAATCTCCCTAGAGAACCCTTGGGGGTTCTCTCCTTACCACCCCTGTTCTGCCCGCCCAGGCTGCTGAGGAAACCACACGTGCTAAGGCAGCGGTGGCAGGCCAGGAGGTCCTGGTGCCCTGGGGCATGGCTCCACTTCCTGTGAGCATTGCCGTCCTGGAACAGGGCCTCTTCCCATTGCCTGGTAGGCTCAGCCTGCCCCAGCCAGGCCGCCCTGGCACCCTGGGTTCTCTCGCTCGGCCACTGTGGGGAGTGCCTCCCTAGAAGATTCACCCTGCCTCCGTGACCCATGGGGCCCCCACGGCCATGCTCAAGACGAGGCTGAAGCCAGCCCATAGAGCCTGCAGGAAAGTCATTAGGAAGCGCATCCCGTGCCAACCTCTCCTCCTGCCAGGAGCTACCCGTGTGGAAACACTCTCCCAAGAACCTATTTATAGAGCAAGGCCAGTAGTTGTTTTCACTTTAGGTGAGGCCATCTAGAGCCCTGTCCGCCTGGAGTGCTGCTTGCGGCAGACACTTCTGCCCCTGCCGGCTCTCTCCTGCCACCCATGAGAAATCGGAATGCTGGTACGAGGAACATTGGCAGGAAAGGAAGTGATATCTTGCTACAGCTTCCTTTTCTCAGCCCTAGGCTTCTCTTTTAGGCACCAGCGTGTGTTCCTGAAAGTGGGACTTTGGCATCTTTTGTGGGTACCCAGTGGGCAGAGGCCTGGCCTGCAGAAGCCAAGGCCCATGCTGAGCAGTGTCACTCAGCCACACATACTGACGCCAGCCCTTGTCCGTCTCCATGCTTCCCAGCTTGGCATCTGGACTCAACTTTGAAGTCAGGACTGACTTCAGAGACATGGGCGGCCTGAGCACCTGGGCCCACATTTATCCAGCCCATGTCGTCTTGGTCTCCAGCCTGTCTGAGGCCATATGTGCCCTGCAGATGCCCTACCCACCTGGTATCTTCTTCCAGACCTCTGCCCTCCCTGGCTAGGCTTGGGCAGGGTCCTTGCCTTGACCTGGAAGTTCTCTCTAGAACCATCCAGCTCCCTCAGAAGTTCCCATGGTGCCCACGCCACCTCTACACTGGGCCCCTCAAACTCTGACCCCAGCCACAGCCACCCCAAAGACATGTCCTCGTGCCCAAGGTTGGAATGGGAGTGCTAGCCATGCTCTCTAGGGCCATCACATCCCCCCTCTCCACCCCAGCTCAGGTCCCAGAACCTCCCTCCTAAGACAACTTGCGCCTGGATTTGTTCCTCAGAAGCCTCTGAAACTTGAAGCAAGAGAAGCAATGTAATTAGTCCTCCCTGGCCCTCCAGGCAGCAGCACTCATGCGCCTGCTAACTGGAAACAGAAGGTACTTTCTGTTGCAGAGGCCAGCAATGGCCCATATCTAGGCTGCTGCCCTGAGCCGCCTTGGCTGAAACTGTGAAGCTGACCTGTGCTCCCAGGACTGCCTCTGCTTCTTGGGGTTGGGTCCAGCTCCCCAGGTAATTACAGTGTGTCCAGGAATAGGGCCACTGTGAAGCCCCACCGTGGCCCTTTGAGAGGTATCCCAAAATCTCCTGTTGGGGATAAATGCCTCTGGTTTAGGGGAGTCTCAGTTCCATGGTCCCCTCTGGTGGGGGATGGAAGCCTCAGGCTGGGACAGGTCAGGTGAGCATACCTCCAGCCGCCCCACCTTCAGGCCTCCCCACCTCTTAGGCCATCTGGAGCGAGACCCTCAAGGAGCCAAGACCTGCTGAGATGTTGCCTGCTCACTTCCTACCTTGTCTCCCACTTCTGCCCCCAGCCCACCCCATCTGTTCTCAACACAGTAGCCAGTCTGCTGAGATGCAAGAGTAAAAAGTAAGAACACGTGTAAAAGAGCTCATGCCATCACTGCACAACCTCGCAAGCAGTTCCCAGCCTCCTCCAAGTACAGGCCACAGGAGTGCTCCCCACACATGAGGCCTGCTCGGTTTTGCCCACCTCTACCCCCTGTCTCTTGCCCCCCTCCCCTCATTCTTCTCTAGCCACACCTGCCTTCTCACTGTTCCTTGGACACACCAGGCACATTCCAGCCCCAGGGCCTTTGCACCTGCTGTTCCTGCTGCTGGGAATACTCTGACTTCACCTCTCTGTGCCTCGGCCTCCTCATCTATAACATGGGGTAAGAGCAAAAGTGACCCCATAAGACTGCTGGGAAGACTTGCTGAGACAATACACACAAAGCACTAAGAGCTGGCACTGTCCCTGCTGGGCTGCAATCGGTGGCCCAGGGAGATGGGTGGGAATGGGAGCGGATTACCAGCTGGCTACAAGGCCCACTCCAGGATCAGCCTCAGCTGCTCGGCTGGGCCAACCTGGGGCTCAATCAGGGCTCCTGGGAGTGGGAGCCATTGTGCCCTGTAAGGCCCTTGGACTTTGCTCAGTAACTGCCATGGGTCTTGCTCACTGGATACCCCACCCCACGTGCCCGCGTGACTCCTGCACAGCCTTTTCCTACTGAGGCTTCCAACCACCAGGCCAAGCCAGGTGCCTCGCCCAGCCCTATAGGACAGGGTGCGAGAGTGGGGCCGCCTCTCTGCCGGTTGCTGGCTCAGAGAGGCAGAGGTGGTGTCAGGGCTGGAGGGATCGGTGGCCTCGAGGCACCATGGCCTCTCGCGTAGGGTGCAGGTGGCTGGGCTGGATTCAAATGTGCATCTCACTGTTGGCTGGCCGATGAGATGTGGGGTGGCTTTCTCATGCCCCCACAGACCCTCCCACCCACCTAGTTCTATCCTGCCCCGGCTAGTGGCTCCGAACCCCAGCCAAGCAGAGCCAGGGATTTGGGCTTTTTCTGTCTGAAGGAGAGGAGTGGGCCTCTAAGGGGCCTCTCCCACCACTCCCGCAGCAGACCACTGGCCTGGGGGCCTCCTGCAGGGGCCTGTGTGCCTGGCAGCCAACCTCGCTGGGGATGAGCACCAGAACGCCTGGGGATAAAGTCTTCTCCTCCCACCTCCTGCTCCCTTCCTCCCTCTCCCTTCCTCCTGCCTTTCTTCCTCCTCCTCCACAAACACATGTTTCCAATTCCCTCTCAGGCCCCCTCTCCCCTCCCCAGCCCCTTCCCATTTCCTCTCTGAGGCATCCACTAGCATGTGGAACTCATTAGGAGACCCTCAGGGCTCGTAACCCAACTCTGGCCCAGGCTTGGGGAGGGGGCCCTGTCCGCAGCCCCCATGCTGAGCCACAGCGGCTTCCCCACATCTGGCCCCTGTCTGGCCCTGTGCAGTTACAGGCTGGAAAGCACAAGGAGCCAGCCGGTGCCGGTGGAGGAAGCATGGCCTGGCGGCCAGCTCATCTCACTGCTCTCCTCTCCAGCCACGTCCCGGCGCCTGGTGAGACATCTTAGCCCCAGCAGCTGGGCCAGGGTGGTTTCTGATCCCACCGGGGCAGCTGGACCTGTGTGTGAAAAGCAGATCCCAGGGCCACTTGAGCAGGCCCAAGGGTATGGGGTTCTGAGTGATGAACTCGATGGCCCTCAGCTTTCCATCTGAAAAATGGGAAGGGAAGTCCAGGGAAGAGAATATGGTACGTAGAACAGCCACCAGGCAACAGAGTTCCACATCCTCCCTGGAGGACACAGTGAAGGCCCGGTTCCATGGGCTGTTAGCGGAGGTTATGCAAAACAAACTGGTGCTATTGTCACCAGGATTTGGGAAATGCCAGGATGAACAAAGTAAAGACAACCACTTCCCTGAAGGATTGTCAGAGCCTTTAATACACTCCCATGCAGTGCAGCCACTGGGCCATAGAGTTCATGGTGTTTCCAGACATTTGACCACATGGTCCTTTTTATTGCAGCATACCTGGCAGGCCTGGGATTCTACAGAACCCACTTTAGAAAATGGTACAGAAAGAACAGTGAGGAGGCAGTAAGGATGGGTCAAAATCCCACAACAGGAAAAGCTCCCTGAGTGTCCCATCAGGAATTGTTACCTGCTGGGTCTGAGCAAAGGGTAGGAAT
The DNA here is from genome assembly GCF_000001405.40 of Homo sapiens. Classification (NCBI taxonomy): domain Eukaryota; kingdom Metazoa; phylum Chordata; class Mammalia; order Primates; family Hominidae; genus Homo; species Homo sapiens. The sequence continues at coordinate 52,067,430 of NC_000003.12, read as the reverse complement.
TGATGGGGGTGACAGCAAAGGATGGGTGAGCAGGAGCCAGCGGGGGCTGGTGGGACCTCACTTGAGCCAGCTGGGTCCTGGTGACCCAGAGTTTCTCCCTACGCTGATGTTTCTTCCCCGTGGGAGAAGAGCAGGTGAGTGGGCCGGCATGGGTGCAGAGGCTGGCAGGCAGGGCCTTCCCCAGGAGATGGGACCTGCACGGGCAGGCCCAGGGTGTTGGGAGTGTCCACACTACTCTCCTACTGCGACATCAGCCTTGGGATGGGCAGCCCCTGGCTCTAGGCTTGGACGAGCTCCTTTGTCCCCATTTCCCTATGGGGGCCAGCCTCTCTGCTTAGAGCCCCGTCTGCCCACACTGCCTGGCACAGCTGCTCACAGGCCCCCTCTCATCCCTTTGCTCCAGGGGGCTTCCCACACGGAGTCCTTGACTACCCCTAGGTCCTCTCTCTACTTTCTGGGCACAAAGAGGTTGAGCAGAAGGCAGGACCAGGCTCTTTACATAGCTCATCTGCTGCCTTGCAACACTCTTGCCTGGTAGACTGAAGCCCCATTTTATAGACCAGCGGTCCTCAACCTTTTTGGCACCGGGGACCAGTTTCGTGGAAGACAATTTTTCCATGGACTTGGGCTGGAGGCATGGTTTCGGGATGAAACTGTTCCACCTCAGATCATAGGCATTAGATTCTCATATGGCGCATGCAACCTAGATCCCTCTCATTCGCTGTCCACAATAGGGTTCGCGCTGCTATGAGAATCTAATGCCAACGCTGACCTGATAGGAGGTGGAGCTCAGGCGGTTCTCCACAGCCCGGGATCTGGGGACTCCTTATAGAGGAAGAAACTGAGGCTTGGAGAGGGGAGGCCAGTGGTGGTCAAAATTGGAGCCAAGTGTCTTGGTCAGGCTCCCCTATCTCCACCCCAACCCAATCTTATCCCTGCCCTGTCCCAACACACATGGCATACTCACACCTTGGTCACCTGAGGGCCACATAGGGCTGTCCTGCTATGCCTGGCAAAGGGCCTGCCAGGTGGTCAGCACTTGACCTTCTCTGGCACAGGTGGGTCAGGCCAAGGCCACTCCTGCTGCCCAAAGTGCATAGGGGTAGTCGAGGGCCCATACCCAGCCACTTAGGACAAAGAGGCCTTTCCTTTCCCTCTGATGGGCCCAATGTGGAACTTCCCTGGCTGCCCCATAGTCCCTGGGAGTCAGGGGAGGCAGAAGGTACTGCCCTGCTTTATAGATGGAGAGATTAAGGCCCAGGGGCTGGGGCACTGCAGAGGCCCCCCAAGTGTGTTGCAGGCAGCAGAGCTGTGTTTCCCCAGCTCCATGGGCTCCAGCTCCTTGGGCCTTTTTGTTGTTCCTGGGAGCTCCAAGTCTGGGTAGTGCCCATGGCCTGGGGAATCCAGCTACCCCTCAGACTGAGTTCTTGGGCCGGGCCTTGGGGCTGTGGGCTGGCTGATGCTTCAGGGTCTCTGGGGAGGTCTCCAGCTCCAGCCAAATGCCTCCCAACACTCTTCAGCCCACCAGCCCTGGGCTCAGCTGCTCCTAGGGCTCAGGCTAGAGGGTTGTCCTGTTGGAGATGGGTGTCAGGGCAGTGCTGTCCTCTGCTGGGAGACTACGTAAGCCACGGGGAGGGGCAGGGAGGTGGGCAGGGGCCCAGGCAGAGTAGGCCCTTGTCCATCCTGTCCCCACCTTGGAGGGCCCACTAGGAGCCCTGAGAGAGCCATTGAACTCCTCCCTCCTCGAGGGCCTGATCTTTTCAGGAAGGGAGTCATCCAAGTCTTGAAGCATGTGCGCCTGTGGCCGGAGTCAGGCTGGGTGGGGCCAGGGCAGGAAGGGGAGTCCTTAGACTATTTCCTGCTGTTGCCTACCTGGGAACAGTCCGCATCCAGGTCCCGGCAGGCAGCTGGCCAGCTGAACCACGTGGAATGGTGCTGGGCTATGAGGCCTCAAGCCAGCAACCCTGCACCTGGGCCAGGCCAGCCGGCTCCCAAGCCATTTCCCAGCTTCGTCATGGTCACCCTCACTGTCACCATCAATGCCTCATAGGAAGGATTCCTGAAAAACGGGGCCGTGTGGGCAGGCAGGGAGGGGACCAGACAGGCCCAGGCAGCAGGCAGATGCTAATGAGGCAATTAAGCCCCTGGCACATCCGCCCACGAGGTGCCATGAGAACTCCTGGCCTCTTTTGCCCTCCCCGCCTCAAAGGTTGGACTGTCTTCACTGTCAGGAACCTCCCACTGCCAGCTCTGCCAATCAAAAAACCATAGGTTGGTTTGGCAAAGATAGAACCAGGGCAACCCCCAGCCCCATCACTACTTCTTGCCATTGCTCTGGTTGAGCAAATGCCTGCCCGAGATGTCTTCTCCCCCTCCCCATCCCCTGCTCAAACCACCTGGGCTCCAGGCCCTTCCTGGCAGAGGTGGCCTTCGAAAGATCAGAAATTTTGAGCAGGGGGCCAAGAGTGCCATGGTGGCCACGTGGGCATGCAGCTAAGGATTCCTGCTCCTGCAAAGCCCTGGCTCCCATCCCTCAGGCTCCCAGGTGGGCTCATGGCGTGCAGCCCACAAGCCCTGGAGTGTAAGGCAGGCGAGAGATCATCCCAGGGCAGAGATGCTGAGGATCGTGGGGAAGGGGATGCAAGAGGCGAGGGTGTAGCCCTCACCCGTGGCTTTGGAGCAGGGAACCCAGTCCACCTGGGTTTATCTGAGTCCTTTCCCCTTCTCCTCTGCCTGCCTCTGAGGCCCGAGGACATCAGATGCAGCACACCTGATTTCCCTGGGCTGTTGAGTGTCTTCTCCTGGCTCTCTAGGGATGACCTCCGTGTCAGCAGATGGGGTGCCCAGGTGAGTCAGAACCCCTGACCCAGCCCAGCCCCTCCTCCAGGCTTGAAGGGGGGTGGCGGTGGGGTATAGGACTAAAACCCAGGCTTAAGACCCCAGGGACCTTCAGGTCCATGAAGAGGTGGGAGTTTGGGCTCATTCTGTGGAGGACGGAGGAGCTGTAGCTGGGTGGGGGAAATCAAGGGCTATGGTCCAAGGCCAGGATGAGGCCTGCCAGGCAAGGTGCCAGCAGGTCCATCCCTTCATGTCAGGGAGCCCTCTGGCTCCAGAGACTCTCACTGAGTGACTCTGGGCAGGTCATACAGAACAGGCTGAGGCCCAAGGAGGGAATGGAAGTAAGAGGCTTCTGGAATCATCGAGTATGGCAACGGAGGGCCAAAGATGTTTTGTTTTGTTTTGTGGGTTTTGTTTGCTTTGGTTTTTTGAGACAGCCTCTCGCTTTGTCGCCCAGGCTGGAGTGCAGCGGCATGATTATGGCTTACTGCAGCCTTTGCCCCTCAGGCTCAAGAAATCCTTCCACCCAGTGTCCTGAGGAGCTGGGACTACAGACATGCACCACCACACCCAGCAATTTTTTTTTTTTTTCCTGTAGAGATGGGGTTTCGCCATGTTGCCCAGGCTGGTCTCGAACTCCTGAGTTCAAGTGATCCACCCACCTCAGCCTCCCAAAATGCTGAGATTACAGGTGTGAGCCACCACGCCTGGCCCCAAACATGTTTAAATCATAGGACCATGTGCTCATGGCTGACAACACAGAAGAGTCTAGAAGTAGGCCAGGGTTCCAATCCTGGCTCTGCCACTTCCCAGGTGCCCACTGTGGCCCTCAGAGGATGAGTGGGTTTGGGGGACAGAATAAGAAGGTAGTCAAAGGCGAGAGCTGGGAGAAGAGGGTTTCAGAAGGGGGATCAGTGAGGGCAGAGGCCCTGCAGAAGGAGCCCGGGCTGGGGAAGTGCGGGTGAGAGAGTGAAAGCTGCTGGAGAATCCAGGACGAGGAGAAGAGGGAGGGGAGGGGTCACAGAGCATCGTGTAGACTCTATGCAGAGTGTAGACTCTATGCTGGGGACAGTGGGAGGCTGTGGAGGAGGAGAGGCTGCCTCCACCTTCTCAAAAGATCCCTCTGGCTGCTGTGTGGGGAATGACTGTCGGGATGGAGGCAGAGGCCTGGAGAGGAGGCACGGGAGGTGGTCTAGGGGAGAAGGGGGAGAATCTGGGCTGTGTAGTGGTGGCCAGATGGCTTCTGAAATTGAGTACTGGGATGGATTAGCCATCTCTGTCATGGAAGTGGAAAAGGCGTTTGGTAGCACGAATGTTCTGTGGAAGACAGAGCCCTTCTCTTTATGGGCATGCACAGCTGCCTGTCCTCCCAGTCTGTCTCCCACCCTGCTAGCGCTGGGCCTCCCCAGAGACGGGAAAGAGCTGGCAGAGCAGGGCTCCCTGTGGACTGTACTTGAGCCTGGAGGAGACTGGAGCCACAGTCAGAGCCAGCTGGGAACCCCTGGGCGCGGGAAAGGAGCTCTAGGTTTTTAGTCTGGAGCCCAGCCCGCTGCCACTGCTTGATTTGTGGCCATGGGCCTCAGTTTCTCCATTTGTCAAATGGGCTGGCAGTGCTCCCAGGGCTGATGCAAAGCCTGGATTCGAGGCCAGAAGGAAAGATGTTTTGAGACAGATGGGAGTGTGCAAGCCCATTAAGCCCAAGACAGCCTGTGTGGGAACTCATCACTGGGAGCCCAAGGCGGGCATCCACCCTCCCTGCAGACCGTCCTTCCCACTTGCCCATGTTTATGTGTTTCCTTCCCATCACCTGGGCCACCATGACTCACCCCAGGCCTGGTGGGTGAGTGAGTAACTGGCTGGGGCTGGAGCCAGGCCCTTGGGCAAGACACTTCCCTTCCTGGGCCTCAGCTTTCCTATCTGTAGAACGGCCAGACAAGTCCTGCTCTGCTCACCCCACTGGGGAATCCGGGGTGAATACAGGGCTGAGGATGTGAAAGCAAGAGGCTGCAATGGAGTGGGGACAAAGCAGGGTGTGGCCTTTCTGCAGGAACAGAAACCAGGCCCTCTCGACATCAGTCCCAACTTGGCTCCCAGCAGAGTTTTAAATGCTCATTTGCCTAGGCTGACCAGCCCAGCAGATCCCCATTGCTCTGAGGGGGGACCCCATGCCTGGGAGAGCTTGGAATGGAGGGCAGGGTGGGGCCCAGGACCTTGGTGACCTCATGGGAGATGGGACTTCAATGATGAAAGGGAGGCTAATCTAGGGGAAGAAGCCACAGAGGTGAAGCCCCACCCTAGACCCTGCAGGCTGAGGTGCCCTTAAGTGGGTAGAGGGTAGAAAATGCTGGACTTGGCCCGGTGCAGTGGCTCACACCTGTAATCACAGCATTCTGGGAGGCTGAGGCGGGAGGATCACTTGAGCCCAGGAGTTCGAGGCTGCTGTGAGCTGTGGCCAAACTACTGCACTCCAGCCTAGATGACAGAGCAAGACCCTGTCTCAAAAAAACTAATAATAAAAATAAAACAAAATGAAGTAAAATGCTGGGCCCCACAGGAAAGGATTAGGAGAAGGTGCAGACTGTTGCAATGAGGCAGGGAAGGCCTCCTGAAGCTGTGGCCCCTAAGAAGCTGGAGATGATTTCAGAGGGTGGGGGCATGGAATGAAGGCACATGTGGAGGCAGGGGCACTGTATCTGGCACACAGTGTAGGGAGCAAGCAGGAGAAAGTCAGGGTGAGCTGAGCTAGCGGTGGGGACAGGGAGGGCATAGCTGGTCTGGCTATGAACTAAAACCTAAGCAAATAGGTTTTAGCTTTCTTGCCTATGACAATCAGCTGGTCATGCCTGCTTGGAAGGGTTTTGAGACCAGGGCATGGCTCAGCAAGAAAATGTGCTGTGGTTGACTAGTAATGTCTGCCAGGGACAAAGCATGGAAGAGCAGTAGATGTGTGTCCTCTGTTTTCCATCCTTGGGCTGGCCCCTTGGGCTGTGATTGGAAAGGTACACCCTCAAGTGAGTGACCCCAGGGACTCCACGTGGAGAGGCTGGCCAAGGGCTTGCCCTGTCACTGCTGGGTGGGGAGCTCTGAGAGAGAAGAATTATGTTGGTCTGTGCCATCTGAGTCCCCCCTTCACTGTCCTGCACACTCCCTGGTATGGGGCAGGTGCTGAGAAAATGTCTGAGAATGAACAAGGAGGCTTCCCTCTTGGCCGGGCTCTCTCCTCCCTCTTCCCTTTGCCTTCTCCAAGCAGCCTTGGGGATTCCCCACAGATCTCCCAGGCCCTTGCTTCCGTCCTGCCATGTCTTGTGCTCTAATCATCCTGGGTGTGACCCACTTTTCTGCCAGGGCTACTTGCTCCCCCAGGCCCTGCACTCTCACCAGGTCTGCCCTGTACACCTGGGCAGGAGAGGGAGCAGATAAATAGGCATGTGGCTCCCCCACCCCAGAGCTGTCCCAGCTTTCCCACACTACACTGCCATTACCCAGGGCCTGGCAGGCCCCTGCTGGAAAGGCAGGGGTGGACCCCGGTTCCATCCAGAACCTGTTGCTATGGAGATACCAGCAACAGCCAATAGGACAATGTGAGCCTAGGTGACTAGAGGGCTGAGGGGAGAGGACCGTGCATCCCGCCAGCTTGGTAACCACCCCTCTGGAGGACATGTCTGTGGGTATCCCCCAATAGGAGTGGCGAGCGCCCAGATGTGGGTCTGGAAGCGTGTGTATCTACATACAACAGAGTGTGTGTGCACGTGTATTGTGTATTTTTGCACACATGTATAGGTCCTTATCTGTGTATTTCTGTACATACACTTATGTGCCCATGAGCATATGTGGTTATATGGGTAGGACTATGTGTGTTGGTGCCTGTGTTGTATGTATCCTTACATGTATATGTGTATGTGTGCAGCCAGGAGTTCTATACAGGGCAGAGGAGTTGCCATCCCTTCACAGTCCTCTCCTGGCCTGGCTTAGATGCTGCTGTCTGAACACCGGCCCAGGCAGGCACCCCACCAAGGGTTGGGGAAGAAGCTGTCCCAAAGTTCAAGGGCAAGCAGACCAAGTCTAGGTCTCAGCAGGCCTCCATCGGAGCACCTCTCCAGCCTGGTGGAGCTGGTCTGGGCAGAGGCTGGCTTACTCTCCAGCAACAGGCACCAGAGACTGCTCAGCCCTTGCTCATCCCTTACAGTGGGATGTGAGACAGACCCATAGTAGAAAGCTGCCTCCTTAGCTTAGATTTGTGCCAGCCTCCTTAGGACCAGGAGGGCAAGGAGCTGACCCTCCCCTCGCCTCAGCCTGTCCATTAGAAGCATGGTGGCCCGTTTGCAAGAAATCCATGGGCAGTAGTGGGAAAAGGTAAATCTGTTTCTTAGGCACTTGAACTGTTCTGATGACACAGCTCCTTGGTCAACCAGCCATATGAATGTGTGTGTTGGGGGGAAGGGGGTACATACTAGCTCACATCTGCTCTTAGGGACCCTCAGCTCCTCCCAGAGGAATAGCAAAGGGCCATGAAACATACCCACCATGGCGAGGCCTTGTGCTGCCAGGAAGGCCCCTTCTCTGTGTGGTTCTGAGGTTGGATGTGTGCAGACAGGGAAGGCAGCTCCAGACGTGCCTTGTGGGTTCAGGCCTGGCAGTTGGCTGATCGCGATGAGAAGGGATGGCAGGAGGAGCAGCAGGCTTGAGGCAGGGCAGACTTGCCCCTGGGCGTTCCGGGTGACCAGTGTGGTGTGGTAGTGGATGGTGTTGGGTGGTGGACAGTGACTGTGATAGGGTGCAGAGCAAAGATGGGGTGAGGAGGGGACGGGGTCCTTGGAGCACCCAGCAGGGAAGCTAATCTGGGCCCGGATGATCAGAGGAGGCCTCTGTGCTCAGAGACTGAGCTGGGATCAGAAGGCAGGCAAAGGCTGAGGATGAAAACTGTCCAGGCAGGGGAAATACCTGTGCAAAGGCCTGGGGCTGTGTGGGAAGGAGGGACAGCCCTCAGAGAGTTCAAGCATGTCCCACCTGCACTTCCCCTCTCCCTCCTGAAACAAGCTCATCCCCAGGGACAGAGCTTTTCCAGCAGCCTCTTTCCCACTCCCCCACCCTGCCCCTCAGGGAGACCCTAGTGAGCTGGACACCCCTCCTGGGAGCTGCAGGTGAGGGAAGGCCTGAACCCTAAAGGCAGGAAAGACCACATTTCTAAAGAGGAAGAATGATTCCAAGGCCTTGGAATCACCCAGGGCACCAGGTTGCTGCCAAGAACGACCCTCTCCCTTGAGGGAAGCCTACAGCTGCCAGGCAAGGCCCCGGACAGGGACAGCTCTGGTCTCTTGCCATGTGACCATAGGCGAGTTCCTGCCCTGCTCTGGGCCTTGTAAGTCTGGGATTGAGGGTTCTTCCCCACAGTGAGAACCAAGACTTAGGGCCTTTCCTCCAACCTCCTCCAACCTGCCCGGTGGGGGCCCAGGGTCCTGCTGGCACATCAGGGGCTGGTTAATTTTCCTGCCAACCCTTTGCTTCCACTGTCACCCCCTCTCCACATGCTCCCCCTTCTCCTGCACTCATCCAAATCTGCCTCTCTTTACCTCCTTGTTAGAGGACGCCCTCTCCTCCTGCTGCAGGAGCTTTTCACACATTCTCACAGATCTCTCCTCCAGGGTGTATCCCCCACTACAGGAGTCTAAAGGGAGAGAGACAGGAGTCATTGCAGGCTAATGTGAGGGATGGCGGGACCCCTTTCCTCTCTCTAGGGTAGTTCTTCCTCATGCCTGGGTAGTGGGGGCTGGGGAGGCTCAGAGGAGGCTCCCATTTCAGTTGTTCCCTTGCTAGTGAGAGCAATGGCCCATTCCTCACCAGGCACTCAGAAGCGAGTATGCTTCAGCGCCGTGGGACACGCGCCCAGTCTCACTTGAGGACAGCATGAGCCTTCTGTTGATGTGACTCTGGCCTGCCCCTCAGGGATGTCACCCTGACTTATTGGGCACTTGACACCTTCTTGAGCTACCATGGACCCGTCTGGGGAGGGAACACCAAGACCAGTCTCTGCCCTAGAGAAAGAGGGGTCTGTGTTCATCCTGTGGTAGGCCTGGGAGAGCACCCAGACCGGCATCCAACCCCATGGTGGAGCAGAGGGGAGAGGTAGCCAGGCCTGAGTGGAGGATGGAGGCTCCACTGTTGTCACTCCGGCTCCAGGCAGGCTGGTACTCAGGAGGCCCTCAGCAAGGCTTGCTGAGTGAATGGTGCACTGCTCAGCAGCTCACCCTCCCCTGGGAGTTTGCTCAGGCCTCTTTTTTGAGTGCTGCCTCCATCCCTGACAAGCAGCATCCAGCCTGCCAGCCGAGAGGCCTGTCCTCAGACCACGTCCTCCCAGCCGGATGGATTCATAGACGGATTGGGCTCAGTCCACACTAGCACTCTCCTACACTGGGAGACCCAAGGCCCAGAGGGAAGAACCATACTAAGGTCACAGGACACACCTGCAAGTGGCAGGACAGAATCTGGGTCTTGGCATCTTGGGCCCTGGAAGCTCTTTCCACAGGCCCAGGACCCCCAGGACAACCTTGGGCGGAGAGTTGCTTCTCCTTTCACACTCTGAGAATGTGACTGTGGGAGAGACCCCTGCTCCTTTGGGATACAGCCCTGTGGCCCAGGATGAAACTCTTCCGAAAGACTATCCCTCGCTTGAAAGACAGGCGGGGACTGCTCCTGAGTCACCCCTTTTCGTGCCTTCTGGTCAGAGGTTAGCGGAAAGCTCAAATCCTCGGGGTTCCAGAGGCCGTCCCTCAAGCACCACCGCTCCCCCAGTCAGGGATGGGGGCAAGGTGTCTCAGAGCCGACCAGCCTCGGGCGGAGTCGGGGGGTTAAGCCCCAAGGAGGGGCACCCCGCCAGGCAAAAGAATGGACCAGATAGACGGCAGGGTCCAGCCTCAAGCTGCCACCCTGGCTCCGTAGGGAAAGCACTGCAGGTCCTACGCAAGCGCGCCGCCTGCGTCTAGCCGCTTTGTTCTAGCGCTACCTGCGGGTCCATTCACCTCCGCTGCCCCGCCTGCCTGCAAATCGACACACAGGGCGGGCGGAGGCCCCGCCCACTTCCCCGCCCTGGGTGGAAACCGCGGCGGGCCCCGCCTCCCTCCGCCACCGCCTCTTTCGGCCAGGATTGGCCATCTGCATGGCAGGCGCCCGCCTACCGCGGAAGTTGATTGGTCCGTTGAGAGGGAGGCAGGGGAAGGAAAGCTGATTATAAAGGAGCATTCCCCTCCCACCGGCCCCGTGGAAAAAGTCACGTGGCGCTTCACTGGGCGCCTGTCACCACCCCGCTTGTAAAGCTTTCTTAAAGGGCTCGCGATCCCTTCCCAAAGCTGGTCCTTTCTAGGATTTCTCCACACCTGCCCACGGAAGGTGGCACGGCCCTGAGTCTTCCTACCCCGCCAGTTGCCCAGGTCCTGATTTCCCATCAGGCCTGCTGGCGTGAGACGCTCTCCCTCAGGTCTGGAGCCTGTGACCGTCAGGGGAACGATGAGGTCCTCTGAAACGGTGACCGCCTAGCACAGTGCCTGGCACGTAGTAGGCGTTCAGTTCTCATTTGTTGAATGAACTCGATGACAGAAAAAATGAATGGGATGACAGGCGGGAGGAGGAGAGGTTGCTCAGCTTGACCATCCCCCCCACCACGCCCCGTCCCAGGAAAACTATGCTGTTGTGAATGTGGGGTGGGGGTGCCAGGCATAGGACGCCCCCAGGGCCTCTCTTCCCGCAGTGTCCAGAAGAGCTTGGGAGCACGCGCAGAGTGAACCCATGAGGGCGTCTAGGCCGGGGTCCCTAGGCGGATCGTAGTCAGCTCCGAGCTAGTCCAGGGGGCAACGGTGCGGAGGCGGTGGGGGAGGGCCCCGCCGCTGGTCTCCCGGGCTCGGGTCGCGAGCGCGCCCGCATACCCCGTGGGGAGGGGCGGTGGAGGCGCTGCGCCTTTAAGCCCGGGCGCCGGCCCCCGCGGCCCCGCCCCCCGGAGAACGCCTCGGCGCGCGGCCGCCGGAGCCGCCGTTTAATTGGGGCTGTCAGGCCGCGGTGCGCGCGGAGGGCCGGGCGGGCGGGCGGGACGGAGGCCGGGAGGCCGGGAGGCCGGGGCGGCGGGCGCGCAGCTCGGCGGGAGGCGGGCGCCCGGAGACGCGGCTGGGGCCCGCGCGGCCGGGGCGCCGTCCCAGGGCAGGGCTGCCCGGCCCCGGCCCCGGGCCGCCCGCGCTCCCCATGAAAAACCAGCTCCGCGGCCCCCCAGCGCGGGCGCACATGTCGACTTCGGGGGCGGCGGCGGCTGGGGGCACCCGGGCGGGGTCCGAGCCCGGTGCGGGGTCGGGGTCCGGCGCAGGCACCGGGGCGGGCGCGGCGACGGGGGCAGGGGCCATGCCCTGCAAGAGCGCCGAGTGGCTGCAGGAGGAGCTGGAGGCGCGCGGCGGCGCGTCCTTGCTGCTGCTCGACTGCCGGCCGCACGAGCTCTTCGAGTCGTCGCACATCGAGACGGCCATCAACCTGGCCATCCCGGGCCTCATGTTGCGCCGCCTGCGCAAGGGCAACCTGCCCATCCGCTCCATCATCCCCAACCACGCCGACAAGGAGCGCTTCGCCACGCGCTGCAAGGCGGCCACCGTGCTGCTCTACGACGAGGCCACGGCCGAGTGGCAGCCCGAGCCCGGCGCTCCCGCCTCCGTGCTCGGCCTGCTCCTACAGAAGCTGCGCGACGACGGCTGCCAGGCCTACTACCTCCAAGGTGAGGGCGGCACCGAGACGCCTTACGGGATCGGGGCCCCCCCGCGACTCCCTGACGCCCCCCTTGGAGGCGCTTTCCTCTCCACGCGCTCGGCCTGCCCCTCTGGGCGCCACGTCGTCCCCGGCCCGCATCCGCCCTCCTGGAGCCGGGTCCCCACTGTGTGGTTTGGCAGGCGCGGGGCTCCCTCTGCGCCCCCTTTCTCGGCACGATTCGAGTGGGTGGAACAAACTTTCCCCTGCCTGGGGTTTCCTTTTTTTTCCTGTTGATGGGGCGACAGTAGTGCCTGGGCTCCAGTGGAGCCCCTCAGAGGTGGAAGGCGCCGCCTCCCAGAACCCTAAAAGCGGCAGGGCGCCCAAGTCCAGCCTAGAATTCGTGTTTCTGGAAGGCCAGGATCAGGAAGGGCACCTTTCATAGCACCATCCTCACCTCCAGCGCATGGAGACCATTTGGGTTGGGGTCTCCTGGATCCGGGAATTGCTTCTTCCACCGGAGAATTGCCGCCTCTAGGAGGCGCTTGGGGCAGGGTATGGGCAGGCTCCATTGCCCTGGCCCGGGTCTCTCGGGACCCCCAGGTCCCTAGCCTGCTGCCCCGGAGCTTGCAGAAGGGAGAGGTAGCACCGGGGGGCGAGTGGCTGAGGCCGGTGTTTCCAATTAACATTCCAAAATGGCCTCTTGCTGGCAGCGGGGCGGGCGGGAGGGGAGGGGAGGCCTGCGGCACCCTCGGGCGCAGGGCCCATGCCTCGCTGCAAGGGGCTCCCCATTTCTCCTGTCCCTGTATCGCCCCAGTGGCCCTCCCCCGCTGCAGGTCCAAGGCTGGGGGTGGGGCTTGTGTTCTAAGGGAGGGTTCTAGAGAAGTGGAGCCAGGACCCCCTTCAAAAACCTGCCCCTGCTGGGGGAAGGGGCCAGCCAGTACCTTCCCACTACCCTCCCCAGCTGTAGTTTCGGGGCTGGGCAACCACTAGACTCCCGTTCAGGAAGCCCAGGACCTCTCTGCCTCTAACTGAGCCAGATGTGGCTCTGGCACCTGTGGTCTCATCTATAAGAGGAGTTTGCCAACCCAGAGGTGCTGGCTAAGATGGGGTTGTCTGCTTTTCTTTACCACTTAGCTGTTACTGAACACCCATGGGTGCTAGGTGTGCGTGGGAGCTGCAGAAGAGGAATTAGCTGGGGCCTGTCCTCAAGTGCCCTAAAGCTGGTGCCATGGCTGGGGGCCCCGAAGTGTTATGGGTACCAGTTTGGAGTCCAGGCACGTCACTTCACCTTCTGGGGCCTCAGTTTCCTTATCTGTGAAGTGGTCATGGTTTAGATGGAGAGAACACGAGAGAGGGCACACGTGTAACATGCTTGGCATGGCCCATGCTGACCGTGGGTGCTGTGGTGTTTGGCGTGCAGAGTCCTGGCCATCTCTGGTCTTGTGCAGCCCATCTGGGCTCTCACCAGCCTCTCACCCAGGCCCTGTCTCACCCTGGACACAGGTGGTTTCAACAAGTTTCAAACAGAGTACTCTGAGCACTGCGAGACCAACGTGGACAGCTCTTCCTCGCCGAGCAGCTCGCCACCCACCTCAGTGCTGGGCCTGGGGGGCCTGCGCATCAGCTCTGACTGCTCCGACGGCGAGTCGGACCGAGAGCTGCCCAGCAGTGCCACCGAGTCAGACGGCAGCCCTGTGCCATCCAGCCAACCAGCCTTCCCTGTCCAGATCCTGCCCTACCTCTACCTCGGCTGCGCCAAGGACTCCACCAACCTGGACGTGCTCGGCAAGTATGGCATCAAGTATATCCTCAATGTCACACCCAACCTACCCAACGCCTTCGAGCACGGCGGCGAGTTCACCTACAAGCAGATCCCCATCTCTGACCACTGGAGCCAGAACCTCTCCCAGTTCTTCCCTGAGGCCATCAGCTTCATTGGTAGGTGCTGTGTGCTGGGCAGGGGGGTGTGGGTGCATCAAGGTGTATGCAGGACTCTGGGTGGCGCCCCCGCCTGACTGGGTACCTCTGGGCCTGTTGAGACCTGTGTGTGCCCTACGTGTGCCAGCGTGTGCCCGTGGGTGTACCCAGGCCTACTGTGAGTCACCGAGTCCCTTGGGCCCCTCTACCTGTTGGGGCCTGAGCAGTCTCCTGAGTCCTGAGCTCCCCCTAGCTGACAGCACGTCATGGGCTCTCTGCTGTCCAGCTTGTGTTTTCCTGGCTTAGATGTTGTTTCGGGCTTAGCAAGCTGAAACATCACAGCGCACAGACCTCCCACGGGTCTCACTTGCTCCGCATCACGCCTCAGCACACGTGTCTCTCCAGGATGGGGTTGTCATAGTGCCTCTTTGGGCTTTAATGTGGACCTAAGAGGGCTGAAAGGTAGCCCTGGAGCCAGAGGCACACCCCAAACAGGCAGCTATTGAAATGTGGTGACTGCTAGCTCAGTCAGCCTCCAGATGCTCTCTGCAGCCTGTAGGGCTTGCTTGGAGTGTAGGGAGGAGTGCAAGAGAAGGTGGGGGAGTGGAGAAAGGCCTTCCCCAGAGCAGTGTGTCCTGCTGTCTGGCTTAGTGCCCTTCGAGTCCCTGTATCCCCAGCCTCAGCAGACTCGGGTCCCCACTGCTTTCTCCTTGGCCAGCTGGAGGCTGAGACCACAGGTCATCTCCCCTGGCCCAGGGTGCAAGGAAGGGGCACGAGGGCTCAGGATGAATGTAAACGCTCTATCTCTGAGCCTGGTGACCCAATGTTTCTGCCCAGCCTCCAGTGGCAAGGTGTGGGGGTGGCCCGGGCTGTCTTTTCCCGATGGTGGCTGTGTCCAGTGGAGGGCGTTTTGGTGTCGGCTGGGCTGGGCTAGCTTTAACAACAGGAAGTGGGAGGCTTCCCCGCCTCATCCGCTTACTGGGAACCAAAAGTAGGTGCCTGGCTGGGAGGAAGGAAGGAAGCTGAGGCCTGGGGGAGGGGCTGCAACTGGGGCTGCCTGGAGCTTCTCAGCCCTGCCCACCACCCCCTGGGTCAAGAGGGCTAGGGGTGCTGCCTCAGCATTTGAACTCCCCCAACGAGGGAGGGGAATAGAGAGAGGGAAGCAGGCTTCGCCAGGCTGGGCCTGGCTAGTGGGTACCTTTATCCTTCCTGAAAGCTCCTCCCCGTCTGGGTAGGGGGACCTTTTTCCTCATTTGACAAGTGAAGGAATTGAGGCCCAGGCATCCCTTAGGAGTCAGTGGGACAGGATCAGTCACCAGCTACACCCTGAAAAGGCCAAAAATAAAGCCAGCAGAAACAGACTGTCTTTGGATCACCTGGAGGTGGGTTTGGAGGCCAGGCGTTCCTCACATCCTGGTGTCACCACTGGAGGCTGGTCCCAGCACCCCCTTTTCCCACCCCCAATCTCGAGGTCTGACCACACAGCTCCTCATGAAGCTGCAATGTCTGTCTCCTTGCCAGATGATCCTGCCCCAGTGCCTTAGCCATGGGGCCCCCTGTCAGTCCCTGAGTCTGGAGGAAGCACCTACTGTATGCTTTACTCCTTGGTTGGGAGGGGATGGGAGAGGAAGCTCTGTCAGGACAAAGGCAACGAAGAACAGTGGGTGAACCCGTATGTCATCTTGTAGGAAGGCATTGATTGCGTGCTAGCTGTGTGCCTGGCTCCTGGAGGGTTCAGAGTCAGGGTGGTGGGGACATCAAGGACCCCATGGCTGCCTCTTGTGAATCTATGTCCCTGGCACAGCTGTGGCACACAGAGAGGCAGCTGCCCCGGGGTCCAGGAGAGATTACAGGACTGAGTTGTTCAGTAGCTCGGCCAGTATTTATTGAGCTTCTATGTGTCAGACAGAGGAGTCTGAGGGTGGCACTGGGGGAAGCTGGGAGGGTTGGAGGGGAAAGGGGACAGGAAGGTTGGCCCCATCCAGTCAGCTGTGGTAGGAGATATCACTGACACATGGGCCTCCTGAGGAAGGTCTAGCAAGTGGCAGGGGTGGGGCCCATTTAAGCACACCTCACTTATGAAGCCCCATCACAAGTGATAGTGTGGCCATCATCCCAGTCCATGTGTCTTAGGAGCTGGAGTTAAGGCCTTGGGGACTAGCTGGGCAGATGGCAGAGCGAAATGCAGGGCCAGGCCACCTACTTCCTTCCAGAGGAGCCTCCCTCAGGCCACTTTCCTAGAAGACTCTCAGGGACAACCCATGGGAGCGGCTCCAAGAGAACCAGCCCAGCCCCCAGTCCCAGGTCATGGCCTGGCAGCAGCGGGCGCTGAGCTAGGAGGAGCTTCTGTGTGGCCTTGGGCTTGCCACTTTGTCTCTGTGTCTGTTTCCTCGTTGATAAAATGGGCTTACTGGCCATGGTGCAGATGACCCAAGAGGATGCAGGTGACACCCGTGACAGCAGTCGTTAACGCACATGGCAGTGGTAGGACTAGCCATGATCACAGGCATTACAGTAGTTCATGTTTGTTGACCCCTCACTTGGCTCAGGTCCTTATGAGACCACTGTGCATAAATAGGCCCATTTTATAGATGAGGAAACAGACACGGGTGTCCAGTGCCTTGGGGCTAAAGTGTGCAGAGCCCTCTCCACAGCAGTGCTGTTGACCTCTATTCCAAGTTGCTGCCCTACCCACACTGGGCTTGGCCAGGTCCCTCAGGGGTCGGGCAAGACCAGCCAGCCACCATGCTGCCCTCTGTGCCCCAGCCCCACCTGCCCACCCATGTGGGAAGGCTCCTTGAAGGAGGCACCTCCCTGACCCATGCCAATGTGTTTCAGACGAAGCCCGCTCCAAGAAGTGTGGTGTCCTGGTGCACTGCCTGGCAGGCATCAGCCGCTCAGTGACGGTCACTGTGGCCTATCTGATGCAGAAGATGAACCTGTCACTCAACGACGCCTACGACTTTGTCAAGAGGAAAAAGTCCAACATCTCGCCCAACTTCAACTTCATGGGGCAGCTGCTGGACTTTGAGCGGACGCTGGGGCTAAGCAGCCCGTGCGACAACCACGCGTCGAGTGAGCAGCTCTACTTTTCCACGCCCACCAACCACAACCTGTTCCCACTCAATACGCTGGAGTCCACGTGAGGCCTGGTGCACGGGGGGCATGGCACCAGGCCCCTGCTCGGCTCTCCACAGGGCTAGGTGGGAGAGCCCAAGCCCGCCACCTCTGGCCTGAGGAACCCCCAGATGTCACCTGTGCCCAGAGGCCCAGGCTGATCGGTGTCGGAGCGCCCCTCACCATCCTTGGGGGCAGGGCCCGCAGGCAAGGTCTCCCACTGCAGGGCTTGCTGGAGAGGCCTCGGCTCTTGGACACGTGGCTTTGGGCGTCCACCAGGGCCTCATCCTGTCCAGGACGCTCCTTTCTGCTGACAGCCCAGCCAGTTTGGCTGTTTTTTAAAGACACATCCACGGACCTGAGTTTACTTTTTACTTTTGGCAGGTAAATCCAAGCTCCCTGGAGCACAAAGAGTGTTTGAGCTCTTCTTGATTTTTCTTTTTTTTTTTTTTTTTTAACAAAAAGTGTTATTTTCAGGCTACATGCAACAGTGGATTGTATAACCCAGTATTTCATCCCTTTCCTGATCCTGCAAGAGAGAGAAATGTTCAGTTTTGTTTTTCGTTCAATTTCAAAAAGCAAGTATCGTGTTTGTTTTTGTTTTTGTTTTTTAATGGAAAAGACAGACGCCATGTTGACCTTGACCAAATGCGTTTTGCACATGTGTGAAGCCTCTGTTTCCTCAGCGGGCCCTTCTTGAAGGGGTGGCTTACTGCTCTTCAGGTATTGGGACCCCCAGTCGTGCCGCCTCCCACCCTTGGCCCAGTCTGACTTAGCTCTGCATTCGCCTGTGATGACTGCTGCAAGTTGTGATTGGTGGGCTGGATGGTGGTCTTTGCATTTTCTGCCGTCTCATCCATCCCTCTGGTGGTCCCTGCAGACCTCCCTGAGGCAGAAGGTGGGGACCCTGGGGCCCTGCCGCTGTCCCCCAGGAGGTGGGCCGCAGGGGGCTGCCAGGCAGTAGCATTAGCCCTCTGGGGTCAGCCCCTAAGAAGGCCTGGGCTCTGAGCCCTTTTATATACTTAGCCACTACTTCTGTCTGTCTGTCTGTCTCTCTCTCTTCCTCTCCCTCTCTCTCTTTCTCTCTCTCCCTCTCTCTCTCTTTCTTTCTCTCTCCCCCCCTCCCTCTCTCTTCCTTTCCTCTCTCTTGTTGTAACTGGGAGTGGAGGCCCAGTGGCTGGGGAGACATTAGGTGGTGGGGCCCAGCCCGACCTCCAGGTTCTTCCTTCTCCCTAGCTGTTGCTTTGGTCTGGCCACTCCCAGCCCCCTTGTCCCCTTGGAAGCTTGCCCTGCCCTCATCTTGCCCATGCCTTCTACTGCCAGGAGACTTGCACCCATTTCAACCCTAGGGCGGGGGCAAGTGGGGCAAGGATGGACCAGCAGAAGGGGGGTAAGGCTCTGTTCACTTCCCCCTGCCTCCACAGAACGAAGCCACGGATTCCGTTATCTTCCTCCAGTTTTGTTCCTTCTCCAGCCTCAGTTCCACCAGGTGTCAGGACTGCATGGGGGCCTGGGGCAGGCAGAGGAGTCAGGCCAGGGTCCCTGACGGAGCAGCACTCAGCATGTGAGTGAGGCCACAGAAAAACTCTGCCCCACTGCTTCTTACCTCACGGGGGTGGCTTTCAGGGATTCTTTAGCGCAGCAGATTAAAATCTTGCCACAGTCGAGAAATTGACAACAAGCTTCCATGCTGTACATGGTTCTCTTTTTCTCTCTTTTATTTTTAAAAAGAAAACCCAGAAAGATGTACCAGATTTGTGTAAATGAGGGTATGCCAGAAGGTGGCCAGTTTTGCTTTATGATCTTATGAAGGAAGATTTGTGACCCTACGTATATATATACACACACATACATATATATATATATCCCGAACCAACAACGGGACTTTGTTTATATTGCAAATAAATATTATTTTTTCTTTAAAATGAGTCGTGTCCGATAAGGGCTTGGGGCCTGGGAAGGAGGGGAAGGAGTGCTGTCGACAGGCATCCTAGTGCCTGCTCTGTGTGAGGCACTGGCCTGGTTCTGCTTGGGGTCTGCTGGCCACTTAGACTAATCAAGGTGCCCCGCAGATGGGAGGGAGCAGCCACAGTTTCTGGATGAAGCTGGGGCAGGTGGCATTTCCCCAGCCCTTAGGCACTGGCAGGCAGAGGCATCAGGGCTTTCTCTGTGGGCTTCTGCTGAAATCAAGGCTTGGAGAGGTTGTATATACCAAGTTGACACAACTGAGTCCTGACTCGCCCTTCATTGTCTGAGGCTGTCTGCTTAGGCATTGCCCAGATTGCAGCCCCCAGGACCCTAACTCTTTCTCTTGCTGCCGTGTGGGTGAGAGGGGAATGTGCATTTAACCCTGCCCCTGCAGGTCCTGAGATATCAGTGGGTAGTGACAGGTCAGCCCTTCTTTGCTTCTTAAGGGCTGGGTGGCCTTGGACAGGTCCCTTAGGCCGATTGCACCTGGTTCCTGAGTGCTTTTCAGCTTTGTGGCATGAAGAGCACATTATTGGCCTGGGCTCACAGGGAGGAATCAGCCGTGCTCAGGCGTGTACAAGGAAGGGTGGGCATGGGCCTCTGTCAAGGCTCCCCTGGGGGTGGGGGTCTAAGCGAGGCCCTGGGCTAGAGCAGGGAGGAGGTCTGGAGAAGGATGGGGGCCACAGTCTGGGGAAGTGAGGCCCCAGTGGACAACAAGCCCCGAGTTACAGATCAGGAAATGGAGGCTCCAGAGTGGCTTAGGTCTCCCTTGCCTCTGGCTGGATCAGGTGAGCCCCAGTCAAGGACTTAAGAGGCCTGGAAGCTGACTCAGTTTCCCCATTTCTGACATTCCCCAGCTCTATCCCTTCAGCAAACTGTGTGATCAGCACTGAGCTGGATCCAGGTGGAAGGTAGGTAGGTAGGGCCGAGAGGGTGAGGGCGGCTCAGCCTGGGACTTGCTCTGTTGGGGTGCCCAAGGCTCTCCTTCTCTTCTCTCCCTCATCTCTGCTCTTCAGTTAGTCTGCACCAGAACGCAGTCACAACCATCATGCGCAGCCTGTGGAGAGGGGTAGAGGGCAGGTTCTGCCCACTGTGGGGCCT
Organism: Homo sapiens; assembly: GCF_000001405.40. Classification (NCBI taxonomy): domain Eukaryota; kingdom Metazoa; phylum Chordata; class Mammalia; order Primates; family Hominidae; genus Homo; species Homo sapiens. The sequence continues at coordinate 52,047,774 of NC_000003.12, read as the reverse complement.
GGGTGCAAATCTCAGCTGTGTGACTGCAGTCCCTCAGTTCTACCCCCTAACACTCCCATGTGGAGCGTGGAAGAATCCTGCCGCTCAGCCGGCAGGCCTCTGTGGGTAGGAGGGGGCTTCTTGCTGCATCCTCGACAAGGGGGCGGTGCTGCTGTTGCTCCTGGGCTCCCTCAGGGCCCTGTTCCTTCTGTGCCAGGGGCAGGCAAAGGGGGTGGGGGCCTGAGCAGGCAGAGACTGGGCCTTTGTTCCCTCCTGCTGCCCTCGCCCAGGCCTGGGGAAGCCCGCGGGTGCTGGGCTGGGGGCTGGGCCCTCGACAAACCGAGTAAGTGCCTGGCAGTGCCAGCGTGCCCAAGCACAGGACGGGGTGGGGGTGGGAGTGGCAGCCGCCTCCTGAGCCGGCTCTTCAGACGGAGGACTGGGACTGCCTGAAGAGGGCCAGCCCCGCCACTTACCCCTGTGCACTCTGGGGCCAGTGGTCTCTCTGACCGTCTGTGTCCTCCTTACCTGTAGAAATTCCTACCTCAGCACTGGGCCTGGCTAAGGTTCCCTGCTGGGGGACAGAGGGCCAGGTCATGGCTGAGAGGCTGGGGCCCTGGGTCCTTGCTCTGTGACCTTGGGCCGGGCCACGCTTACTGGACTGTGGTCCCCCACCCCTGGGTTTTGGGCTCCCATCTCATGGCCCCGTGTCCTGAGCTCCTCCTATCCCACCCCGTTTCTGCCATGCTCTCCCCAGCGGGCCCTGCTTGCTTCAGGCCATCTGTGGCTGAGGCCCTCAGCGCAGCCGTCCTGAGCTCTTGGACACTTGGCTCTCTGGGGGTGCACCTGCTTTATCTCTGTCCCCAGTCCTGTTGCTCTCTTGAGCCTGTTTGCCTCCTTGGTCCCTGTTTCTGCCTCCGTTTCAGCCTGGACCCCGGGGAGCTGGTCCACTCCTTAGCCGCTTAGTGTTCCCATGGGAGGAGGATCCAAGACACTTACTCACTTGCACATTCATCCAGCAGCCATTTCCTGTGCCGGCTGGGCAGTCCCAGGGAGGGAACATGCCCGAGGGAAGCTCGGTGATGTCACACTGGGTGGCAGGATAATGGGGCCCTCAACTTGTCCTCTGATAAATGAATCAAGTGCAACATGAGGACTGACTAAGGCTGGATACGAGGAAGCACTTGGAGTGCTGTGGAGCGATGACCTTGAAGGGGTTCCGACAAGACCGCAGGAGAGATGAACATTTCCCTAGGGTGGTCCCGCTCTGAGCCTGGGGGCAGAGGGAGCCCTCAGGAGAGGGCCCTGCTCTGCCTGCCACCCCCACAGGGCCCCTCCCCAGAGGAAAGTCATTCCTCATGAATGGACCAGGGTGGGGGTAGGTGGCAAGCCTGCACTGGAGCCTGCCCCTCCCTGCTACTGCCCATGTGCTGTGCACCTGGGCCAACAGCATGACTGCACTGTACCTCCCTCTGTGTCAGAATGGATGTGTCTGGGACACCAACACCTACCCCCAGATCCTTGGCAGAAGCCAGAGGGCCTGATATGGGAGCCAGCTTTCTCTGTAGGGAGCACAGTAGCATGTTAACCTCTGGGTGCCCCGATGGAGGGTGTTCAGGTCCTGATCCTTGACATCTTTTCCCCTGCTTTCTTTGGGCCCCACCAGGACACAGTGCTCTCACCTGACTCCTGAGACCCAGCCTACCTGAGAGCCCTGGGAAGGCTCGGGAATCACTCTGCTTCCCAGCCCTGTGCTGATGGGGAAGGTGAGGTTTGCAGAGGGGTGTCATAGAGTGAGGCAAGGTAGAAGCTGGGCCCCCCACCCTGCTGCCCTGAGGCTTTTCACTAGGCCCTGGCTCTGTGAGGGACCAGACACACACACACACACACACACACACACACACACACACACACACACACACACACACACACACACACACACAGCTTTGCCATCCTCTGACTAGACAAGCCCATGCAGGTCTCATAGCAATGGAGGAGCCGCCTGCCTGTGACTGTAGCCTCCTCTCATCAGGGTGTGTCCTGGGTGAAGTCATCCCTTTCCAGGCATGGTCATTAAAGACTATCATTAGCAACTCTTAGAGGCCTTGGCCCCATTGTCTCTGGCTGGGTCAGATGAGCCCCCACAGGTGACCGTGACACAGACTCCGGCCCCTTGCTAGAACCTCTCTTTGCCCAGGCAGCCAGCCCCCTTCCCAGGGCTGTCCTATCGCACACTTCCAGGGGCCATTGTCTGCCGTGTAGCTTCCGTGCATGTGTGGGGTCTCCACACGCCTCCCTCCATGCCTTCAACTCCTCCTCTGGCCTCAGGGCTGCAGGCAGAGGAGAAGCTGCAGTGCCTTTCCACAGGGCGTCATGGGCCAGGGAGGAGCCTCTTTAGGGGACAGGGGAGCCCCTAGAGGGCATCAGGCACAGGGCTGATGGGGTCTGGCTGTCACAATGAAGATCTAGTTGGTGAGTGAGAGCGGCCTGAAAGGCAAGCGCGCAGGCCAGGGGACAGGGAGGAGGCCAGGACAGTAGTTGAGGGTGGGTCAGGAGTGCTGGAGAGGGTGTGGGAAGGACACATCTGCAGACCAGCAGGACTTGGGCCCCATGGGAATCAAGACCCATGGTGTGAACAGAGGGTCCCAGCTTGTCTGATGCCACATCCACAGCCTGAAAGCCAGCCGCTGTGCCTCGCAGAAGGATTAAGCTTAGCCCGGGCATGCGTGGGCCCACGGGACCCCGAGCCCCCACTCACCTCCCCTGAGGGAAGCTTGCCTCACCCTCATTGTGCCACCACATGCTAGGCGCCCAGGGAGAGCCAAGGGGCCCCAAGATCCTTAAGCGTCCTGGAAGTCCCCCAGGACAGCACAGCCCTGACGGCCCATCTCAGAGCCTCCGTTTCCTCATCTGTACAGTGGGGATAAGAATTGCCAATTCAAGAGGAGAGAGCAGGATGAAGGGCCTGTTGCCCACCTAGACCTCTGGAACAGGAGCCCAGGTGAGTTCATTTAGCTGTGGCATCCCCACCGCTGCTGAGGGGCACCTCTCCGGCCCAACTATTGTCAATTTGCTGTGTGATCTCGGACAAGCCTCCTCCCCCGTTCAGTTCTCCAATTCCCTGTTTCCACTGATGAGAGATAGAATAATGACCCTGAGGTATCTGGCCCTCAGATTCAGCACCACACCCCTTTGAGCCTGCCTCTGGTCCCCCAATTCGCATGCCCCAAACCTAGTTCTCTCCTCACCCCACAGAACCTAGCATGGGGGCTTGGGATGAGGCTCCCGGTGGAGGAACTACAGGAGCAAAGGCCCAGCTCACACTTCTCCCCAGACCACTGGCACCAGGCCCCTGCAGCCCTATTCCCTAGCCGCTGGGAGAGAGGCAGGCTGGATACCACTGTCCCTCCCCGGTTGCTGGGACTCAGGTGGTCTCACCAGCACCTCTGGGCAGGGAGTCTGGGTGTGGTTCTTCTGCATCTCAGATTCTTTCCCTGGGCCTCATGCCCAGAAGTGGCATTTCTGGGACAAACACCTCTGCTTCCATTTTTCCAGACTGGCTTCTGAAAGGAAAGCAGAGTTGTTTGTCTTTTACGTTCAGCTATTACTGTTGCTGATTTAGAGAAGCCACGTGTTGGCAGTGCCAGGAACACGGCAGGGGCCCAGGACAGCTCTGGGGGCTGAATCATTCCTCGGCGTGAGGTCCTGCCATGGCTGCCCCTCATGCCTGGCCCTGCCTGGGATCTGTTCCGATGTAGTCGGTCACCTGGCAGTTCAAATTGCAGTAAGAGCCATAATAATAACACACAGCCATGGCCCTTGTGCTGGGCCAGGTGTCCTGCAGGCTTTACATGATAAACTCACTTAATCTCCCCAGCAGCTCTCGGAGGGGGTGCTGGATTATCCCACATGGACAGATGAGGAAGCCAAGACAGAGAACTGCAAAGCCATGTGTCAGGAAGGGGCCCCACTGGGGTCTGGGCACAGGTCTGGCTGCCTTGAGAGTCCCTGCTCTCAACTACCCCAGGCCTGAGAGGTCAGGAGACCTTTGGGTTTTGACCCCCTCCCATCCCTGACACCAGCTGGGCTCCCACCCATGCCAGCCCGAGGAAAGCAGCATGTTGTGGGAAGGAGCCCGGAGCTCCCTTTCTGAAGGGACTGCGATGCACCTGTAGGTTACCTGGGTGGGGCAGGGGAAATGGAAGAGAAGGGCTGGCAACAGCTGGGGAGGCTTGGGAGGGAGTGTCCAGTCAGGGCTGTCCTCCTGGAGTGCACAGGCTGGAGGGGCAGAGAGTCAGGGACACCCAGTTCCAACAGGTAAGGTAGTCTGGGGGCATCTCCCAGAAGGGGACATCTTCTAGTGGAGATGAACCTCTTGCTGTTCCTGCTTCCAGCCTTTGTGCATGCTATTTCCTCCCCCTGGAATATTCTCCACCTGCCACCACCCCCTTCAATTGGCTCCCTCTTTTCTTTTCTTTTCTTTTCTTTTCTTTTCTTTTCTCTTCTCTTTCTTTCTTTTCTTTTCTTTCCTCCCTCCCTCCCTTTCTCCCTCCCTTCCTCCCTTCCTTCCCTCTTTCTCTCTCTGTCTCTTTCTCTTCTTTCTGTCTTCTTTTTTTGACAGAATTTTGCTCTTGTTGCCCAGGCTGGAGTGCAATGGCGTGATCTTGGCTCACTGCAACCTCTGCCTCCCAGGTTCAAGCAATTCTCCTGCCTCAGCCTCCTGAGTAGCTGGAATTACAGGTGCCCACCACCCACCCTGCTAATTTTTGTATTTTTAGTAGAGATGGGGTTTCACCATGTTGGCCAAGCTGGTCTTGAACTCCTGACCTCAGATGATCCGCCTGCTTCGGCCTCCCAGAGTGCTGGGATTACAGGCATGAGCCACTGTGTCTGGCTTCTTTTCTTTTCTTTCTCTTTTCTTTTCTTTCTTTCTTTCTTCTTTTTTTCTTTTTTCTCTTTCTTTCTTTCTCTCTCTCTCTCTCTCTCTCTCCTTCTCTCTCTCTCTCTCTCCTTCCTTCCTTCTCTCTCTCTCTTTCTTTTTTTTTTCCAGAGTCTCGCTCTGTCACCCAGGCTGGAGTGAATGGTGCGATCTCGGCTCACTGCAAGCTCCGCCTCCCAGGTTCACACCATTCTCCTGCCTCAGCCTCCCGATTAGCTGGGACTACAGGCGCCCGCCACCATGCCCGGCTAATTTTTTTTTTTTTTTTTTGGATTTTTAGTAGAGATGGGGTTTCACCATGTTAGCCAGGATGGTCTTGATCTCCTGACCTTGTGATCCACCCGCCCTGGCCTCCCAAAGTGCTGAGATTACAGGCGTGAGCCACTGCGCCTGCCTGCCTGCCTTCCTGCCTTCCTGCCTTCCTGCCTGCCTTCCTTCTTTCCTTCCTTCCTTCCTTCCTTCCTTCCTTCCTTCCTTCCTTCCTTCCTTCCTTCCTTCCCTTTCTTCCGTTCTTTCGTTCTTTCTTGACATAGTCTCATTCTGACACGCAGGTTGGAGTGCAGTGGCACGATCTCGGCTCACTGCAACCTCCGCCTCCTGGGTTCAAGTGATTCTCCTGCCTCAGCCTCCTGAGTAGCTGGGATTACAGGCATGAGCCCCCACGCCCAGCTAATTTTTGTATTTTTTGTAGAGATGGGGTTTTGCCATGTTGGTCAAGTTGGTCTAGAACTCCTGACCTCAAGAGATCTGCCCACCTGGGATTACAGGTGTGAACCACCACGCCTGGCCTGTCTGCTCTTTCCCTGAGTTTAGTGCACATGTCTCCTCCTCCAGGAAGCCTTCCCTCACCTTGTCCTCCAGCTGGGGTTCTGGTGCCTCCTCTGGCTCCCATGGCCCTCTGTGCAGGCCCATCCCTGGAGGTCTTGGTGGCTAGGGTGCTGTGTCCAGCTGGACATCATCAGCACCCCTGGCCATATGTCTGGGACACCTCTGGGAACTTACCTAGCTCTGGGTGTCAGAACTGTGTGACTTGTGCACAAAGAGGTGTTGCATGGGGCCCCCGAGTATCTGCCTCACTGTGTCCCCTCACATGTCCCAGCATCACTGACTGCATCTGCCCAGGCCTTTGGTGGTGCTCAGGAGCTGGGGCTGGCGCTTCTGCAGCTCTGACAGGACGTCCTGCCTCTGCAGCCGTGTTCACTGCTACTGTGCCCACCATGATCGCCCGCCCTCCCCTCTGTCAGGTTCCAGCCAGAGAAGGGTCTGGCAGCTCCTGTTTATAAATATCTGCCATGGCCACAGCTAAGTGGAGGGGTCTGGAGGCCACGCTAATTGATTAATTAAACCCTTTCGGTTAATTAGCTCTGTCCCTCCAGGGAAAGAAGTCTAGAGCTAGAGCCAGAGCCTCCTCTGAGCTGGGGGAGGGTTTAATTAGCCTGGGTCAGGCTGAGCCTGATGCCAGCTGCTGGGGGCAGTGGAGAGCCCAAGAGGAGAGTAGTTCTGTGCACTGAAGCCAGTGGGCCACCTAGGGTGGGGAGAAGGAGACTCTCACTTCAGCCCAGACCAGCCACTCCTGACCACCCCGGCCCTGAGCCCCAGAGGCCAGAGGCAGTGGGACCCGGAGGAGGGAAAATGTGTACTCAAGAGGCGGGACCTGTGAGAGCAAAAGGGTGGAGGCTGGATCTGGGAAGATGAAATAGTCTTTGCTGTGATCTGTGTTCCTGCACAGGGGCTGAGGGAGGATCCAGACAGGGGCTCCCAGCCCTGGCTGCTGCTATGCAGGGAGGGCCTTGAATGCCACACAAGAGCTTGGGATTTCTCTGGACGTGGCATGGCAGGTTTGAAGCTAGGGTGGAATCCAATAAAGTTTTGGTTTTAGAAAGATTTCACGGGGCACAGCTGCTCAGGGGAGAGTGGATTGAAGGGACAAGGGAGGAATGGGGGGCATGGAGAAGGGGCCTCAGGTTTCCAGAGAGAATGGAGGTCCATCATGTCTAGGGGCTGGTGGGGAGTGAAGTCCAGCCTGGGCATCAGCCCACGAGCTTGTGCTGAATGGCCCGGGGCCACCCACTTCCCTTCTCTGGCCCTCTCTCCCTCCATCCACAAGGTGCCCGGGGCCGCCAACTTCCCTTCTCTGGCCCTCTCTCCCTTCATCCACAAGGTGCCCGGGGCTGCCCAATTCCCTTCTCTGGCCCTCTCTCCCTCCACCCACAAGGTGCCCGGGCCCACCCACTTCTCTTCTCTGGCCCTCGCTCCCTCTATCCAGAAGGTGCCCAGGGCTGCCAAATTCCCTTCTCTGGCCCTCTCTCCCTCCATCCACAAGGTGCCAGGGTTGGGGGGTGGGAGTGGGAAGGAGATGTTCCTGAGGTCACAGCCTCAGGATGTGAATGTCACTGGCATGTTTCCTTGTCCCAGGATAAAGCACCTTCTTTACCCCCCACCCGCCAGCTCTCCTTGGTGCCTGCAGGCGTCCGACCTGGCAGCGTTCACGTGTATGTGGAGTCCCCCATTTGTGATCTATTCCAGACAGGAGGAAGGAGGGAAAGGGAGGGGGACACAGTGGTGGGGAGGGATACCTGTGCCCAAGCTGGCCCTGGCCCTAGGGAGGAACTGGCCACAGTAGGAGCAGGGAGCCCAGGATACCCCGACCGGCCACAGGCAGCAGGCAGGGCTGCAGTGCTGGCATGAAGCCTGCTCTGGGCCGGTCCTCCAGCTCCCTGAGTGGTTGCCCAAGTGGGAACAATGACCCTTTCACGTCACGCCTCCTCCAGTCACAGCAACTTTGGCGCCGCAGGACAAAGGGGCCGTTTCATCATTGTCGGGCTGGATCAACAGCCCGCCCGCCTGAGCCCTGCTGCCCCCACCCAGCCGGGCCCGGGAAGGGAGGCTGACTGCCCAGGCTGGCCAGAGCCCGGGACGGTCTCCCATCTGGCCCAGCCACATCCGTCCCAGGACCCTCCTCAGTTCCCACACCTTTGCCTTTTGGGCTGACCGCTGGCCTTCTATGAAGACACCTGGCTCTGCTCTGCTCTTTCCCTTCCCCGAGCCTTGGTGTCCCCCTCTGTGGAAAGGGGGCTGGGAGAGATGGGCCCCCACGCTCCGCTCAAGTCTGTGACTCTAAGGTGTAAGCCTTTCTACTTGTAGTCTCTGTCCCCAGCCAGTCCTGGTCCCCAAGAGGGAGCATTGAAGTGGGATGGGGCAATGCCTCCTTGGGGAGGGGTCCCTGGCCCATGGTGGACAGGAAATAGAAGAGGCTTTGTGGTCTGAGTCCTTGCCAGGCCCGTGACCAGCCTTTTGTTCCCAGTGACTTTCCATGATGTGAGCTAGCCCAAGGCCATCTTTGCTCACTCTTGGGCTAGCCTGAGCCCTCCATGGATACTAGGCTGTACAGAGGCCCAGGGGGACAGGGCTCTACCCAGGGTAGACTCTCTTCCCCATGCCCAGCCCTGCCTCCTGCCTTTGCTAGGGCCTGGGGGTTTGGGACCCTGAGCCCCACATTTTCTCCCTTCTCCATGTGGCCAAGGTTTGCTGGAGGCTTCCTAGCAGGGAGAGGCGTGGGAGGCCTTGTCTTCCTCTTGATGAAGAGACCCTAGTCTGGGGACCAAGACAGAAACTGCACCTCTCACCCTGCATGGTCAGAGCTGGGTCAGGAAAAATGCCTGAGAATCCAGCCATTGAGGACCCAAGCCACATCCTCGGAAATAGGGGCTGTGGGACAGGCTGGTGGCCTCCTGGAGGGTGCTCACAGCCTTGCGCCTGCAGATGGCAATAGTGTTGATAACTCATCACCCAGGGGTGAGTAGGGAAGCTCAATTTGCTGAGCCCCGTGAGAATGCTGATGACTCTCAAGGCTGATGGGTCTGGGGGCTCACCCTGGGCCATCTGCACAGCACAAGCCATCCGGGCAGCCTGTGTTGAGAAGGCCCTGCTGCCTGGGCCCAGATGCCCCTTCTGCTCAATGAAGCAGGGCCCCCCTGTCAACGCAGCAGACTCTACCCTGGTGGGCTCTTTCTAACTCAGGAGTGGACTCCTGATGTTGGGGAGGGGGAAGCCAGGGGCGTCTGGGTTCCACAGTCTTCCCCACTTTCCAGATGAGAATCCTGAGGCTCAGAGAGGTCAAGTGACCTTCGAAACCACACGGCAGGTGAGGGGCAGAACAGAGACTCAGCAACTGGGTCAGGATGCAGCTGGGGTCAGGCTGGTCACCACAGGGGCCTGGTCTCAGGGTGACCGCCCTGGGTACTGGGCAGTACACAGCCACTGAGGGCAGACATGGCTGCATGGATGCCGGAGACCTGCAGGGCCAGGCCTGCTCTGCAGTCCCTACGGCTGCCCATCCCCGCAGGCATGGTCGCTGCCAGGTCGGCAGCACTACACACACATTGCCCATTTGCCCTGCCTCACTTCCTCTGACTAAAGCTAAAGACTCACCCCTTCAGGGGATTCAAGCCCTGGCACTTGCTGGCAAGAAATGCCCAGCCCAGCCTCCCCAGAGCGTGCCTGCCCTGTCACCCTCTCTCTGGGCTCCTTGGCAGAGGCTGCCAGGAGCACATGGTAGGGGTGAGGCTGCTCCCCTGGTTTGAGGGTGCTGGGCTCAGCCTGGGCCAACATCAGGCAGTGGGGGGTAGAAGCAGGTGCTCTCTCGTCCAGACCTGGCCAAGGGCCCCTTCTGTCCCAGCTGCCAGTGTTGCTGACACCCCAGCCTCAGAGTCCTTGGTGCCTAAAGCCTCCTCGAGCCTAGTCAAGCCCAAGACCCAGTGAGAGAGTTAGGTGCCGAGCCCCCAGCAGAAGGGGAAAGCCTCAGCTCTGAGCCCAGTTTTGACCTCCTTCAGTTTCAAGGTAGCCGCTGAACTGTGTCCATCCAAGGAACAGCGAGGTCGAGGCTACCCCAAGATGTCTGGGAGAGAAGTGGGAGTTTGGCCTCATTACACTGGGGGTTGCCCTGTCTGGGATCCCTAGATGATCTGCGGCAGCTGCCGTCAGGGAGTGATGGGAGGAGAGATGGGGCTTCAGGCAACTTTTGGATTCAGGGCAGGGCCGCAGCTCCAACATAGCCAACTCCAGCCTCTGCCCCAGGCTCAGGCCCTAAGGTGGCCAGCACCTGCCTGAGCTGGGCTGTACTAGGCAGAGGTGGTTGCTGGGGCCTGAGGGCGAAGCACAGCTGACCTGAGTGTTCCTAGGCGGGGCCAGGAGGCTGAGGCTCTGGATCCTGACTCCAGCTCTGCTCCCGAAGGGCTGTGGGCCCGCAGCCAGGTCCCTGGCCTTTCTGGGCCTCAGTCTCCCCATCTACACACTGGCTGGACTCCTGTAAAGGGCTATTGGCAGTCCAGATACTGTAAGTTCTTGCATCATACCTGCTAGGCAGAATACACCAGCAGGCCCCCAGCAGTCACCCTGCCTGTCCTGAGGGTTTCTGGGAGGGGATCCTACTCTGTCCCTCAGACTCTGTCCTCTGCTGAAGAGGCACTCTGAGGAAAGTACAATGATGCTCTGATGGCAAGGCTAGCCAGGGCTGTAGCTGGGGCAGGTGTCAGGGCCCTCATAGAGGGAGGCTTCGAAAGGCCAGCCTAGCAGACCTTGTTCCACACTCACACGGCACTGTTTATGCTGAAAGCTTTTTTGCCACTCAGTCAATAAAATACTGGGGCTGCTGAAAGTGCAGCAGCCTGGGATAGTGCCTGGCATAGGCAGAAAGCCCCTTGCAGCCCAGCCCCCTCCTCCCACCTTCCCCCAGCCCAGCAGTCTCCACCCCTGAACCTCCTGAGCACCTCCCTCTGTATAGGTGTCAGTCCACTGGCACCCGGTGTCGGTGAGTGGTCGGTATGTGATCCAGCCCTTCGGTCTCTGGGCCTCAGCTGCCACCTGTAGGCAGTAAGTGCATCCCCTCCCCAAGGGCTGTGGTAAGGATCAGAGACCTCTGATGAACAAAAACTCTGAAAACCACCTGTAATCCCAGCACTTTGGGAGACTGAAGTGGGAAGATTGCTTGAGCTCAGGGGTTTGAGACCAGCCCGGGCATCACAGTGAGACTTCATCTCTACAAAAAAAAAAAATCCAAAAAAAAAAAGTAGCTAGGTGTGGTGGCACTCACCTACAGCCCCAGCTGCTCTAGAGGCTGAGGCGGGAGAATCCTTTGAGCCCGGGAGGTGGAGGCCACAGAATTATGATTGTACCACTGCACTCCAGTCTGGGCAACCAATAGAGCAAGATTCTGTATTAAAAAAAAAAAAAAAGCAAGCTCTGGACACAGCCGAGCCAGGTGGTGAGCATCACATATGGCAGTATCCCAGTGGGGTGAGCTCTGCGGCACAGTTGAGAGTCTGGCTTTCAGTCAGACTGGTTTCCAATCTCACCCTCAGAGGGCATCAGCTGTATGCCCCTGGGCAGGGTACTTCCCTTCTCTGAGCCTCATTTAAATGGGGATCATAAAGGGACCTGTCAATTCAGGTGTGGGGGAACTTGTCTAAACCACCAGGCCCTGGGGGATGAGAGCAGCTGGTATTGGGCTGTGCCTGCTGGGGGATGGGAGCAGTAGCTCTCAGGCACCCCTCAACGCCCCGCAGTCTCTGGGCTGGGGGTGAGTTTTGGTGCCTCACCCTGCTGGGGGAAGAGCCCTGGGGATGCACCGTCAGGGGCTGTCCAAGCAGCCACTGTGGAGTGTGCCCCAGCTGGAGGACAGGGGGGATGGAAATGCTGCCTTGAAGATGGGGGACACCGTCTGGTGACCCTGCGGGTGGCTGGGAGGATCAGGGTGCTAGGCCACTCTGCCCTGGCACTGGGTCTCAGGGAACAGAGGGCAGAGAGACGCAGGGGTCAGGCCCAGAAGGAAGGTGGCCTCAGGTATCTTTCCTCTGGCAGCAGGGCTCCTTGAATGCTGCAGTCTGAGCCTGACCCTGGGCTGGGGGAGTCCCGGGACTCCAGCCAGTGCCCAGTGGGCTCAGCCATGCTTCCCCTGCCAGAAGAACTCTCCCTCCCAGGTACCCCGGCTAGCAGTAACCACTGCTCCAAGGTGAAGACTTGACAGAAGCGCTTCTAACTCCTCCACGAGGTTCCCACTGGACTGTAAGTATAGAGACGGAGGCCCAGAGAAATTCAGTGACTTGGAATGTGAGGGAGGGGAACACAAAGCCCCAGCCCTTGGCTAGACAGAAGGGATGGAATGAGGATGCTTCATCCTGGGGTCAGGCCCAGCCCTAGAGAGGCACAGGGACAAGGCCACCCCAAGGCCCACCTGTCCTGATCCCTCCTGTCCCCAGCTGGCTGCCTCCTGCGTGGGCTGGTATTGCTGCTTCCAGGAAGCTGCCCAGCCCCAGGCTGAGTGAAATGCCTTCGTTGTGCCCACCACCCTGTCCTGGTGATGTGGGGCTTGTTTGTCTGTGGGAATACCCATGAGACTCCACGAGGGTAGGGCTGGCTCACCCACTCCTATGTTCCCACAGAGGGAGCGAGGGAAGCCCAGAGAAGGGGCCATGAGGCTATGGCGTGGACCATGATGTTACAGCAGTCCTTTTATCCTAGGGAGAGCTCAGCCAGCCTCGTCCCAGACCACAGGTATAACTGACCTTCGGAAGTTGGGGTGGGATGCTGTCTCAGCTCTCCCTGGCTGCCTCGTAGCCAACCAAGGGTGGGGGACCTGGAGATGCTGTCTGCAGGCCATTTGGCAACTTGAGTCAAAAGGCCTAAAAATATGAACAACCTTTAATCCAGCAATCCCATTCCTGGGAACCTGCCCTAAGAAAATCACAGCTTGAAGGAAGGGAGAATTGGAGTGGTTAGCCTCTAACTTGCTCCGTGATCCCTGGCTCACATTGGACCCAGCGGCTGTTGTCCAGCCTCCCCCAGTGAGGTTGTTCCCTCCCATAGGATCATGTCCATCATCCTCCCCAGAGAATGTGGCCCATGGTGCCAGGCCACTGCCCAGGCCTGTGTTACACATTCATGGACCTTCCCTGTCCATCCTCCACCTTTCTGGGACTCAGGCTTCTCTCTGCCCAAACACGGGCATCCTAGAGGCCCCCTCCTCCAGGGAGTCTGCTCAGATTTCATCTATGGGCATCCTGCACCCTGTGTGCCCCCAGGTGGAGGTCTTTGGAGGCCTCTGTCCTCCCTGTGGGTATGAGGTGGCTCCACTCTCCATAGGGCTGTTTGACCACTCCCTGCTGAATTCCAAGAGTCTCTAGCGGGTGTGAGACTGGACTGCTGTCCTTCCCTAGGGGGAAGGGGTGGGCACCACGACAACACACCTGGCAGGTCAGCCTCATGCTCCCCATCTTTGGCAGTGCCCGGCCTCAACATAGCATACCCTGGGATGCCTGGACACAGGCAAGGCCCCCCTCTTCCCCTCCCTCTCTAGGCCCTCGGGGGGTCATCTGTTCTTCCCCCTGCCTCCAGCCCTTGCTGCTTACAAGTCTATTTTTCCAGCAGGAGGTGAGTGAACTTCTGCCCTTTGTTCCCTGTAAGTCCAAGAGACAGAGGTGGCTGGGTGCAGTGGCTCATGCATGTAGTCCCAGCATTTTAGGAGGCCAAGGAGGGAGGATTGCTTGAAACCAGGAATTTGAGACCAGCCTGGGCAATATGGCAACACCCTATCTCTACAAAAAATTTAAAAATTAGCCAGGCATTGGCCGGGCGCGGTGGCTCATGCCTGTAATCCCAGCACTTTGGGAGGCCAAGGCAAACGGATCACGAGGTCAGAAGATCAAGACCATCCTGGCCAACATGGTGAAACCCTGTTTCTACTAAAAGTACAAAAATTAGCTGGGTGTGGTGGCACGTACCTGTAATCCCAGCTACTCAGGAGGCTGAGGCATGAGAATCGCTTTAACCCAGGAGGCAGAGGTTGCAGTGAGCCGAGATTGCGCTACTGCACTCCAGCCTGGCGACAGAGAGACTCTGTCTCAAAATAAATACATAAATAAAATATTAACCAGGCATGGTGGCTTGAACCTACTCAGGAGGCTGAGGTGGGAGGATCCCTTGGGCCCAGGAGTTTACAGCTGCTGTGAACTATGATCACACCGCTGCACTCCAGCTTGGAAGACAGAGTGAGACCCTGTCTCAAAAAAAGAAAAAGAGAGAGTGAGAGAGAAACAGAGAGACACAGGCCAGGCTGCTGGGCAAGGAGTGCAGCACAGTGAGAAGGTACTTAATCCATTCAGCACCATGCACTAGGCAGCTTAAACTGTGATACCTGATTTCTCAGGAGTCACAGGTAAGAGGAACTCAGGGAAGTCTCAGGGAACTCAGAAGTCTCAGGGAAGAGGAACCTGCGTGGTTTAGCCCCTCCTGTGTATCAGGCTCTGTTCTAGGCACATACCACCTTACTTCGTCCTCATGGGAAGGGATTATTCTCCCCATCTTTCAGGCAGTGAAATTGGGATGTACAGGGAGTTTCAGGCACCCAGCCAAGGAACTCAGCTATAATCCTGCAAACAGTGGGGAGGGAGCCCTTGAAGGCACGAGAGCAGGGAGAGGGGTGCAGGCCAGGTGGAGGCCTCTTAGGGACTCACAGCGTCTGTCCTCCTAAGACCTTGCAGGGTCACTCTTCATGCTGCCGCAGCAGGTGCTGGGGGTGTCTGCACTGGCCTCTCCCAGCCGTGCAGGCCCAGGCCCTGGCTTATCCCCCACAGCCTCTGCTGCAGCCTCAGGATGTGCCTGGAATTCCAAAGCTGAGCAGCAGAGACCATCTGCCCAGAGCCTAGCTGGCTCCAGGCAAGGCCGGGTTGGTCTCCACACTGCATGAGGTGCTGTGGCCTCAGGGGTCCTCACACGAGAAAAGGAGAGTGAATTAACCTAAGGCCACTTGCTCTTGCCCCCACCGCACCCCACCCCAGGACCTGGGAGAGTGGTGCCAGGGGCAGCAGAAGCTCCTGCAGAGCCCTCAGCCCCTCTCTGCAAGCTGACAGCTGCCCAGCCACCCACTTGGGCTCAGAGCCCTGTCCAGAGGGCTGAACGCAGAGCCAGGCAGGCGTGCCTGAGCCTCCTCCCCTGGTGTTCTGTGGGCTCAGACAAAGAACCCAGTGCAAAACTGGCTGCCCTCCAGTGAGGGCCACAGACACCCTCCACGTGGGCTGAGCAGGTCATCCAGTGGAGTTGAGCCTACAGGTATAGGACAACCCTGGGTTGGAGCCCCAGCTCCGCCACCTACAGCTGTGTGACCGTGGGGACATCGCTAACCCTGCTAAGCTCCAGATTCCTCATTAGGAAAATGGGAAGTGTTAGACCAGAACCCCAGAGGTTTACGTGGGGCAGTGCAGGGCCTGGCGTGATCATGAGAGCACTGTCTCCGTTTAGTGAGGCCTTGTTCTCTGCAAGCTCTGCACGAAGCCTTTTGTATGCTTTCATCTTTATGGGAAGAAATTATTCTCCCCATCTTTGAGGCAATGAAACTGGGGTGTACAATGCATCTTCACAAATAGCCCATGAGACACACCTATTCTCCAGATATGTGTGGCATTCTCCACATCTTACAGATGAAGAAACTGAGGTTCTGCAAGGCTAAGGTACACCCTGTGGTCGCAAAGGAGGGATGGAGTGAGGGAAGCTGTCTTTACGGGGCAGCCTGTTGCAGATACGGGCTGGGGGCAGGAATGCGGTGTGTGACTGAACAGCATGACATGTCATGTGTGTGGCTGGTGCCACTGAGGACTCCTTCTCGGGACCTCTCAGAGGTGACAGAGAGGAGGGAGCAAGCAGGATAAAAGAAGAGAGGAAGGAAGGAGGAGGGAGCTGCTGGAGAGGGCGGAGCCAAGGCCCCCAGACTGCCATGGACCGGCCAGGACACCATGCTGTGGACCTGGGCCCAGCCCACCAGTCCCTTCATCCCAGCCAGGGAGGCCCAGGCAGAGAGGCTTGGAGGGTCCGCCGGGGGGCTGGGGGGTCTGTGTGCATGCAAGCATGCAGACATGTGGCGGCGTGGTCCTGGGCCCTGTCCGTGTCTACCCTCCAGTGGGCATGTAGCAGGGTGTCCCATCTGCTCCCTAAGCCACCTAGCTTTGGTTTTGTTTTTGTTGTTTTGAGGCAGGGTCTTACTCTGTCACCCAAGCTGGAATGCAGTGGTGTGATCATGGCTCATTGCAGCAAGGGGCTCAAGCGATCCTCCCACCTCAGCTTTCAGAGTAGCTGGGTCTGCAGGTGAGTGCCCCATGCCTGGCTAAGTTTTTGTTGTTGTATTTTTTGTAGAGATGAGTTCTCACTATGTTGCCCAGGCTGGTCTCGAACTTCTGACTCAGGTAATCCCCATGACTTGGCCTCCCAGAGTGCTGGGATTACAGGTGTGAGCCACTGTGCCCCGTCCCCGGTTTTTATCTCTGACACTCGTGTCGCATAAGTGGGATTGATCTATACCAGCTGCAGCTGCCTTTCTCCCATCAACGAGCTTGCATTGCCTTCTGTTTCAGCTTCCATGTCTGCCTCATTGGGGTCCTGTGCAAAGACCTGCCATGGACATTTCCAGTTTCCCAGGGATTTACCATTAAGGATTCTGCCATCACAGACCCCCCTTGCAAGGAGTGTGCTCGTGAGCAACGAGACCGCTGAGCAGAGTGTCTCGGTCCCTCTGAGTGTGCGTCTGTGTACTAGGGTTATTGGTGCTCTGTGACTCTGGGCAAGAATTTCAACTCCCCTGGGCCTCAGCTCCTCGTCTGTAAAACAGGGGTAAATAATTGGGCAAATCTCCCAGGATCATGAGAATTAAGTTAAATGAGGGAGTGCTGGGAAGCCGAGCTCAGCCGGTGTCTGGCGCAGAGCAAGAGCAGAAGGGTGCTGTTCCCCAGGTTTCTGTCCTTGTCAGTAGTGTCATCTGCCTGGTCTGGCTAGGATCCTGCAGCCAGCAACCACCCAGGTCCTAAAGGTGGGAGCTTTGCTGAGAAGCGTGCCTGGGCCTGGTCTCTGGTTCAGGGCAACTGGAGGCTTGGATCTCCCCTCTGGGTTAGCATGAGGTGACTCAACCCATGTCATGTGGCAAAAAACCCTTCCACACCCTCAGGTTCTCATGAATCCAGCCTTAGGTGGAGGTGGAGGCCCTCAGCCGGATTCAAAAAAGGACCCGTTCGGTGTGGAAGCCTCCCAGGGGCTGGGGTGGTGGGGCTGGCACCCATCCGATAGCCTGTGGGCTCCTTTCTGAGTGATGATCTTTTTCCCTGGCTCCCTCCCCAGGCCTCAGGGACTCTTCCTTTTACACACACCTGTTCCTTCCCAGGATGGCCCAGGCTAAAGCGGACCCAGAAGCTCCTCAATGCTGATCATGGCCAGAAAGGTCCCAGGCCCCTTAAAGGCCCCCATTCCTCCACTGCCTGCCAGATGAATTCCAAGGCTCTGCAAGGTGCCCCTTCCCACCATTCATCTGGAAAATACTTTCCAGAAAAGCTCCCAACTGCTTCTGGGTTATGTCCACTGCCCTGGACATTGGGGCAGAGAAGAAAGCCAGGGTTCATCCCCAAGACTGGCCCTAGCCTCCTTCAATACCTGAACACTCCAGCCCTTAGAGGCCCTGACAGCAAGGACTGCAGAAGTCTCCACCACAGGGCAATGATGAGTCTGACTCCCAGTCCAGGCTGAGGGGCTCCTCACTCCTTCACCCTCCTCCTCCCTGTCTCTGTGATCCAAGGCCTGGGCTCTTCTTGACTCCCACAGGTGGCACTGTCATTGATGGTTCTTCCTGAGAGTCCAACAGATGATGGACAGATGTGTCCCAGGGAGCTGTCAGGACCAGTGTGTGAGGCCCTAAAGATGGGCCAGACCAACCTCAGGGGCTCAGAAAGGGGAAATGTTGTATTATTTGTTCCCATGTATTTGCTCAGTATTGAGTTATTAATCTGTTCAGAAAGATTTATTGAGTCTTACTCGATAAATAAGAGGTGGGGTGGCCAGATCAGCCCAGGGTCTTCTGACAGTTTGGGGGTGACAGCTTTTAGCCGTTTTCTCCCTGGGGATTTGTTATGGCCTCTGCTGGGCACCCGAGGCCCCTCTGGGCAGACAGTGCTGTTCACGGGTCAGCTGAGGCTCTGAATGCAGCTCTAAGAGGCCTGCGTTCAAACTTCACTTTCTAGTGGTGTGACCTTGAGCTGGTGACCTCACCTCTCTGGGCATTGTCTCCATCTAGAAAAGGAGGACCTGGTCCACAGGGCAGCAGGAACAGGACAGGGGCCACGCACCGCAGACACGTGGGGACACACACAATAAATGCCCAGTGGTGCAGCGCCATGTGGCTTCCTACCCGTCCAATGCTCGGGAGGCTGAGGGTGGGGTCAGGACCCTGTGCCTGCTCCCTCGGACCAGAGCAGACCAAAGCCACTTCCAGACCTCAGTTTCCCCATCTGTAAAGTCTGTAAATGAGTGAGACAGAACCATAATAGAGGCCCTGCCATGGCACAGAATATAAAGAGGAACCACACTCCATGCCGACTGCAGGTCCCGAGTAAGCTGTGCACAGAGGGCCTTAGGGTTTACTCCAAGATATGGCAACCAGATGTCTGTGGCCAGCAGGCATGGGGGCAGGATGTCAGATCCCAGGTCTAGGTGGCTTGAGAGCGGGGCCGTGAGCTGCCTTTGAGTGACCCCAGGTTATCTCCTCCAGACAGCTCCTTCCACCAGCTCTGCCCTCTGGCTACCGCTTATCTCCCTGATAGATGGTCCCACTGTCCCGGCAGAGGAAGAGCTGCCTGTGTCCTTCAGAGCCCTGCCTGCCTGCACAGGGCACAGCTGGGTGCAGCCTTGGGCTGAGGCACGTCAGCACGGCCGCTGAAGATCCCGGGCCACTGACCCAAAGGTCTTGCCAGGTGGGGACAGAGGCTTGGCCCCAGGGAAGCTGGCCAGCTGCATCATATTCCTGGTTAGGGCCCTTAGGGACTTTGGTCTGATGGGGAGACTCAGTCCTGCCTTGAGTCTGAGGGGAAGGGGAGGCCTCGTTCCTCCCAGAGCACCCCCATCCCCTGCACACCCCCACCCAGCACACACACATCATGCAGCCTGGGTCATCGAGACACACTGAGCTGTGCCCTGGCAGCAGGGAGGGGCTGCTTTGAGCCGTGACTCGTACATGACCTCAGCAGGAGCTGGTTGTAGGCTGCATCCCATGGGCTGGTGGCGGAGGGGTGCCCTGCGGAAGGGGAAGGCATGAGCAGGGCAGGCTGCCAGCCTGTCTCCATGGGTCCTTCTGCCCAGACCTGCTATCGCAGCTGCTTGAATGCTGGCCGCAGATGGCGTGGGCGACGGCCCAGGCCCCCAGCAGAGGGACAGGAGGTTCTAGGGCCCCAGGCTGGCCCAAGCCTCTCAGGGCCCTGCGGGACAGGATCAGTCTGTACTGCATTGTAGATGGCAGCTATGCCCAGAGATCGCACCTTCCATGGGAGAAAATGTGTTCCCTTCCCTTTGGTCAGGTCCATTGAGCCTCCTGGCTTCAGCCTGATGGGCAAAGGCAGGGTCTATCTGTCCACAACCTCAGTGCCACCCCGGCACAGAGTTGGCACTGAAGAAATGGCTGTCGATGCCTGGGCGCGGTGGCTCACGCCTGTAATCCCAGCACTTTGGGAGGCCGAGGCAGGCAGATCACGAGGTCAGGAGATCGAGACCGTCCTGGCTAACTAACATGGTGAAACCCCATCTCTACTAAAAATACAAAAAATTAGCTGGGTGTGGTGGCTGGCCCCTGTAGTGCCAGATACTCGGGAGGCTGAGGCAGGAGAATGGCATGAACCCGGGAGGCGGAGCTTGCAGTGAGCTGCGATCACACCACTGCACTCCAGCCTGGGCGACAGAGCGAGACTCCATCTCAAAAAAGAAAAGAAAGAAAGAAAGAAAGAAAGAGAGAGAGAGAGAGAGAGAGAAAGAAAGAAAGAAAGAAAGAAAGAAAGAGAAAGAAAGAAAGAAAGAGAGAGAAAGAGAGAGAGAGAGAGAGAGAGAGAAAGAGAGAGAGAGAGAGAGGGAGAAAGAAAGAGAGAAAGAAAGAAAGAGAAATGGCTGTCAATGAGTGAACCTTGGCTACACCTGCTTTGATACTTTCAAACACATTTAAATTCTTACATTCGAATGTGTTTCATTGAAAAAATTTCCTCACTCGTTCGGCGCCCAGGTGGCTCCCAACACATGGTCAGTGTTACTACTGCTGTGGTTAGCTTCCCGGCTGCCTGGGAACCAGCCACTGCCAGTGACATTGGGGCTGGCTCAGGGATGGTTACATTTTATGATTGAGAGTAGCCATCTTTGTGACATCCTCAGCATGAGGGTATGGACGTGCATTTTCTTTCTTTCTTTTTTTTTTTTTGGAAATGGAGTCCCACTCTGTCACCCAGGCTGGAGTGCAGTGGTGCCATCTTGGCTCACTGCAATCTCCGCCTCCTGGGTTCAAGCAATTCTCCTGCCTCAGCCTCCTGAGTAGCTGGGACTACAGGTGCACGCCGCCACGCCCGGCTAATTTTTTGTATTTTAGTAGAGACAGGATTTCACCATGTTGCCCAGGATGGTCTCGAACTCCTGAGCTCAGGCATTCCACCCGCCTCGGCCTCCCAAAGTGCTGGGATTACAGGCATGAGCCACCGTACCCAGCCTCGACGTGCATTTTCAATGCTATTGGCCTGATATCCTGACCTTAAATTTCTACTAGCGGAAACACTGGTTTTTATATTTATTTATTTATTTATTTTTGTCATTTCAAACAAATTTATTTCCTTGCTTCATGAGAAAGAGCATTCTAAAAGCAGTGTAGCCAGCATACAATCACAATGCTGCAGAACATTGAATAAGCTTTTAAAAAATCACAGGGCAGAGAATGGGATGGTAAATTGTTAAAATCTGGAAAGAGACTCCAACAAAGTAGGAATCCAATTTGGTTCCCACAGTGGGGTAATCAGCTTAGGAAGTCCATTCATGATGTTAACTACAACAATGGAATGGAAACATTTCAGTTGATACTAGATAGGTTTTTATATTTATTTACTCCACACTGGACACACACACACACATATATATATATATATATATATATATATATATATATATATATATATATTTTTTTTTTTTTTTTTTTTTTTGAAATGGAGTCTCACTCTGTCGCCCAAGCTGGAGTGCAGTAGTGCATCTCAACTCACTGCAGCTTCCGCCTCTGGGGTTCAAGTCACTCTCCCACCTCATTCTCCCAAGAAGCCGGGATTACAGGTGCGCACCACCAT
This sequence comes from Homo sapiens, assembly GCF_000001405.40. Classification (NCBI taxonomy): domain Eukaryota; kingdom Metazoa; phylum Chordata; class Mammalia; order Primates; family Hominidae; genus Homo; species Homo sapiens. The sequence continues at coordinate 52,026,693 of NC_000003.12, read as the reverse complement.
GCCCGACTACTTTTTGTGAGTTTGGTAGAGACAGGGTTTCACCACGTTGGCCAGGCTGGTCTCGAAATCCTGACGTCAGGTGATCCACCCACCTCAGCCTCCCAAAGTGCTGGGATTACAGGTGTGAGTCACCGTGCCTGGCTTGAACATATATTGATTAAGCATCTGCTCCAGGGCTCATCCAGGGGGTGAGGTGATGGGATAGAGCAGTGACCAAGAGAACACAGCCTGCTTTTTGTAGTGGGTGCAGACACCAATCGAATAAGCATACAGTTAAGGTTCTCACTGCAGATTCCATGAGGAGCAGAGCAAGGGGCTACAGGAGCAGATGCCATGACAGCTGTCATAGTCTGGGGGCTGAGCAAGCTGCCCTGGGAGAGGGCTGGGATCTGAAGAGTAAGTAGGAGTTAGCAGGTGAAAAGGACAGAGAACATATTCCAGGCAGAGAGAAAAACCTGGGCAAGGGCCAGATGGCTAGAGGGACCATGAAAACCCGAGAGCATTTGGGGCAGCTGGAGTGGAGGGAGGGAGTCGAGTTCCAGGGAGGAGGCTGGAGTGTGGGTGGGATCAGGGGCACACAGGGCCTCATAGGTCCAGCACTGGGGAGCCGTGACAGGCCATGCAGAAGGAGCAGGAGGTCAGGGGTGATTTTGAGAGGTCCTTCTCTGGCTGCTGGGTGGAAGGTGGCTTCGGTAGGATTTTACTCCCAAAAGTCTGGAGTTGATTTTGCTGGTGTGGCCAGGGCTGCAGGTTTTGTACTGTTCCCTGTGGTCTCCCCATGCCTGTCTAGACCCAGGGCTCCTGGTCTAGGAGGGCAGGGTGTGGGTTCATGGCTAATTCATTTCTGAGGGCCTAGTGTCCATCACAGGGCCAGACACGTGGCAGGGGCCGAACAGATGTGTGCTGAGTGAGGGAGGTCACTAATGGGGTGCTCCACTTGTCTGTCAATGCCCATGAAATTGTCTGGCCCTGCCTCTACCCGCTGGCTTGTGTCCTCAACCTGGTCAGTCCAGGCAGGATGTGCAGGCTGACAGGCCAGGCATCCAGGAAACAGACTGTGTGCCTCTCCTCACGCGCACATGTTGGCAGCCAGCTGGGGAGGCTCTAGCCTGGAACCCACCTCAGCCATCTGGGGCCATATTCCCAGGACAGATCAGATGGGCAGCTAGTGTTATGCAGCCTGCAGAAGCCCAGGGCCCTACCCACGGAGTCCACCCTGACCCCAGACTCCATTCAGGCCGAGGCGGGAAAGATGAAAAGTTGGGGGCAGAGGGTGGGTAGAGGTTAGGATGCAGAAAACCTTGGCTGGGAGTTTGAGGGGAGAAGCACCTCACTCAAGAAGGACTGTCCAACAGCTGCAGCTGGGCAAATTTACCAGGCAGTTGGTAAGCAGTGAGCTCTGTGTCTGGAGAGGTATGCAAGTGAGATCAGGAGCTGGAGGATCTCCCAGTTCCTCTCTTCCACCCCGTTAGGAATATTCCCCACTAAGCATCCTCTGTCCTATTTGAGCCCTGAAAGCCATCCCTCTCCTGCCCCGGAGCAATCACTGTGGCTGCCACGGCTATGGGGCCTCCCCTCCCCACCTCACTTGTCTCTTCTGTAACACAGGGGTGGGTGAGCTCAGGGAGGTGTTTTCCTTTTATTTCTGCATGCAGCACCAAACAATAATTGCACTTATTCTCAACATCTAGAATAATTTTCTTCTAAAAGAAAACCACAAAAAGTCCCAAGTCAATTAGCAAAAACATAGGAAGCCACCTTCATTTCAGGTCACGTGAAATAAAACCCGTGTCCCATGTTTTCCTTGAAGTAAATTTAATTATTTCTCCAAAGGCCTGAGGCCATGTGGAAGGGGCCTAAGGGAGGCCAGTGTGAGAGATCCCAAGGAGCCCTCTGTTTGGGTCAGGCAATGGGTCCAGCCCTGCTTCTGCACAGCACCCCCCACCCCCTCACCCCTGCTCAAAGGCCTCCTCCCTGATGAAATGCAATCCTCCCAATGTGGCTGACTGACACTCCTCCCCACCCCCTAATCTGGACAAACCAATGTTTCCACCCACTTCTTGATGCCCACTCCCTCACTCTCTGCTCCTGGGATTTTCGTTCAATGCTCCTTCCTCCTATAATTGTCTTCCCCTCTCTTCCCCTCACCAAGAGCACATTCATTTTTTGGGGTCTCAGTTTATATGCCTCTTCCTCCAGGAAGCCCTCCCTAACCTCACCAGGCATTCCCACAGCCACCTGTGCACCTTCTCATTCTGTCCTGTACCTGGCACAGAGAATGTACCCAGAAAGTGTTTTTTGAATGAATGACTTCCCCCCGGAAAATGACCTCAGAACTCTGGGTTGGCCTTATCTGAACCATGCTGGCTCTAAGTTCGTTGTCAAACCCCAGAAGGGTACAGGCTTCCCCTGAGCCCTGGATGCTGGTCTGGGACCTGGGGATCCCTGAACTGAGGGGCAGGAGGGTGTGTGTGTCCTGAATTCTTTCTGAATGTGGTCCTGTGATCTGGGACTAGACCAACTGAGGGCCCTCTGTGAACAGGAAGCAGGAAGGAGAGCCGGGCCTCTGTTCTCCCACCCAGTCTCCAATTTAGAGGAAACGCAGCCTATAATTTGGAAGGCTAATTTGGTCTGGGGTTAGAAGGGAGCTCTCTGTGTGCCGAATGATGCCACGCTCTCCCAGGGGAGGAAGCATCCCCTCCCTGGGGACCTGGGGCCTCTGCTCTCAGTTCCAGGCCACACTGCTCCAGTGTGCTCCCTCCTGAGGCCTGAGCTGGGGCCCCTAGAGAGTCAGGCAGCCGGTCCTCAGCCAGGGGAGAAGGAGGGAGGGAGAAACCCAGGGCCACACTCCTTGGTCACTGACTGTCCGGTCCACTGACTGACTGGTGCTCCCGGCATCAGGAAGAACTAGTGGAGGGTCTCCAAGGACCAAGTCCACATGGTGAGCATTGCCCCAGGGTGCCCCTGGCCAGCAGGTCATGCCCATTCAGGCAGGAGCTCAGGAGAAATGTGGGCAAAATGGGCATTGTAATGACCTGGTCCAAGAAGCCTCACTCTCTAGCAACCCTGACCCCAATTCCTGCCACTCCCCGAGCTTAGGCACACTGAGTCATTTAAGGTCCTTCCCAGCATGATGGCCGCTGTCATGCTGCTTTTCCTCCTCCCCTGGGAAGTCCTCCATGTCCACCAGGCTGGTCAGGAACTACCTCCAGGCTCCTTGTCTAACAGGTACCTGGTTGCTTCCCCATTGGGATAGGGGCTCTGTGAGAGTGGGTTCCAGTTGTGGTCACCTTGGTGGTCAGAGCCCTGGCCAGGGCCTGGCTCAGCAGAGCTAGTGATGACGGACAGGCAGAGAGGCTGCACCACTCACAGATGTATGGCCTTGGGCAAGGCCTGGCACTTCCCTGGGCCTCAGTTTGCTTGTCTGTGGGCTAGGCACAGAGCAGTAGTTCAGTATTTGATGACTAAGTGAATGAATGCATGCATGCATGAATGAATGAATGAATGAATGAATGAATAAGGAGTTGGACTGGACAGTCTCCAAACCCTGGAGCTCAAATCCTCTACAGTTTCTCTCTCCTCATTTGAGTGCTAGTCTCTCTGCTCAGGCTTGTGTCAGCAAGGACTGGGGAGGGGAGAGGTCCTGGGGTCAGTCAGGGCAGACAGGAGCTGCAGGGAAGCTGAACGCTGGGATAGGGTGTCGGGTGACAGGGTCTGGGGAGAGGCGGGGCAAAAGACTCTTCAGGGTGAGGGGTGAAGGTGCCCATCCCTGGACCTGGTGTTCCAGGACCCCAGCCTGCCTGCGGCAGCGCGCCATCCCCACGACACACCACCCCAACTCACCCACAACCCAGTGGCTTCTCTTGAAACTTCTGCTCGGCTCCAACAGTCTGTCACTGGGGCTGGTGATTCACACACTCCGCTCTTCTTTCCTCTTCCCAACTAATTATAGCTCCTGCGTGTTTTTCCCCCTGGAAAAATGTCTTCTTAAAAAAAATATATCCCCAAGCCAGTGAAAATTAATTGGGTGAGCATCACTGTGTACAATTCAGACTGGCTCCGAAGACAGGCAGGTCCCAGGTTGTGGGGGCGTCTACTGCCCAGCAGAGGAAGGACGGGCGTGGGACGCAGGGTGCACATGGGGACAAGCAGCAGAGGCTCCACCCAGCCCCCATCCGACTGGCCATGGCTCTGGGGATCCTGAAGAATAACCGCCACAGTGATGGTAACGGGGACTCTACTGAGCGCCACAGCATGCTGGGCACAGTGCCAGATGCCTGCCATGTGCATTGACATTTAACCTTCTGATGCCTGCTGAAGCTGGCCTTGGAATTGGTTCCACTCTGTCGAAGAGGAAACTGAGGCTCAGAAACTCATCCAGGGTCACACAGCCATAGTGGGGGCGTTGGGGGTGACCATGAGCCATGTGGTGCTGGGAGTTGGGAGCCAGGGTGGGGGGGCATGGCCAATGGCCTGACCAAGGGGAGGCCCAGCATCATTAGGCTCCCCAAGGGACAAGCAGAGCAGGCACGCGGCCCTCTGTCTCGTCTCTCCCTCGCTTGCCTCCTGGGAATCACAGGAGCTCCCCTGGCACTGGGCCAGAGCTGAGACTACAAGTCCCCTAAGCTCTTCATGGGGCCCAGTGCGTGGCAGTTGGAGCAGATGTCTGAGCAGGCATCCTGGCCAGGCAGGGAGGGTTCCAGAGTCACAATGACAAAGAGGTGGAGATAATCAGAGACAGGACAAGAGAGAGCCAAGCAGAGCTAGAGAGGGGACAGGGAGTCACCAGTCCAACTGCAGAGGCAGAGAGGCAGAATGGAGACTGAACCAGAGACACAGCCGGGTCTGAGTCTGAAACCAAGGGACAAAGATAAAACCCAGGGAAACAAGATGGAGAGACACAAGGGAGAACCAGAGGGCTGCTGTGTAGGAGACAGCCTGGAGAGAGGCAGCACCGAGAAAAGAACAGGAAAAGGAAGGTGGAGGCCCACGGCCTCAGGCCAGGCCTTGCTGGGGAGGGTTCCTAAGAGCAGGGGCAGGCAGGGGTGCTCCAGGCCTGCTTTGGGCGTTGGGAACATGGTTCCTCCCAGCCTGTATCAATCTAGGAAGACTGCCTGGAGAGTGGCCCCAGAGCAGGAGAGCATGTGGATGTTAGGACATTAGGAGAACCGAAGGCATGGGGGGCAAGGGAGCAGGTAGGAGGTGGCAGCCACCCTGGGCCCATCCCGGGAGAGGCTCCTTTGGAACCCGGTCTCTGAGGGTGGCCAGTCTCTCCCTACCCCAGCTCAAAGGCAAGGACCCTCCCCAGGGGCTGAGGAAAATCCAGGCAGAGTTAGGCCAGCTCATTTCCTGGATGGAGAAGTGAAGTCAGTCTGAGACAACCCCTCAGCACCCCAGTCCCCACCAGCCATTAGGAAATAAACCCCCTCTACCAGCTCCAAAGGCCAGGGGCCTGTCTCCCTCCTTACATTCCTAAGCTAGAGCCAGGTCTCCTTCAGCCTACATCCTTTAGCCTTCCCAGAACCCTTAGGGCAGAAGCTGCCTCTACCCTTACCTCCAGGCCAGGCCAGAGACTGTCTCTCTCCAGGCCAGGGCAGGACCCCTCTCCCAGACCCCTACCCCACTCTGCCTTGGCAACCCAGAAGGTGTTGACGGCCTCGCTAACCACAGGCAGACTGCCCTGGCTCCAGCCATCACCTCCCCCAACTTCTCTGGACCCCTGACACGGCCGCTGGCTGCCCGGGGTCAGGGCTTGGTACCCAGGATCTATTAGCCAGGCAGCTGTCGGGATTTCCAGCACGGGGGGACCTCTGGGGCTGACACCTCTGTCAGCCACTCTCTTGTCTGGAATCTGCTGGCCAAGTCTGCACTCTTCTGGGGTCTATGTCTGGACCCTAGAGCATCTGCCATGAGAAAAAAGGACACAGCAGGAAACAGGTGGCCTTGGGTGGCCTTGAGGCCAGAAGACCAGCACAGGCCTTGAGGATGTGCCCTTGAGCCCCAGGAATGGAGAAAGAAGTGGCCAATGGGTCCAGGCAGGAGGGTTGGTCAATGCAGAAGGGCACCCGTGCAGCCTCCTCATTCTTGGTCCATGCCCCTCAGTGGGCCCGGACACTGTGATGACCAGGACATTGGGATGGAAACACCTTTTTCGTGGGCCCCCGGCTAACACACCAGGAAATCTCCTTTTCCAATAACCCATAACAGGAGGCAACACAGGATAGGGTCTGGAGTCAGGCAGCCTGGCTCCTTCCAGCTCAAGCTCTGGGGAGATGACTGAGCCTCAATTTTGTTATCTGTAAAATGGTGCTGCCAGTAATTCCCTTCTCAGACAATGCTGTGGATAAACAAGATTTTGCACATGAAACAGAAACATAAGTGGCCATGCTTTAGGCAGCCCAGCTCCTACCAGAGGCTCCAAACGTCTCCCTGGAGCCCCCTTTTTTCCTCTAGGCCCCTCCTGGCAGGAGGTGACAGGCAGTCCTCAGTCTCCAGCCCCACTGCAGCCTGGGGAGGCCCAAACGAAGACCTGAGGGAAAGGAGAAAGTCCGGATGGGGGCAAGGAGCCAGGAGACCTTGGTGTGGTCCCCTCCTGGAACGGGCCACTGGCAAGCCCCCTCCCTCTCGGGTTTCTGAGCAATGGGGATTGGACTGGATGAGTGCCTTCCTGCTCCCAACTGGAATCCTCAGCCACCCGCTTCTCTCTGCCCCTCCACTCTGGCCCCGTCCCCTTCCAAGCCAGCCTGGCCTTTGGCCTTAGCTCCTCTGACAAGAAGAGAGGGAGGAGGGCTTGCCTGCCCCCATGGGAAACCATTTTTAGCTCCCTGAGGAACTCGGCGTCCTCCCAGCAAGGGTGCGTGGGTCGTAGCTGGGTATTAATAGCTCAGCTGGAGGAGGTGACCGGGACTTTGACAGCCAAACCCTGGAGGCCTCCCATGCTGGGCAGCAGAGCAATCCCCCTGTCGTCCACCCCTCCCTTGCTGGCTCTGAACTCCACCACTGCTGTCCCCCAGGGGTGCTCTCCTCCTCCAGCCCCCACCCCTCTGCCCCTCACACAGGACTGGTTTCCCCCTTGGTTGAATCTTCCTGTGGTCCCCTGGGGAGGGGAGACCTCTTGCCCCAGTTGTGGGTTGGTGCCTGAGGCCGGTTTGTGACCAGGCCCCGTGGGAGGTGAGAACAGAGAAGCCTGTGATAAGGCTTCCCCCTCGCACCCTTTTCCGCTGCCCGCTGGCCTCTCATTCCTGCTTGCTTACTCCACCCTGGCTCCTCCACTGGCCGCCATGTGGGCTGGTCCCCAAATGTCTCTCCACGCTGGGCCCAGAATGGAGAAGAGGCGGGAAAACCCAGCTGGCCGAATGGAGGCCTGGAAAAGATTCCCTGGACAGTACTGCCTGTCCCCTGCTCAGGTGGGACATATGAGGCCTGAACAGGCCGCAGGGCTACCTCTTGGAGGTAGCCTGGGAAGTGATGGGGCCCTGGGCTGTGACTGGGGACCTACAGCCTTGGCTCAGCCCCGTCCCTGAGGCCCCCATGCCGTGGAGGTAGGGAAGGGGCACGAACCCACGCTAGGTGTCTCACACACCCGCCTCAAACACTCATCCGCACTTAATATCTCAGCTACCCCTGGTCCCTCGAGGCTACAGCCTTGAGGGTAGAAATCGGCAACCCAGAGGGAGCGTGATCGACGTGAAGGTGGGTGCTGTGATCACCCACATTTCAGAGATGAGCAGCCAAGTTTTCAGGGGAAGCACACCCTGGGAGCAGGCAGGCAGCCGGGGCTGGAGGCCTTCGGGAACAAGATTCGGTCCAAGCCCTTTGCTTTCTTTCTAGAGTCACGGTCTTGCTCTGTCATCCAGGCTGGAGTGCAGTGGCACTGTCATAGTTCACTGTAACCTCAAACTTCTGGGCTCCGGCGATCCTCCTGCCTCAGCTTCCTGAGTAGCTGGGACTGCAGGCGCGTGCCACCGCACCTGGCTACCACCCTGTGCGTGGTCATGTCCAAGCCCTAGACGCCCATTTTTCAGGCATCTCTTTGTTACCAGTCCTGCTCTGAGTCGTCTCCAGAAAATAGGAAGGCTTCTGGGTCTTTGGGGACCTCTTCCTCAGGCAGTCGTGGCCTTTGGGACTAGCCTGAGTCCTGACGAGGATGAAGGTCCAAGCTCAGTTTGGGGTCGGAGTCAGGGTCAAAGGTCAGTTTGCGGTGAACAGTGAACCCGGCCCTCTAACTCCTAACTCCAAGCTGAGTCTGGACCTCTGACTGCTAGACAAGACTGAAGCCCAAACCTTTGGGCCCCAACTCTAGTTTCTTTTTTTTTTGAGACGGAGTTTCGCTCTTGTCGCCCAGGCTGGAGTGCAATAACACGATCTTGGGTCACCACAACCTTCGCCTCCCGTGTTCAAGCGATTCTCCTGCCTCAGCCTCCTGAGTAGCTGGGATTGCAGACACGCGCCACCACGCCTGGCTAATTTTTTGTATTTTTAGTAGAGATGGGGTTTCTCCATGTTGGTCAGGCTGGTCTCGAACTCCTGACCTCAGGTGATCCACCCGCCTCAGCCTCCCAAAGTGCTGGGATTACAGGCGTGAGCCACCGTGCCCAGCTAGTTTCTAAAGTCTCAACCCTTAGGCCCAGGATGAATCTGGGCCATCAACCTCTGACTCCCAACCCAGGCTGAGCCCCCAACCCGGCCCCAGGCCTAGGGAATACTGGTCCCCACTTGCCTTCTGAGGCTGTGTCCTGGGCTCACCCGGCTCTTCACCTCTAAATCTCAACCTGGAGGTGGCCCTGCGTGCTCCTCACACTCCCTCCTCAGCCACCCCCGCCCTGAGTCTTGAAGCAGGCTGACACAGGGACACATCACACCAGGCGATGTATGACTTGGAGGAGCAGAGGCTGGAAACATATGCTATTTCTGGGCTGGATCTTATTGGTTTGGACCGTGAGCAAAGCAGAGCCCACAGCAGAGGGAAGGGAAACAGGCAGACGGGCCCTCAAACACACAGACACCACACTGCGTGGCGGGATGCAGGGGTCCTTGGGTGACCTGGCACTAGAACCACGCTTCCCTGGGACAGAGAGGCCAGCGTCCACACCCCGACTTGGAGGAAACAAGTTTAGATAAATGTGACACACACATCCCCAACCCTGCAGCTAGTTTTTTTTCTAAGGAACCCATATTCCCGGTGGCTCAGAGTGGAAACTGGATCCAAGTCCCGGCTCTTCCTATAAGCTCTGAGACCTGAGGCAAGCTGCTCAGCCTTAGCCTGGAATAGCCTCAGCATCCTCATCTGGGAAATGGGACTGTGATGTTATCTTCCTTTTGGGGTTTTATGAAGACAAAACACAACCATAGAGACGGATTTCCTGCACAAGGCAAGAGCTCACAAAGGGGCAGCTACCAATATTTTCCCAGTGACCAAAGGCAAGCTGCTTCAGTTGTGGGGTCAGGTATCCCTTCACCCCTCACTTCCGCCTCTACCCAAGAACTCCTGGGGGACACATTTTGGAAACCCTTAACTTAGATTCTAGGCCAGCAGCAGGACCAAAAGTAGCGTTAGCTGACAATTACAGAAGCCGGAACAGCATGGAATTTGTCAGCATGGAATTAGGTCACAAAATTCTTAAAACAGAAGAGCCACAGAAGCCCAAAAGGCTCAACATCCTAGGATGCAGACCTCCCCTGATTTCCTGGGCTGAAAATGGCGAGAATTGACCAAGACAAAACGAGCTCTTGCCTCGGACAGGAGCGTGGGGACTCCGGGCTCTTTCACTACATGTCCCAGAGCACCCAGGGAGGGGGAGGGCTCCACCATGGTCTCCGAATCCCCTCATTTCCTGGTGATTGCCTGCTTCCCCTCCTCCTCCAGCTCAGATGCCCTGGATGTCCAGCCATTTCTAGAGCACCCCCAGCCTGGTCTGGCCACCTCTACTGACCCCTCCTAAGACTCCCCACCCAGGTGCTGAGGTCCCCTGGGGTGAATCCCAGGGAGCTGTCCCTGCTGCCCTCAGCCTCCAGGGCCCTGCAGAGTGGGCTCCTGACATGTTGGTGACCTCAGGCTCTATCCCCTCTGTCCTCTTGCTCCTCACAAGTAGAGTCAGGACAGGAATTGGCACTGTTGGAAGGTGAGTGCCCACCCACGTGCGGGGCACCTACTGGGCTTTACGTCCATCATCTCTGATCCAGGAATCCCAGGGCCAGATTGGGGCTTGACATACCCAAGTCCACATGGCTGGGAGGTGGCAAGGGAGTTTGGCGTTTGACCTAAAGCTGCTGTCCTGAAAAGGGAGCTGTGAAGAGAGGTCCCAGCTGTCGGACGGGCTACCCCTCAACAGGCAGCAGCAGAGCCCAGCAGCCTGTCCATGCTGCACCCCGATTTCTCGGGGAGAGGCCCAGCCTCCACCATGGCTGGCTGAGCCCTGCCCCCCGGTGCCAGTCCCACATGACCTTTCCAGGTGGCTAATGAGAACCTGGGCACCACTCAGTAATTGGCCTCATTAGGTACCTAGGGCTGCCCAGGGGATGGGGTGGCGGATGCTGGGCCCCGTGGGGACTGGCCAGACAGCCGCCTGTTAATTACCTGAAAAATCAGACAATTAGGCTTCCTGCCACCTGCCTGCCCACGTCCTGCTGGCCCCTAATTACTGAGCGGCTGCTGAACAGGCTGGGAGTGACCTGGATTTGGACCGAGGACCAGCCCCTGCCATCTCCCCCATCCCCCACCCCCAGCCTCCATCGCATGCTGCAGGGACAGACAGCTGGGGTGCAGTGTGTCTTTCAGGGATCTTCCCCTGGAGCCCCCAGCCCCCTTTCCTAGCCCTGTTCCCTTCCTGCTCACGATCTCTCCTGCAGAAGGTAGCTCTGGAAGAGAAGAGATGGATGCCCGAAGCCCTGGTAGCCCTCAGGGAAGATGGCTGCTAGGGGAGTGGCAAAAACCCAGAAAGCGGCATCCAAGAGGTCTTGCTGAGGTGAAGTGGCTGCTTCCCCTCCTGCTCAGCTCTTCCAGGGGAAAGATAGCAGACTGTGTTCAGGAGTAGGAATGGCAGATAAGAGGAAGTTAAAAGCTCTCCTGAGAGCCCCGGCACAGCCCAGGGCATGCTGGGGGCCCAGGCCTGCCCTTGGGGAGTCCCCTCACTCAGAAGAGGAGATGGAGCTGGACAAAGCAAGACAAGCGTGCAGGGCCTGGCCTGACTAAAGTGGTCCTGGAAGGCTTCCCAGAGGCAGTGACCTTTAGGCTCCGTCAGGTGAGGTGTACACTGTCCCAGGCAGAAGGAACAGGGCGTGTGAGGGTCTGAAAGTGGATCCTCCCCTACAGAAAGCACAGACAGAGAGGCAGGGCACTCCCTCTGCAAGCACCGACCATGCACCAGGCAACTGGCTGGAAGCAGCTAGATGGGCCCTACCCCAGGAGGGAGTGGGGTGGACACACTGGAGTCTAGAGGGAGGCTGATGTGGGATGTGGGGCCTCCCGTCATCAAGGTCCAGCATGCAAGAAGTACCTTGGCCACCTCCTTCCTGACCTGTTTCCTTTCTTGGTTCTGTGCTAGGATTGAAAGTCCCTTTCTTTGTTTCCCTTGGGGACTTGGAGGCCCAAAGGTACCTGCTCAGAAGGGTACTCCCAGCCCAAAGAGGTCAAGAGACTAAGCTGAGTTCACCCACCCAGTTGGCTGGAGTGGGCCTCAGAGAGGTGTCCACTGTAGTCTTCCAGTGGGGTTCTGGCCCAGCCAGAGATGAAGCCACCACAACGAGGTAGGTTAGAGACAGGAAGGAGATGGGACTGCACTGGGAGGCTGGACACCAGCATTTGAGAGCTGCCACAAAAAAGTCACGCTACCCCCTCGTCCCTAAGCCTAACTCCAGGGTGGCCCCCTAGAGGCCTTGCTGCCAACCCACGCCTTCCCAAAGCCATCCCTGATAAGAAGGCCAGGAAGGCTTTGCGGACTTCCTTTAATGCACGCACTGGATCCTGGGGCTTGGTGTAGCCTGAGGCCAGAAGCTGGGAGCAGAGTCTGAGGGCAGAGCAGGTGAAGTCCCTTCTCTCCACCCCTTTCTGCTGGTCTGGGCTTCCTGACCATCGCGGGGGCAACTGCTCTGTGCTCTGCAACCTAAATTGCAATGGCTGCCGAGGTATTTCCTGTCAAACACACTACTTTGCTGTAGTGTGGCGACTACCGCAGGGATATGGGGCCTCCAGGCTTCTACCAACAGCCCCCAGAGTCAGAGTCCTGTGACACATGCACACGTGTGCACCCAACCTGGAGCCCCAACTGCCTGGTCGTCTCTGGGTCCACCTCTGCTGCATCATCATTGTCCACTAGGGCAAGCTGTACCCTGCACAACACCAGGATCCTGCTTGCACACACCCTGCTCTCATCTCTCTGTTCTTATGAGATTGTTCCCATGCTTACACCTTTGCAACCTCTGAGGGCAGGTTTTCACCTGCTCATGGCACCTGACACACAGAGGATGCCTTATAAATGTGTGTTGTATGGATTGTGGGTGGTTGATGCATGGATGGACAGATGAGTGACTTATCTAAGCTCTCCTAGCCTGCTCTAGTGGATGTAGGACTTGAACCCGGGTCCTGGGCTTCCACATGCTGCCTGTCTTATTTGGCATCCAGCCTAATCCCAGCTGGATCCCCTTCAGGATATAAGGGTGTCTGTACAATGAACACCCCTAGTCTGTGCCCCCACCTCTGGCTGCCACTGAACAGCCTGGGTCACCAGGTCCCAGGTGGGCCTGAGTCTCTGTCCCTGCTGCCTGGCCAGACTTAGGAAGGTGTCACACATCTGAAGGAAGATGACATTGCCTGGGCCAACAGAATTCTCCCATTTGATCTCACCTCCAGGATCCAGAGCTGGGCAGAGAATGCAGCTAGGAGGAGAGAGTGAAGAGAGGGATGAAAAACAGGGGGTCCCTTACATCTCACCAGGCTCCCAAGCGAGTCAGGGAAAAATGAGCATCCAGAGCTTCAGCCCTTTGGGTGGGAGATCCTTAGAGGCCAACTTCTGAGTAGAAAACCTGTTCCAGGGGAGGATGGGGTGGGGCAGACCGAGCCCAGCAAGCACAGTGGTCTCAGAGCCAACAGGCAGCTGCCCCAGCTCAGCTCTGCACCAGCACCCAGTCAGCCAGACCCACATACAAGCTGCCTCCATGGATCATGGGCTTGGGCAGCCTGCTTCCTCCTGAAGCCTCAACTTTTGTATTCAGAATCAGGTGAGCAATGAGATTAAACATCAAAAGATCTCTGGGCACAGTACCCAGGCATTCCACAAATGGTGGGCTAGTGTGTATTGCTCCATTTTCCAGAAGGGGAAACTGAGTCCTGGAGAGATAAAGTGACATCCTGAATGCAATAGCAGAGCCAAGAGTGGCACACCAAGCTCCTGGCATATGGTGTGGCATTCTGACCACACTGCCTCCTGGCTTGGGGTGGGCCAGACCCAGCAGGTTCATGCATCTGGGATTTGTGGTCTCAGTTGGGTGTGTAGAGAAGAGCCACTCACATCTAGTCGAGGTTGGCTAAGCAGGCCTCCAACGTGGTACCTGGGTGACCCTCATGGCGGCTGACCCTGTAAGAAGCTTGGGAACACCTTACCCCAATCTGCCCTAGGCAATCGGGTCTGAAATTCTACCCTGAGCCCTTTTTGCTGTCCCTTCTCAATGTTGACCTTTGCCCTCCCTTCCCCCACACCCAACCTGGGGCCAGCTGCCCAGGAAGCTATCCTGGGCTACACACTTGGCCTGAAACATCTGCTGGACATGGCCAGACACATATCCTTCCTGTGACAAGATTGGAACAGGATGGGCAACACCGTCTTTGCTCTTTCTCAGGGCCATGCCAAAGTACAGGCTGTTCCTGGAAGATCGTGACATGAGCCGGGCTGGGGAGGACTGTGCCCATGGCCCTACAAGATACTGGGCAACTCTCTTGTCCGTGGATCGCAGGCTCCCCTGTGATCAGGCTCCACGGGGCTATAGCTCAGCATGTCAAAGCTAACAACTCACGGACAGGAAACTGGTCCTTTCCGGTGGGGAGGAGCTAAGTGCCAACAACTCCATCCCCCAATATAATAATCTAGCACCTTCCAGGCGGTGATGGTGGCAGGGTTCCTGTATGCCAGGATCTGTGCAGGCTGGTCTTCAACATGAGTTCTCTTGAGCTTGACTACAGCCCTGAAAGGAGGAGCTATCATTATTCCCATTCTGTAGATGAGGGTGTGAAGACCCAGACAGGGGCAGTCCTGAGATCACACAGCCCAAGAACTAGGCTCAGCCTAACCCTTGAGCAGGTGCTCCTCACTGGTACCAAGAATGTGGGTGTCATGGCCATTCACTGCTAACTGATGGGCTGGTGGCTTAGGTGGCAGCAAGAGTGAACCTCAGAGCCTCAGGGCTGTGCAGAAAGTATGGCAGGCATGAGGCCTAAGCTGAGGAGCAGGAGGCAGAAGTCACAACAGGAGGACAAATCCTGGTTGGATCAGGCCTCTTGCCCTACTCCTTGGACAAGGCAAAGAGTTCCAGGTACACGGGGGTGAGGAAAGAGGTAGCAAGGGACAGTGGCCTCAAGGGGCAGCCTTCAGGTGAGGAGCTGGCTGCAGAGACTCACAATTGTTGGCTTTTTTTATTCAAAATTTTAAAAAATTCACCGGGCATGGTGGCTCACACCTGTAATCCCAGCACTTTGGGAGACTGACGTGGGTGGATCACCTGAGGTCAGGAGTTCGAGACCAGCCTGGCCAAAATGGTGAAACCCGGTCTGTATTAAAAATACAAAAATTAGCTGGGCGTGGTGGTGGGCACCTATAATCCCAGCTACTCAGGAGGCTGAGGCAGGAGAATTGTTTGAACCTGGGAGGCAGAGGTTGCAGTGAGCCAAGATCGCACCATTGCACTCCAGCCTGGGCGACGAGAGCGAAACTCCGTCTCAAAAAAAAAAAAAAAAAAAAAAATTAAAAGAAAAAAACATCGGATGGGTTTGGTGGCTCACGCCTATAATCCCAGAACTTTGGGAGGCCGAGGTAGGTGGATCACCTGAGGTCAGGAGTTCGAGAGCAGCTTGGCCAACATGGTGAAACCCTGTCTCTACTAAAAATACAAAAATTAGCTGGGAATGGTGGCAGGTGCCTATAATCCCACCTACTCAGGAGGCTGAGGCAGGAGAATCCCTTGAACCCAGGAGGCAGAGATTGCAGTGACTGGAGATCGCACCATTGTACTCCCGCCTGGGTGACAAGTGCAAAACTCCGTCTCAAAAAAAAAAAAAAAAAAAAAAGAAAAGAAAAAAGAAAAAGAAAAAGGAAAAAAAATCAATGGGACTCACAATTGTTTTACAGCGTTCCCTGCCTTGTTCCTGCCACCAAAAGCCATCAAGCCTCCCATAATCCTTCCCAAGTGCTTCATATTCTACCATCATAGCATTGAGGATCCTGGATTGAAATCCTGTATCTATTGCTCCCAATGGGTGGGGAGCTTCAGTAATTTGCCCACTTTTTTTTCACAGCTTGCCAGGTGACACAAGGGGGACGGTCAATGAATATTTCTTAAATGGGTGGTTAGTTAGTTAAATGGACAGATGGATTGTTGGATGGATGGTTAGATGGATGGTTGGATGGACAGTTGGATGGATGGTTGGATGGATGGTTGGATAGGTGGTTGGGTGGATGGTTGCATGAAGGGCTGGCTCGTTAGTTGCTGTGTTAGTTTCCTATTGCTGCTGTAACAGATTATCACAAGTTTCATGGTTTAAAACAACACAAATGTATTATCTTACAATTCTGGAGGTCAGAAACCTGAAAGGGGTCTCACTGGACTAAAATCAAGGTGTCAGCAGGGTTGCATTCTGGAGGCTCTAATGGAGCATCCATGTCCTCCTTGCCTTTCCAGCTTCTGGGGGCTGTCATTTTTTCTTGTCTTGTGGCCCCTTCCTCCATCTTCAAAGCCAGCAATGTAAGACCAAGTCCTTCTCATGCTGCCATCTCTGTGGTTCCTCTTCTCCTCTTAAGAACCCATATGATTACCTTGGGCCCACCCAGATAATCCAAGATAATCCCCCTATTTTAACACCAGATGATTAGCAACCTTAATTCCATCTGCAACCTTAATCCCCCTTTGCCATGTTAAGTAACATAATCACAGGCTCTAGGATTAGGATGGAGACATCTTTTGGGGGACATTAGTCTGCCTATTACAGATAGATAGATGGTTGGTTGGATGGATGGGTAGATGTATGGATAGATGTATGTATGTATGTATGGATGGATGGATGGATGGATGGACAGATGGATAGAGGGTTGGATGGATGGGGAGATGTATGGATAGATGTATGTATGTATGTATGGATGGATGGATGGATGGATGGATGGATGGATAGAGGGTTGGATGGATGGGGAGATGGTTGGATGGATGGATGGCAGACTAAGCCCTCCTGACCCCCCTGCCTTTGATGGGAATGAACAGCTTGAGACAGGTCATACGTGTTACCTCCCATCTCCTGTACTCTCTATCACTATTAATATAGTGCAAGAGCACTGAACCAGGAGAGGGATGTTTGCCAGGAGTGTCGCCCAGTCGCCCAGGCTGGAGTGCAGTGGCGGGATTTCGGCTCACTGAAACCTCTGCCTCCTGGGTTCAAGCGATTCTCCTGCCTTGGCCTCCCGAGTAGCTGGGATTACAGGCTTGCATCACCACACCCAGCTAAATTTTTTGTATTTTTAGTAGAGACGGGGTTTCACCATGTTGGCCAGGCTCGAACTTCTGACCTCAACTGATCTGCCAACCCAAGCCTCCCAAAGTGCTGGGATTACAGGCGTGAGCTACCGTGCCTGGCCACCCTGCACGTCTTTCTCTTGCATTTTATCTTTCCAAATGACTTTGGCGCTCCCAGAGGTAGGGAACTCTGTCCCACTTTCCAGCCTAGCACTCCAAACGATATTTGACTCTTACCTGCTGGTAAATGAGAGAATAACTTTGTGGGACATTCAGTCGGGCTGGGAGATTGAGAGGGGGGAAGGGATCTGGGATTCGCACCCCCTCTAGCTGAGTGTGATGGGATATCCATGAGGGGTAGCAGGGAGAGGAGCTCAGCCCCCAGAACCCACCCACTTGGGTGGGATGTTTTACTGGGGAGAAGAAGGTCAATTAAGTTTGTGTTTATTCCTTGTTTAATCTATTTAAATACCAAATACTATATATACACACACACACATATACTATATATATGGTATATATACACATTATAGTATATATGTGTATACACATATACACACTATAGTATATATATGTGTGTGCAGATGTATATTGTATTTATTTATTTATTTTTATTTTATTTATTTTTTTGAGACGGAGACTCGCTTTCGCCCAGGCTGGATTGCAGTGGCGCGATCTTGGCTCACTGCAAGCTCTGCCTCCCGGGTTCACGCCATTCTCCTGCCTCAGTCTCCTGAGTAGCTGGGACTACAGGTGCCCGCCACCACACCCCGCTAATTTTTTTTTTTATTTTAGTAGACATGGGGTTTCACCCTGTTAGCCAGGATGGTCTTGATCTCCTGACCTCGGGATCCGCCCTCCTAGGCCTCCCAAAGTGCTGGGATTACAGGTGTGAGCCACAGCGCCCGGCCTATATATAGCATTTAAACAGATTATATATATAGTATTTAAACAGATAAAACAGTAGTATTTTTTATATATATATATATATATATATATATATATATTTTTTTTTTTTTTTTTTTTTGAGACCGAGTCTTACCTGTTGCCCAGGCTGGAGGGCAGTGCTGCGATCTTGGCTCACTGTGACTTCCACCTCCCAGGTTCAAGTGATTCTTGTGCCTCCCAAGTAGCTGGGACTACAGACATGTAGTACCACCACACCTGGCTAATTTTTGTATTTTTAGTAGAGATTGGGTTTTGCCATGTTGCCTAGGCTGGTCTTGAACTCCTAGGCTCAAACAATCCACCCAACTCAGGCTCCCAAAGTGTTGAGATTACAGGCGTGAGCCACTGCTCCTGGACTAAATACAGTATTTGATTAATATAAAAGAATATCAGGCCAGGCACGGTGGCTCATGAGTGTAATCCCAGCACTTTGGGAGGCCAAGGCGGGTGGATCACGAGGTCAGGAGATCGAGACCATCCTGGCTAACATGGTGAAACCCTGTCTCTACTAAAAATACAAAAAATTAGCAGGGTGTGGTGGCGGGCGCCTGTAGTCCCAGCTACTCGGGAGGCTGAGGCAGGAGAATGGCATGAACCCGGGAGGCGGAGCTATCAGTGAGCCGAGATCGCGCCACTGCACTCCAGCCTGGGTGACAGAGCGAGATTCCATCTCAAAAAATAAATAAATAAATAATAAAATAAAATAAAATAAAATAATATCTGTGGCTGGACGTGGTGGCTCACACCTGTAATCCCAGCACTTTGGGAGGCCGAGGCAGGTGGATCACCTGAGGTCAGGAGTTCAGGACCAGCCTGGCCAACATGGTGAAACCCTGTCTCTAGAAAAATACAAAAATTAGCCAGGTATGCTGGTGCATGCCTGTAATCCCAGCTATGCGGGAGGCTGAAGCAGGAGAATCACTTGAACCTGGGAGGCGGAGGTTGCAGTGAGCCAAGATGGCACCACTGCACTCCAGCCTGGGTGGCAGAATGAGACTCTGTCTCAAGACTCTATCTCAAAAGAAAAAAGAAAAAAAAGAATATCTGTAACGGACAATGCAGACAGTGCAAAATAGTATAATTGACACCTGCGATCTACCATACAACACAGAATGGGCACGGAACTTGCCTTGCTAGACCATAAGCTCCACAAGGCCCGGGCTTCATGTCTGCCTTGCTCATGCCTGTATCTCCCCACACCATGAAGAGTGCCCGGCACCCTGTGGGCCTGTGGCAGGTGTCCGTGGGTGGGGTCCCCCGTGTGGGTCTCCCTATCCAGCTCCTGCCTCTCCTCGAGTATGGCAAATTTTGGTTTAGCACTTCCTAGCCTGCAGATAGTTCTGTCATCATACACACCTGAACTCCTAAAACTATATCATTTAGTTATACTTCAGGGGGGCTTTATAAAAATGGCTTTGAACTGAATGTAGTCTCCTGCAGTTTGCTTTTTCACCCACATGATGGTTCAGGATTCACCCATGCTGCTGTCGGAGCTGCAGCTGATTTCTCAATTTGCCTGTCACCGGATATTTGAGTTTCTCCTTAGGAACAGTGTTGCTAAAAATGTCTCTGGGGTCGGGGGAGGGAGTTATTGTCATTATTATTATCACTGGTCCTGTTCCCATTCAAGCAGGTTCACACTCCCTCCTCTCCTCCCAACCTCCCGCAAGCACAGCCACTTCCCAGTCCCATTGGTGCCCCAGAATGAGGCTCCCTGTGACCTGAGCCAAACCTGGGTGGGGGTGGGAGGGGGTGTGGGAGGGGGCACAGCTGTAGGGAACTTCTATCTGGATCCATGCCCCTGCACCCCACCTTGAGTCACCCCCAAAAGCACGTCTCATCCCCCAGGCCCTATGTTTAGAATAGGATGGAATGGGAAAACAGACTGCAGTTGGACAGTGCCGGGTTCAAAATCAGCCCATCACGTCCAAGCCATGTGACCTCAGACAAGTCCCCCTTTCTGAGCCTCGGTCTCCTCACGTGTGATGGGGGATAACCTCAGTGCTGTCCTCACAGAGCATCTCAGCGCCAGAGGTGCTCAGTGAAGGGCAGGGAAGCTGAAGTCGTAGCTGTTGCTGTTTTCCCAAGGGCAGCTGCTATCTATGCTCCATCTTCCCCAGATGCTGTCAGGAACTTCAGAGAGCATCTAATCCAGACCTCTTTTACAGATGAGGGAACTGAGGCAATGGCGGGGGCTGGGAGCTCCCAGCCTGTTCCCTGCTGCAGGACAGATTGGTCCAACACCAGTATGTCCCCACTGCCTCCGTGCACATGCAAGGGACTGCCATCCTGTCCCCCTTCCGCCATGCAGCCCTGGACCTGCCCTTGAACTGCTTGTACAGCATCCTGCTCTGGCCTGGCCCTGGGGTATGAAGATGGGGATGGCAGGGGGGCAGCAGTGACCTCCACCTCCCAGGTTCAAGTGATTCTTGTGCCTCAGCCTCCCAAGTAGCTGGGACTATTACCATGCCACCTGACCCCAGGCTTCTGCCTGGGCCCTGAAGTCACCTTCCACTCTCCCTGAGGCCCTGGAGTCCCCACTCTCCCTGACCTGCCCTGCTGCACCTCGAGAGACCCAGGTCCTGCCTGCCCAACCTGGGCATAACACCCACTCTGCTCTGAAGGGTGGTCACGGGACTTGCCCCCTCTGCAGGCACCAAGGCGGTTGGGAGTGAGTGACAGGGAGCCTGATGCTGCTGCTCCAGACAGATGAGAGGCTGCCTGCAGAATGGGGGTGGAGGCAAATGCTTGATTTTGCAGTTGCATCCAGTTATCAGATAAGGAAGTTGAGTTCAGTGTCACACAGAAGGAACAGGACATGAGACCAGACCTGACTCCTCTTGCCTGATGCCCAACACGGCTTGCATTCTGGTGCCCTGTGGGAGGGCAGGGAGGAGGCTCCTGCCCAGAGCATCTACAGGGGGAGTCTCCTCCAAATCCGGTGTCTGTGCTGGGAGGAGCACCCCCGCTGCAGCCAGGCCACTTACCCTCAGTGATGCAAGTGCAGGGGTCAGGGCCAGCCCTTCCCCAGGTTTTCTCAAGAAGCACTGTCCCCAGGGAGCAGGCCTGAGCCTGGAGGAATGGGCGAGAAAGGGCCAGCCTCCCTTCAACAAGCTGCACTCCTTCCCACCTGCCGACACTCACTCTTCTCCACTTCCTGTCAGGGAACCCCCTCCTGGCTGCGGCAACATTCCCTCCAGGCGCCGCCCCCGCAGCCCCCAGGCCCCTCCTCTGCGCCAGGGTGGGAGCTCAGTAATTCAAGTTATTTTTAGCCAAGCTGCATCCTCCAGGAGATTGGAGTCAAGGGGAAGCCACCCCCGCACCTCCAGGAGCTGCTTGCGGAAAGAGTGATCGATTAAAACCAGTGCTGCAAGGGCCCTGTGCCAGGCAGGCAGCAGGCGCTGAGACAGGCAGAGCCAGGACCGTGGGCCTCTCACCCGCTGGCTCCTAGGCACTGGTGCCGCGTTGTTAGGAGTGGTGGGGGTCCCCACATGTCCCTCACTGCCACCGCTCAGCAGCTGCTTGTCAGCCCAACCTCATCTGACCCTGTCCCCAGCAGCCCTGCCCACGGGGAGGAGGGCCACCGCAGAGCCATCCCCTTCTCTTATCCCCACTCTGGGCGGGATTCTTTGCCTCTGTCCCCACCAGCCTCTGCCCACCAGGGGAGATTGGGGAGGGCAGAGAAGGACCCCCATTTTGCCTGCCTGGTCATCTGTCCAATCTGAGCCTTGTCCTAGGAGACCTGCTGGGTGGGCAGGGACAACCCTGACCCCCTGACTGCCAGCACCTGGCCCTGAGGATTACTGGGAAATGGGGACCAAAGCCGCAGGTGGGCACAGGAGTAGGCAGGTGGCTGGGGGATTAACCAGGGCTGAGGAGTGCCTGGGTGAGCCAGTGACTGAGCAATGTCCACAGGCCAGGCCCTGGTAGGTGCTCGGAATGAACAGGTCCCTGGATCCCCACCACAGCCTGCCAAGTAAGTGATGCCCTGCTCCCCCTCTCCCAGATGAGGAAGCTGAGCCTTGGGGTTGAGTCTCTGCTCAAGGTCACCCAGCTGCCTGGCATCCAGGCAGGTCTGGACCGTGCTCCCCAGCCCTCGCCAGTGGCTGCCTGCTGAGGGGGTGCCTGAGAATTTGAAGAACTAATGAGTGGGTATGGGGCCGATGTAGAAAGAGGGACTAACAAATGCAATATTGCAGGGGGACGCCTGCTGGATGAGGTGGGCCCGAGTCTCCTAGCACCTGTCCCCACCTTCCATGGACACCTCAGCACTGTCCACCAGAGGGTCACTCCTTCCGGTAGGCGTCCCCTTCCTTTTCTCAAGCTGTCATCTTGGGATGACACTTCCTACACTTGGGTGACACACTTCCCACCTGAGTGTAAGAGTCTCAGGCAGTGTCCACGCCCAGGAGAGTTTCAAGGAGCGGCTTTGATGGGGAGAAAAAGCTGGGTGATCACGGGCAAGTCGCTTTACTTTTCTGAGCCTGTTTCCTCCTCTGCAACGTGGGATTAACAGGCGAGGACACTCTGAGGGTGTGGTGAGAACCAGCCACAATAAAGGCAAAGCTCCTGACTCCAGCCCCCAGCAGCAGGCCCCTTTCTCTGCTGGCGCCCAGGACTTGGGCTGTGTGCGGGAAAGGCAAGAGCACCCTCTTCCGGCCAGGCCTTGGGGTCTTCAGGGTCGCAGCGACAGCTCAGGGAGGTCCGGATCAGCTGGGAGAGCTATGAGAGCAAATGCCAACCTTCACCCTCTCCAGCCCACTGTGTTCTCTCCACCTCCACCTGATCGCACAGGGCCTGCCTCATCTTCCAGGGAGGCTCCCAGGGCGCTCCTCCAACCCCAGAAGGTTTCTGGAGCCTGCTGGCCTGGCTTGAATGGAGCCCTCTCTGGTCTACATCTAGGGGTGCTGTGCCCACAGCTTCCTCCCCTCCCAGCCTCCCCGGCTCTGCATACCGTAGGTGCTCCAAGTGATCATGGCAGTAGCCCTGGCACAGCAGATACAAGAGGTTTGGGGCTGGGACCCCCTCCCAGGACCTGTCCATAGCTCTGTGTCTGCCGCCTCATGGGAATCTTGTGTAGCCTGTGTGGCCGACCTTGTTTACGTGGAGGTGGGATTGGGCCATTTAGCAGCCTCTGAGAAGTTGAGTGACTTGCCAGGGACACAGTCAAGAAAGGGCTGCCCTTGGGCCAGAACCTGCTGCCTGCAGCCACAAGCCCTTCGTGCTCAGGGGACACTCTCAATGGGACCTTTAGAATCCCCAGCCCTCTCAGAATTCTAGCTCCTCTCTGATCTTGCTAGAGTCCCGTGTGCCGCCCTAAACAGGGCCAGAACTCATTCTCCTTCCTTAGCCTATGTTGCGCTGGGGCCTGGGAGGGGGTTACTGAAGCACTAAGTTTAGGAAACCCAGGAACACCAATGGTAGGGAGGCAGGCACCTCTCAGGGAACAAAAGTGGGTGAGGGCAGCCAGGGGCTTTCTCTGGACTCAGGAGAGAAACATCAGCAACTGCCTTCCCATGGGGTGCAGGTCTCCTGTGGCCCTCTGTACCTAGCCACTCCTCGGGCCAACGGTAGCAAATGCAGCCTCCACCCTCATCCCGGCTCAGGCCTCTCTGGTTCCCTCCCTGACTCTCCAATACTCACTGTGTGCCCTTGAGTAAATTCCTCCTCCTCTTAGACCTCAGTTTCCCCACCCATTGGCTTAGAGAGGGGAACTAGATGATCTTCAAACCCCCCTGCTCCAGCGCTTGTTTCCTAAACTCCGCCAGGGGCTCCTGGGTCACAGCCTCTGTCTCCTGGGAGGGAGTGAGGACTGGGAGACTTGGGGCTTGAAATCTTTGGGAGAAGACAGCTCCCTTGTTCATTCAGAATAATTCTTTCAAAGGTCATTTCGTCCTGTCCTGTCTCCATCTTAAAGAGTTGTCCATCTGATCCCTAGGAAGGGGCGGTCCTGGGATGCAGCCAGGGCATTAACCCCAGGACTGCTTGGTGAGCAGAGAAGTCCTTTCTCCCCAGCCCGCCAAGTCTCTCTTTAGTCTGAGCTGGGAAGAGAGGGAGGGAGGGTACAGGCGAGAGGTGCATCCAGGCAGGATGGGGTTAAAGGAGAAAGGGAGCTAGAAGGGGGCTGTGGTTGCCAAGGCAACGACATTGCTGGGGCCATTGGAGCCTGCTGGGGAGGGAAAGGAGAGGGGTGTCCCTCCCAACCCTCAGCTTCATTCTTCCTTTTCAGATGCTCTTTGTTAAAAGGGAATCTCCGTAGCCTCCTTTTGTGGCTGGGAACAGGAGTGGGGAGAGATACTTCGGGCTTCCATCCAGCCCTGTCCAACACCCTCATGTCACCCACCTACCCTATCCCTTCCCTCCCATCCTTCCTAGCAGGTCGGTTTTCTGTGCTGCTGGACTTTTCTTCCATTTATACTTGGCCAGTCCTTGGCTGCCTGAGGCCAACTGACCCCAGCCCAGGCCTGCTCAGGCAGCAGCCTGCCCTCCACCCAAGGACACTACCACCTCCTTTGTAGGCCTGCTCTGGATGTGGCAGGTGTGTCTGGCAGAAGCAGGGGCTGGCACAGAGGATGCCCTCACTCTGGGCATCCGTTGGCCATAAAGGCCACGGGCTTCTCTCGTCACATGGCAGTCACTGTCACAAGGCCCCCTCCATGGCCTCATTGGGTACAAACCACCCCGTGCCCCCCCAGATTCTGGTAGGTGCCTGGACTGCAGTAGCTCTCCATTTGGCTGTGGGACCTCTAGCCAGTCATGCCCAAGGACTCCATCTCCCCACCTGTGAAGTGGGGTGATAAAAACCATACCCCCTCCAAAGGCTGCTGTGCGGTCTCACAATCAAACCCGCGGGCCTCCCAAATGCACAGCGAGGCTCTGGGAGGCTTCCTGCCTCCTCAGCCCTGGTGCTACTCGCCTCCACTGTGGCAGGCAGGCTCCAAGAGGTGAAGATGCTCTGCTGGTGAGTGGCAGTCAGAATCGAAAACCAAGTCTGTCTGATGCCAAAGCCTGTTCCTTTAACCCACAAGAGGCATCGCCCTTGGGTAAGTCTAAAGTGGGCCAGGAGGGGCTGTGCCCAGGGATGCCCACAGGCTCTACTTCCTCTGCCTTGAACCCTCTCTGGGGGAAGACAACTCACCACCACCACCAGGAACTTGGAGCTGAGGGAGACCTGACCCAGCCTAGAGAACCTGTTCAAAATAGACAGGCACTGAATCTGGAGGTGGGGGTGGTGGGGCGTGCTGAGAAGCGCAGCTGTGAAAGGCCTGGGAGGCTGCAAGAGTGTCCCGCCGGAGGGGAGCGGGTGCCTGTCTACAGCCCACCTGCAGCACCAGACTTCATCCGCGGTCCCACTCTGCCCCCTTGCGGACGATAGGCTCACATCCCGGCTCACTCCTGGGCTAGGTGGGCCAGGTGCGCCCCCAGAGGGAGATCAGGCCTGGGGCTGAAAGGGGCGCGCGCGCGATGACCTGAGGAATGGGCCGCACCTTCCAGTTTCTGCTGGAAATGACTCTCTTTTGACAGATACTGAGCACCAGCCTGGCGTTGCATGCAGCCCATGGCCCTTTCCTTCTACCAGGAGCTTTGAATCCCAGGCTCCTGGTGGGGAGTGAACTTAACTCTATTTTCCAACCCTGCATTCCACTTTTTTTTTTTTTTTTTGAGACAGAGTTTCACTCTTGTTTCCCAGGCTGGAGGACAATGGCGCGATCTCAACTCACTGCAACCTCCGCCTCCTGGGTTCAAGCGATTCTCCTGCCTCAGCCTCCCAAGTAGCAGGGATTACAGGTGCCCACCCCCACACCCATCTTAATTTTTTGTATTCTTAGTGGAGATGGGGTTTCATCATGTTGGCCAGGCTGGTCTTGAACTCCTGACCTCAAGTGATCCACACAGCTCAGCCTCCCAAAGTGCTGGGATTATGGGCGTAAGCCACCATGGCTGGCCCCCTCCATCCCATTTTTAAACCCCCAACCCCAGGGCATTCAATCGCTGCTGGCAAAACCCTTGTATCAGGAAGCTCACTACTGCTGGGAGCAGCCCATATTTTGGAGGGAATTCTGATTGCAAAAATGCCCCTTGTCCACGAAGCTGGCATTTGCTGTCCTCAGTCACAGCTCTGTCTTCTAGGGACACACAGAATCAGGTAGCCCCTCCCTCAGAAAGTTCTAAGCAGATCCAAAGTCCCAAAGCCCACCCCACCTCCACACTTCTGTCTTGTGGGGGTAAAACAACCAGATAAAACACCCTGGTTCTGACAACCTTCACAGTCCCTCTTACCTGAAAACACTGGTAGTCCCTGTATCTCAGGAACCTCAGAGGCTGAAGGGACCCAGCCCCCGCGAGCACCGCCACTTTCCTCCACCTTGGCTTTCTCTTGTTGTTCCTTGGATCTTGTCCTTATTTTTAGCATCCACTTGCCACTGATTTTCTTTCCCCAAGCCCCGTCTCCCTCACCTGAGGCCTTGTGGGGAAGATGCATGGATGGGACTAACAATGATTGAGCACCTACTGTGTACTTAACATAGTGTTCTGTGCTTTACTCAAATTATCCAGTTTAGCCCCAAGAGGTTATTACTATTTTTATCCCCACGTTACGCTGGGAACTGAGGCTTGGCAAGCAAGGCTCTGGGTCCAGGAGAAGAGCTGACTCTTATCTCTGAGAAATCCCTCCAGGCCAGCTGGCTTCTCCACCCTGATTCTGTCATCTTCCTGGATTTGTGAAATGTGCACATTTAACTCCTCAAACATGTATCAGGTCCCCATATACTCCTGGGACTGTGACAGGAACTGCAAAAACAACCCCAGGGGTCTCCAACCCCATCACTTTGCTGAGGAGACACTATGGGATCCTACTCGGGCTTTGAATTGGGTAATGGGTCTGGACAAGGCCTGGTCAAGACAACACCCTTGCAGGCCACATGGGTTGGGCTGATCACATCCAGCCCCATCCAGCCCTATCTTGTCACCCAGGCTCACATCTTTCTCTGCCTTGTGCCCAAGGCATTTGAGAGAGACCTGGCTTATGCTCTGCTGAGTCCAGATAGTGGCTCTGCCCAAGTCTACTCCATGGAGGAGGCAAGTGGAGCCCGGCCTCCAGGCAGATTTGAGATGGAGCAAGAACCACTCACTCATGGAGGGTGAGAGTGTGTCAACCCTAGAGGAAAGGTTAAGTTCTTTGCCTTTTTGTATGTGTGTGCCAGAGACTCCATTGACATATGGTGATATTTATTGACCTCTTCTCAAAATAATGTTTCAAAATATGTAAAATAGATTAAGATTACAAAAGATTTTCATGAGCAGAGAAAGATGTCCACAAATTATGACTAAATGCATAAAATCAGGTTACAGAAGAGTTCATATAGTGTAAGTTTCCATTTATGAAAGAGAGGAGTGAAAAAGGGAGGGAGGAAGAAAAGAAAGAAAGGAGGGAGGGAGGGAGGGAGGAAGAAAGGAAGGAAGGGAGAAATAAAGAAAACTATCCCTAGAAAGAATACTATCTTTATAGACATGGATGACCCTACCATCCATCCCACTTTGAAAAGCATGACAGGGACTAGGCGTGGTTGGTCACGCCTGTAATCCCAGCATTTTGGGAGGCCAAGGTGGGTGGATCACTTGAGGTTAGGAGTTCAAGACCAGCCTGACCAACATGGTGAAAACTCATCTCTACTAAAAATACAAAAATTAGCTGGGTGTGATGGCAGGCGCCTGTAATCCCAGCTACTCAGGAGGCTGAGCCAGGAGAATCGCTTGAACTGGGGAGGCGGAGGTTGCAGTGAACTGAGATCGTGTCATTGCACTCCAGCCTGGGCAACAACAGCAAAACTCTGTCTCAAAAAAAAAGAAAAAGAAAAGAAAAGCATGACAGGTCAGTGGCTCCAGGTCATGGTCCCCTTTGGCTCCTGGACAGGTCCCCTCAGGTCACAGCCAAAGTTCCTCATTCTTGTCACTGACTCCCCCTTGCCTAACAGCTGGGATTTAACTCTGGGCCAATCCCTAACACAGCCCCAGTGGTACTGCATGACCATCGTCCATCTCTGAATCTGCCTCCCCCGTCAGACCGTGGCTTTCTGCTCACTGCTTTTTCTGCCTCTGTCGTAACAGTCTAGCTAAACCAAGTCACTACTCACTTTTTAGGAGCTGCGGGAGTCGCTACCCAGCTGGAAGGCCACATAGCAGGGCAGCCTGGTTCTTTTAAAGTCATCACAGGCTGGACATGGATTACAGGCTCACGCCTGTAATCCCAGCACTTTGGGAGGCCAAGGAGTGTGGATCACCTGAGGTCAGGAGTTCGAGACCAGCATTGCCAACATGGTAGAACCCCGTCTCTACTAAAAACACAAAAATTAGCTGGGCATGGTGGCAGGTGCCTGTAATCCCAGCTACTCGGGAGGCTGAGGCAATAGAATCGTTTGAACCCAGGAGGTGGAGGTTGCAGTGAGCCAACATCGCGCCATTGCACTCCAGCCTGGGCAATGAGAGCAAAACTCTGTCTCAAAATAAATAAATAAATAAATAAAATAAATAAAAGTAAATAAATAAAGTCATCACTGCCCCCGCTGTCAGCCTCTACCCTGCTGGCTTCTCTTTCTCAAGGATGTGGCAGTCAGACCTCCTCCTCCCTGTCCCAGTCTCCACAGCCACCTCTTCAACTTCCTGAGCTGAAGTCCTGACTTGCTGTCAGGCATCACACCACCCCCACCTCCTGTAGCCCCTGTCTTTGCCCACCAGGTTCTCTACCTGTGCTCAGCACCCCACAGGGACTTTATTCCTGCAGAGACACTCTCCTCTGGGCTCAGCTGTTTCTTTCTTGGCACCAGATCATCCATCAGTATATAAGCCTGCTTTTCATTCTCCCAACTCACACCTGTCAGAATTCTCTCCCCTTTCTCAGGAATGCTTTGGTAATGAGTCATCCACATGTCCTGCCTCCACAACCTCCTTTCCGCTTCACTCCCTAAACCTCTGCAGTATGCGTCTGTCACTCCACGAACCTGGCTTGTCAAGGAACGTTCACTGGGCATGTGTTTATTAAGCTCTTGCTCTATCTACATTATGCTGAGTTAGGCAGTGGGAAAATGAAGGTGATCAAACCAGTCCCAAACTCTGGGCTCCTATGATAATGGACACATACACAACTAAGTAAACAATGCAATTAGAGTCTGGGAAAGTTCTATAAAGAAAGCAAACCATGGCCGGGCACGGTGGCTTACGCCTGTAATCCCAGCACTTTGGGAGGCCGAGGCGGGCAGACCACCTGAGGTCAGGAGTTCAACACCAGCCTGGCCAACATGGTGAAAACCCGTCTCTACTAAAAATAATTCTTTAAAAATTAGCTGGGAGTGGTGGTGTGCGCCCGTAATCCCAGCTACTCAGGAGGCTGAGGCAGGAGAATCGCTTGAACCCGGGAGGCAGAGGTTGCAGTGAGCTGAGATCGCACCACTGCACTCCAGCCTGGGAGACAGAGTGAGACTGTCTAAAAAAAAGAAAAAAAAAAAAAGAATAGAAAAGAAAGGAAACCATGAGAGGACACAGAATCACTGGTGAGATGAGGCAGTGGTTCTCTATTTTAGATAATGGAGTCCAGGGAGGCCTCTATAGGAAAGAGCACACCATCCAAAAAGCAGGGAGAAGGGCAGTCCAGGTGGCTGGGATAGCAAGTGCAAAGGTCCTGAGGCAGAACACACATTTGTGGTTGGCAGGAAAGAAAGGCAATGCGTTTGGAGAGAAGTAAATGACAGAGGTTGTCAGGGTCAAGTGGGTAAAGAATTGATCTTCAATGCAAGGGGATGTCCTTGCAGATTTAAGGGACAGGATCTGATTTGTATCTTAAAACAAGTCCCCAAGCCCCACTGCCGTGTGGAAAATGAACTATAGGGGGAAGAGGTGGAGAAGGCAACAGAGTTGTTAGAGGCAACAATTTCTCAATTCTGATGTCCAACAGGCATCTCACATTTAATGCATCCAACAAAAATATCTGGCTCATCATTCCCCCTCAAAACAAAACAAACAAAGCCCCTGCTCCCCACTCAATCTTCCATCTCTGTAAACAGCCCACCATTCACCCAGTTGTCAAGCCAAAGACATAGGGGCTATCCTTGCCTCCTTTTTCTCCCTCATCTTCTGTGTCCCAAGTCCAGTACTCTTTCTTTGTCCACTCCTCTGCATTCCCACTGTCCTCCCTCAGGTCCAGGCAGCCCTCTCTCCTTCCTCCCCTCTGCTCCTTCTCCACGAAAGAGTCAGGCGTGCTTTTCTTTTTTTTTTTTGAGACAGAGTCTCGCCCTGTAGCCCAGGCTGGAGTGCAATGGTGCGATCTTGGCTCACTGCAACCTCCACCTCCCAGATTCAAGCAATTCTCCTGCCTCAGCCTCCAGAGTAGCTGGGATTACAGGCACGTGCCACCACGCCCCGTGAATTTTTTTTTTTTTTTTTTTTTTTTTTTTGGATTTTTAGTAGAGATGGGGTTTCACCATGTTGTCCAGGCTGGTCTGGAACTCCTGACCTCGTGATCCGCCCACCTCAGCCTCCCAAAGTGCTGGGATTACAGGGGTGCTTTTAAGAACACAGATCGGCCAGGTGCGGTGGCTCACGCCTGTAATCCCAGCACTTTGGGGGACAGAGGCGAGCGGATCGCGAGGTCAGGAGTTCGAGACCAGCCTGGCCAACATGGTGAAACCCCGTCTCTACTAAAAATGTAAAAATTAGCCGGGCGTGGTGGTGGGCGCCTGTAATCCCAGCTACTCGGGAGGCTGAGGCAAGAGAATCGCTTGAAACCGGAAGGCGGAGGTTGCAGTGGGCCGAGATTGTGCCACTGCCCTCCAGCCTCGGTGGAAGAGCGAAACTCCGTCTCAAAAAAAAAAAAAAAGAAAAAGAACACAGATCTTCTTGCCCAACAACATCCCTCAAGGACTCCTTTCTTTTTCAGTATCTTGAATAAGACTTAAGAGACAGGTCCTGGAGAAACAGAGAAGGGAGGAGGCAGCCTGAAGGGGGCGGAGGCAAGCTCGTAGCACCGCCTCCACGTCTGGCTTGCGTTCTTCCGGGCTTCGGAACTTTTCTTCGCGGAGCCTGGGGAAGCTTTTCCAGTAGTACTTTCCGGCGTTGTTGACCCTATTTCCCGTGCTGCACCGCAGCCCCTTTCTCTTCCGGTTCTAGGCGCTTCGGGAGCCGCGGCTTATGGTGAGTGTTGGCCGCGCGGCATCCGATGCCATCCGCGACTTACGGGTGGCGGCGGGGCGCGGGCTGCGGAGAGGACTGGTGACCGACCGTGTGTCTGTCGGGAGCAAAAGCTGCGGGGTGGGAATGGTGCTTCTAGGTCCTAGGAGGGGGATGGCAGGGAAAGCCACTTTATTGGGGAATGCAGCTTTCCGGGGGTAAGGAGTTGATTTCAGGGCATCATTACCTGGGTTTGGGAGGCCAGGACTGGCGTTTGGTCGTGCAGAGTAAGCCGAGACTCGTGGAGGCTGCACATTCTCTGCCTGCAGGCTCATTCTGACCAGAATGGGGGGGGCAGAGGTGGCCCAGCCTGGCGAGCCCTTAACCCTGATCTCCACTTTTGTCTTCCAGGTGCAGACATGGCCAAGTCCAAGAACCACACCACACACAACCAGTGTAAGTTTTTTGGGCCCTGCCTACATCCCAGACCCTGGCAAGGACTGGTTCAGGCAAACTGGGACAGAGATGAAGGGGCACGTTTCCATTGTGGGCCTGAGGCTGATTGATTTCACCCAGTAATAACTTTAGGGTTTATAGGTTTAGAGATCTACTTGAGATACAGAGTGTTTTGCATTTAGTAGTAAGGGTTTCCCATATCTCAAGTGTAGCTGCTGTAGGAAGTGTTGGTTCTCCCAGACTTGCCAGCTGTGATGTTGGGTGGTCTTATTAGAGGAAAGTTCTTTGTTGGCTTAATTCCCTTTTTTTCTCCCACAGCCCGAAAATGGCACAGAAATGGTATCAAGAAACCCCGATCACAAAGATACGAATCTCTTAAGGGGGTGAGTGCACTGAATCACATGGAAGTGTCTTTTCTTGGTTCCAGGTGCACAGTCAAGGCCTCTCATGTAGTTTTTCTCTAGCTTTGGCTTCTGCCTGAGCACAGCCTAACTGGCCCACCCAAAGCCTGCAATTCCTTTTTCTACCCTACCAGACCCATAATAAAGCTTTCCTTGGTCTCCACAGCCTGAAGTGTAACCCTCTGGTCAGGGTGTAACCTGCCTCCTGAGGGCAGTTTGGCTATCTCCCTTGCTTGGCAGTGGCACTTAGGGTAAGGAGTGGCCTTGTCTGAGTGCGTGCAGGGCACATTCCCACACTGACCAGCCTTATGACCTCCATCTGACCCAGTGCTGGAGTTGGGGTCAGCTTCTCTTCCTGTGTCAGGGGGTTCTAAGGATTAGCTGAGAAGGCTGGAGGGTCTAGGGGAGAGCTGAGCATGTCCCCAGTCTGTTCCTTCCCTTTACTTTTGCTCTCTGTTCCGTGGAGTGAATCACAAACTCTGAGCCTCAGTTTCCCCATATCCCACCTTGGCTATAAGTCTTTTGGACCAGACTTGGTATTTAATTGACACCTTCTTCTAAAGAGGGGAGGGGGTGTCCCTGAGGGGATGTCAGGAAAAAACTTGGTCGAACCCCTGCTGTAGGAAGTTGAAGCCCCACAACCTTGGCAGACAGGGCAGCAAAGCAGCTTGTAATTTTGTTCTTGAAGGAGGTCTGCACAGCATTACCCAGGTGGCGTATTGGCTCCCTGGGGTGGTGGTACACTTTCTCTGGAAATAGTTTCAAGAGGTTGGGTATTTCCACATTTGAGGTTGACTTGATGCTGTCTTTAGAATGCTGGGTACCCCTATGGAGAGGGGCAGCAGGGAGAGACTTGGGGACCCACATGCTGCCACCTGTACCTTTCCTGCTTTTCAGGTGGACCCCAAGTTCCTGAGGAACATGCGCTTTGCCAAGAAGCACAACAAAAAGGGCCTAAAGAAGATGCAGGCCAACAATGCCAAGGCCATGAGTGCACGTGCCGAGGCTATCAAGGCCCTCGTAAAGCCCAAGGAGGTTAAGCCCAAGATCCCAAAGGGTGTCAGCCGCAAGCTCGATCGACTTGCCTACATTGCCCACCCCAAGCTTGGGAAGCGTGCTCGTGCCCGTATTGCCAAGGGGCTCAGGCTGTGCCGGCCAAAGGCCAAGGCCAAGGCCAAGGCCAAGGATCAAACCAAGGCCCAGGCTGCAGCCCCAGCTTCAGTTCCAGCTCAGGCTCCCAAACGTACCCAGGCCCCTACAAAGGCTTCAGAGTAGATATCTCTGCCAACATGAGGACAGAAGGACTGGTGCGACCCCCCACCCCCGCCCCTGGGCTACCATCTGCATGGGGCTGGGGTCCTCCTGTGCTATTTGTACAAATAAACCTGAGGCAGGATTTGTTAGCCTCTGTCTATGATCCTGGGGATGGGTTTGGTTGCTCCATCTGTTGGTGTGGGAGAAGACATGGGTCTGGATGGTGGGGTGTGGGTGGGAGTCAGGAGATGGGGCCCTGAAGTGCAAGAGGAGGACCTAATGAATGAGAAATGATTGGGGGCTTTTGGGAAGCTCGGGCACATAGCTTGCTGGACTGTGTAACCTGCCGAGCAAAGGGAGAAATTTTTTTTTTTTTTTTTGAGACAGAATCGTGCTCTGTCACCCAGGCTGGAGTGCAGTGGTGCCATCTCGGCTCACTGCAAGCTCCGCCTCCCAGGTTCACACCATTCTCCTGCCTCAGCCTCCCAAGTAGCTGGGACTACAGGTGCCTGCCACTACACCCGGCTAATTTTGTTTTTGTATTTTTAGTAGAGATGGGGTTTCACTGTGTTAGCCAGGATGGTCTTGATCTCCTGACCTTGTGATCTGCCTGCCTCGGCCTCCCAAAGTGCTGGGATTACAGGCGTGAGCCAGTGCTCCTGGCCCAAAGGGAGAAATCTTAAACATCCTCATGAGGTCTTAAAGCTTACTGCAAGGGAGGGGAAGGGGCCCCGCTGAGCAGCTCTGCACTCTGGCCTGAGGTGTCCCAGATTTGGGCTCTTTTGGTGCACCTGGTCAGCATCCACTGCTCTGGGCTATGTTAGTCCCCCAACAGCTAGGGACCCAGGAAGGCAGGTGGTAGTGGCACTGCCTTACTCCCGTGACTGGTTCTGACCCTTCTGTGCCCCTGGGTCAGCTGCTTCACATGGAGGTCTTTATCCTCAGCAGTCAGTGAAGAAAGTACTGAAGTAATAGTAAGCCTTTGTGGAGGCTGCCTATAGAAGGCACCACGTGGGCACTTCCTGGCCGCACTTAATCCTCAAAACCAGCCTTGGTCCAACCTCGGACACTTTAGAAACTCCTAAAGGGGTGCTGTTATGCTACAGCTGCAGGTGCAGCCCATGGCATGTGATCCCCTACTTCTGAAGTAGGTATTATGATTATCTTTGTTTCACGGGTGAGAAAATATTGAAGATAATGAACCTACGAAGGGGTGGGGGTAGCATTTGATCTAGGCAGTCCATGTGGGGCCCTAGGAGGTTTCAATTGCCCAACCAGAGCTGGGGCTGCTAGCTCTTGACTGTAATCCTGGAAGTCTCTGGGTGGCCAACTGCCCCTTGCCAAGGCATGACAGGTGGAGGTGGGTTTGAAAGGGAGCAAGAGCAGGTTCTGTGTTCTGAAGGTGGTTTGGCCCAGACAGGCCACCAGGTTGATGACTTCCAAAGTGAGGTCTCTGTGCTGGTGTCCTGGACATGGGGTGTGAAGGTTCTCCTTTCCCCAGCCATCCTGCCATGAAAAAGGAGTGATCCCTTTACCAAGTTCCGGTCTGAGGGGGGAGGCCAGGTCAGGGCTTCAGCTGGGCTTAAGGTTACAGCCAACTGCTACCCTCAGCCTCCAGCTTGTACATGGAACCTGCCTTGTGCTCAGGAAGCACAAATTCCCAGTTCTTGAGTTTCAACTCCTTCACCTCCAAGCTCTGTTGTCTGGGGCAAACTATATTAGTGGAACCTGTTTCTTTTTCCTTTTTTTTTGAGAGAGTCTCGCTCTGTCGCCCAGGCTGGTATGCAGTGGCGTGATCTCGGTTCACTGCAGCCTCCATCCCCTGGGTTCAAGCAATTCTCCAGAATCAGCCTCTTGACCACAGGCACATGGCACCATGCCTGGCTACTTTTTTTATATTTTCAGTAGAGAGGGGGTTTTGCCATGTTGCCCAAGCTGGTCTTGAACTCCTGAGCTTAGGCAATCCGCCTGCCTCAGCCTCCCACAGTGTTAGGATTACAGGCATGAGCAACCGCACCCGGCCAATGGAGCCTGTTCCTGCATCACTAGTGGGACCCGGCTTCCATCACAAGACTGCTGTAAGGGTTCAATGAAAAGCAAGCCAGTCTAGGCCGGGCGCGGTGGCTCACGCCTGTAATCCCAGTGTGTCCGGAATTGGGTTCTTGGTCTCACCGACTTCAATAATGAAGCTGCGGACCCTCATGGTGAGTGTTACAGCTCTTAAGGTGGCGTGTCTGGAGTTTGTTCCTTCTGATGTTCAGAGTTTTTTCCTTCTGGTGGGTTCGTGATCTCGCTGGCTTCAGGAGTGAAGCTGCAGACCTTGGTGGTGAGTGTTACAGCTCATAAAGGCAGTGTGGACCCAAAGAGCAAAAGAACAAAGCTTCCACGGTGGGGAAAGGGACCCCAGTGGGTTGCTCCTGCTGGCTCCGGCAGCCTGCTTTTATTCTCTTATCTGGCCCCACCCACATCCTGCTGATTGGTAGAGCCCAGTGGTCTGTTTTGACAGGGCGTTGATTGGTGCATTTACAATCCCTGAGCTAGACATAAAGGTTCTCCAAGGCCCCACCAGAGTAGCTAGATACAGAGTGTCCATTGGTGTATTCACAAACCCTGAGCTAGACACAGGGTGCTGATTGGTGTGTTTACAAACCTTGAGCTAGATACAGAATGCCGATTGGTGTATTTACAATCCCTGAGCTAGACATAAAGGTTCTCCACGTCCCCACCAGACTCAGGAGCCCAGCTGGCTTCACCCAGTGGATCCCGCACCGGGGCTGCAGGTGGAGCTGCCTGCCAGTCCTGCTCCGTGAGCCCGCACTCCTCAGCCCTTGGGTGGTGGATGGGACTGGGTGCCGTGGAGCGGGGGGCGGCGCTCATGGGGGAGGCTGGGGCCGCACGGGAGCCAGTGGAGGGGGTGGGAGGCTCAGGCATGGTGGGCTGCAGGTCCCAAACCCTGACCCGCGGGAAGGCAGCTAAGACCCGGTGAGAAATCGAGAGCAGCGCCGGTGGCCTGGCACTGCTGGGGGACCCAGTACACCCTCCGCAGCCACTGGCCCGGGTGCTAAGCCCCTCATTGCCCGGGGACGGCGGGGACGGCAGGGCCGGCCGGCTGCTCCGAGTGCGAGTGCGGGGCCCGCCAAACCCACGCCCACCCGGAACTCCAGCTGGCCCGCAAGCGCGGCGGGCAGCCCCGGTTCCCGCTCGCGCCTCTCCCTCCACACCTCCCTGCGAACTGAGGGAGCCGGCTCTGGCCTTGGCCAGCCCAGAAAGGGGTTCCTACAGTGCAGCGGTGGGCTGAAGGGCTCCTCAAGTGCCACCAAAGTGGGAGCCGAGGCAGAGGAGGCGGGGAGAGCGAGCGAGGGCTGTGAGGACTGCCAGCACGCTGTCACCTCTCACCAGCACTTTGGGAGGCCGAGGCAGGCGGATCCCCTGAGGTCAAGAGATCGAAATCATCCTGTTCAACGTGGTGAAACCGTCTCTACTAAAAATACAAAAATTAGCCGGCCGTGGTGGCACGCGCATGTAGTCCCAGCTACTTGGGAGGCTGAGGCAGGAGAATCCCTTGAACCTGGGAGGCGGAGGTGAAACCCCGTCTCTACTAAAAATACAAAAAGCTGGGCGTGGTGGCGGGGGCCTGTAGTCCCAACTACTCAGGAAACTGAGGCAGGAGAATGGCGTGAACCCAGGAAGCGGAGTTTGCAGTGAGCCGAGATCGCGCCACTGCACGCCAGCCTGGGCGACAGAGAAAGACTCCATCTCAAAAAAAAAAAAAAAAAAAAAAAAGCCAGTCAAGTCCTGGCTCCTTGTCAACTGTGAGCAGGAGTGATTGTTATTTCTATTAGTACTAAGCCTGCAGCCCAGAGCCAGGCTCTGGACTTCTGGCTACAACTAGAAACTTAAAAAATCCAACTATCCCACCCCAGCCCTGTCTCTCCTGCCCCATGCTCAGGGAAGTCAGAACAGGATAGAGCAGATCTGGCTAGATCAGGCTCTGCTACTGGGGCCATAGTTTACTCTTGGTACTACCTGGGGGTCCTAGCAAGGCTGAGATGAAAGCCCAGTTCCTGGGCCTCTGCACACACAGATCCAGGGTGCTGAGGCCTCTAAGATGAACTGACCTAGTCTACCAGGGACCCTGCCCCTCTGTGGCCCCTGCTGCCAACACAAGGGTGTACAGGTTTTGACAGGAGCCAGCAGTCACCGTTGGCCCTCTGCCTGCCCCTCATCTAGCAGGGGCCCAGCTGGTGCTATTCTGGTACTGTCTCAGGATCCCAGATGTACACCCAGGAAGATGGGAGTGGTTCCTGAGGTCCTTAGTATCCCTCTTTAATGGGAATGGAATCCCTGATAGGTCAGAACTAAGTATGGTGGCCACTCAAATAGGAACTGTGGCCCTTTCTTGCTAGGCACAGACATGGCTGGATGGTACTGAATGGGTGTGCTGTGTCAAGGGGCACAGAGCAGTGTGGGGTAGTGGGGAAGTGCTAACAGCCAGGCTCAGTTTCCTCATCTGTGAAATGGAGATGGTAACATGTCCCCAGGAAAAGGAAAATTCTTGCTCCACGAGTGTCCTTGTGTTAGTACTTCAGAGACAGCCCTGTCCATAGACTTTATTATTTGGAAGGGGGAAGAGGAGGTCCTTGGCACTGGTTGGGATGGAAGCCCCAGGGGCAAAGGTTTAGGAGTTCCAGGGCTCAGCTGTCACTGGGCAGGGCAGGCACACTGGCAAGGGCAGGCAGCAGGCGTGTATATATGTCCACCCCACGGAGGAACACAGCCTCATGCAGCCGTTCATCGTGGTCGTGCAGCAGCACAGGTGTGCGGTTCATGGGTGAGAAGCCTAGAGCTGGGACCCCCACCTGCAGGGGTGAGGAAGAGCCGTTAGGGAAAAGCCAGCACTCAGGCCCAGTCCACTGCCCAGGCACTATATGCAAGTGGCTCACCGCGCGGATATAGCGGTTGTCAGTGGCAGCAGGCATGATCTCAGGCTCCAGAGTGAGGTTCCTGTAGGAGAAAGAGCCTGATGAATGGGGAGGGAGAAAGCGAAGAATTGAAGGGGCAAAGGAAGGTGGGAAAGAGGTGGGAGAAGGAGGGAGAAGGGAGGGGGCAGCAGGAAGGAGAGGAGTAGGGGGCTGGGCTGTGAGGAGAGCTGGCCAGCGTGCTCACATATCCTTGCAGACCCGGCTAAAAGCTGCCCACCAAGGGTTTGAGTCATCAGTAGGTGTCACTTGGGGGTGCATCCACTTCTGAGGGACAGGAAGAATGGCAGGATCAGGACATGGGCCTGGGCATCTTGCCCTATTTCCCATAGAGTGGGCTGTGCCTAGTACATAACACCTCCCCACCCCCACTCCTTCACCTACCCAGACATCTGGGTAGCCAGTCCAGCCACAGGTCCTCTTTCAGCCCCTCAAATGTCCTAGGTCTGGGACCTTCCCACCCTCCGTCTACTTACCTCCTGTCCATCCTTCAGATCCTAGCCCAAGTGCCCCTTCCTCAAGATGGCTCCCCCAGACCTCTCAGACTAGTTGGATACTCCAGTTACAGGTTTTCAGAGTGCAAGGGGCCACCCTTTCCTGTACCACATGGGTTATATGAAAGTACGGCTGGGCGCAGTGGCTCATGCCTGTAATCCCAGCATTTTGCGAGGCCAAGGTGGGTGGATCACTTGAGGCCAGGAGTTCGAGACAAGCCTGGCCAACATGGTGAAACACTGTCTCTACTAAAAATGCAAAAATTAGCTGGGCGTGGTGGCAGGTGCCTGTAATCCCAACTACTCTGGAGGCTGAGGCACAAGAATTGCTTGAACCCGGGAGGCGGAGGTGAGCCGAGATTGTGCCACTGCACTGCAGCCTGGGTGACGGAGTGAGATTCTCTCAGAAAAAAGTAATATCACATAAATGTTTGATTTATATCTCCCCGTTTCACCATACAAGGGCATGAACTGTGCCTAATTTTACTCCCCACAGCATTCCCCAGCACCCACAGTGGCCTCTACAATGAATGCTTGTTGGAATAAAATGTGTCTGTCACAGATAAAGAAATGCCCAGACATATGCAGACACACCAAGCACACACTCCACTGTTGCACACTTGGGTCTCCCCCGGCTCCCACACTCTCCCATCACATGTCCCAAGTCCATACCTGAGCAAACTCTAGGGTGACCCCCTCGCCAGCTGCCTGGCACCAGCTCTGCAGCTGCTCCTCAAAAGCCTAAGAGAAGGGAGACGAGCTGATCCTTCAGGCTTTCCAGAGGCCTCTAGGACAAGACTGAGGACCCAGGATCCCTCCTCCAAACCCAGGTGGAGGTGGCACCTTGAAGTCCACATCCGGTGCCACACGGAAGTCAAAGCTGGCGCTCATGGTGGCAGGTATCACGTTATAGGCCACGCCACCCTCTAGCTTAGTCAGGTTCACGGAGGTCACGGACCCCTCTTTCAGGTGGGGGTTTGACTGCAGCCTGTGGTGTGGGGGCAGGGTAGCGGCAGCAACAGATAAAAGAGGTGGCTCAGACTCTATCCTCTGTGGTACCGCCTCCCAGAGCCACCCCACTGCCTCCCAGGCTGCCTCACCTCTGCCATTCCTTCTCCCGGAATGCCAGGATGGAGTTTACAACCTTGTGCTATGAGAATATGAGGTTAAATGGGACAGTGGCCTCAGGATAGAGCCTCCTGAACTCCCAGACTCCCTCCTGGGGTGCCACGTACCAGCTTCTCTGCTGCTGTGTCCTCCATGAAGCGTGAGGCATGGCCTGGCCTCCCAGTGCTGGTAACCCGCACCCCTGGGGAGGTGTAGGGGGAAGGCAGTGTCTTCAGCCTGAGGGGCTGGAGACACAATCAGCCTGGGGTGGGCCCAGGTCTCCCCCTCATTCCAGGCTCCTCTGGCAGGGTCCTGTCCCCACTCAGGGCCCGTAGCATACAGCTGGTTTCTGCCCATTCAGGGCTTGCCCTCAGAGAAGCTCAGATAGGAAAGAGCTGGGAGGTAGAGGCCCTGGGTTCAAGGCCTTCTCAGGCCTCAACTTTGCTGTGCAACCCTGCATAGGACCGTGCCCTTTCTGGCCTAGCCTCCCGCCTGTAGAGTGAGCCCTCCCTCCAAGCTCATACTTACA
Organism: Homo sapiens; assembly: GCF_000001405.40. Classification (NCBI taxonomy): domain Eukaryota; kingdom Metazoa; phylum Chordata; class Mammalia; order Primates; family Hominidae; genus Homo; species Homo sapiens. The sequence continues at coordinate 51,986,660 of NC_000003.12, read as the reverse complement.
CCAGGGACTCCGCTCACTATAAAAGACAGTGAAGGCATCAGTGGGATTGGCTATGCCTGAGGAGGGAAAGGGGGTTCAGAGGGTGGAGCAGCTCAGTCCCCACTAGCAGCCTCCTACTCCCTGCCTGGCTGCTCATTGGCTTGCCAACCTGCTCACCCTCATCCAGGGCAAAGCCTGCCCTCAGGGCGTGGAACTCAGGCCGCTGCACGAACAGCTCCATGCCTTGGTGACCCCCAACCTCCTCATCTGTAAAAGCAGCAGGGACGTGAGATGAGGAGGCTGCCCCGCCCCACCCTCCCCTTTCCCAAAGGTATCTGAGCCACTCCTACCAGGCACAAAGGTCATGTGGATGGTTCTGGGGAACCGGTGGCCCTCCACCTTCAGCCTCCTCACAGCTTCCAGGTACCTGAGGGGGCATAAGCCAGGTGCTGGGGGAGCCACCAGATGCGCAGGCTGGCCCCACAGGCAGGGCCAGCAGGCTGGAGTCCTGTGTCCTGGACTTTACCCTGCCACACCCTGATAGGGACTCCAGAAAGTCCCTGCCCCTCTCTGGTCTGAATCTCCCTATCCATGCAATGGTCATGGCAGTAGTTCCTGTCCAAGAGGTCACGGTGTTCCTTGGCCTTGAGTTTCTCCAATCACCCCCTCAGGTCCTGCTTCAATCCACTGGACCAGTGGGGACATTGTGGAGGAGTAGGAATGGAGGACACTCACTGGATGCTGACGCACTTCATGTCCTGGGCACCCCTGGCATAGATGTAGCCCTCAGAATCCTTGAAGGCCTCAAAGGGGTCGTGACTCCAATGTTCCTGGGGGCAGGGATGGGAAGAGGGGCCCAAACCCCAAATTTAGCCATTAATCCACTCTGGTCAACAGTGGCCCTGCCCTAGGAGCCCACCATAGGGTTGGAGTGACAGGTGGAGTGGTGGGAGAGGAAAGACGGGGGCTGAAGAAGGCAGCTGATTGCCATCCCCCATTGCTGTCTCCTGCTTCCCACCCCCCAGTCCCCACCCCACTCTGGCCCAGAACTTGCTGCTGGATGAAGGCTGCTTGAGTGGTGTAATGTCATAAGGATGTTGAGAGTTAGTGTCAGGACTGGGGCCAGGACCATGAGCAACTTGAGGTTGAATCCTGGGGTCTGCATCATGTCTGTCCCCAAGGCCTGCACTGCCCACCTCCCCAGCCCCTTACACACCTTGAAGACAGGCACCACATCCGTGTGGGAGTTGAGCAAGATGGAGGAGAGTGTAGGGTTGGTGCCTGGCCAGGTCAACACGGTCACCACATAGCCAGGTGCCACCTGGAGATGGTCAGGAGGGTAGGTGGTCTGAGCAGGGTGAGGAAGTGCCCAGGCCCACCTCCCTTCCCCGCTTAGGGCCCCAGGCTCACCTCTACTTTCTGACAGCCCAGGCCCAGCTGGCGGGCTGTCTCCTCAAAGAAAGCCACAGCAGCTCCTGGAGGCACAGAGTGTCTTGGGGCTGCTTCTGCCTACCCACAGCTTCCCACCAGCCCAGGCAGCCCGGAGAGTGGAGCATACCCAGAAATGGGCTGCTGCCTCCCCGACACACTCCATATCCCTCAGAGATGCTTGCATTTCCATCCCCAAGAAAGAAGATATTTTTGGCTACTCAGTGACCCTTTCTGGAAGTCCAGGGGGATGTCTGGACACAGGGTTGGAGGAAGGTGTTATCTTCCTTAAATATGGGAAACTATGGCACAGAGACATGAAGAGATTCACCCACCATCTCTCAGCTGATTAATCACAGAGGAGGAATTTGGACCCATGTACACAATTCCCAGCCACTAAGTTTTTTTTTTTTCTTTTCCTTTTTTTTTTTTTTTTTTTGAGACAGGGTCTCACTCTGTCACCAAGGCAGGAGTGAAGTGGTGCGATCTCGGCTCACTGCAGCCTCAACCTCCCAGGCTCAAGCGATCCTCCCACCTCAACCTCTGGAGTAGCTGGGACTACAGGTGTGCCACCATTCCTGACTAATTTTTGTATTTTTTCTGTAGAGACAGAGTCTTGCCATGTTGCTCAAGCTAGTCTTGAACTCCTGGGCCCAAGCAATCTGCCAGCCTCAACCTCCTGAAGTGCTGGGATAACAGGCAGGAGCCACCTCCCAGGCCCTAGCCACCAAGCTTGACTCCCTAAGGGCTGTGGCCTTTGTCCAGCCCCAGTGGGCTTCTGGAGGGCCTCTCCTTTCCCTGTGGCTGCCTCAGGCTTCCCCCACCACTCCTGCCCTGGAGAGTGAGGTGAAGTTTTTCTTTAACCAGCTGCCAGGAGTAACCTTGGTCAGCAGCAGAGTCTCTGGGGAAAGGGTTCCTCCCTAACCTGGAGGGGCTGCCTCAGTCTATTTACTTGGGGAATGGCTGGAGGGGTTGGGGAGCCATTTGGGACAGCAGAGTGGGGCTCAGCTGGGTGACAGGGGTTGGAGGCTGGTTTAGAGCACAGTCCCCGTCCCTTAGGCCCCGTCACAGGCTCTGGAACCACCGTCTTCTCACCATAGTCAGGCTTGGGCTGGACAGTGCGGATACGCAGGTACTGGCGGAAGAGCGTCACCGATGGGTGCTCCTCCTCGGGACCCTTGCTGGTCATGGCGCTGCGCGTGGTGAGCTGGGGGCAAAGTGAATGGCTAACTACCCCTCCAAGACCCTGGAAATGGTGAGCTCCTGCACACAGCCTGTCCCCACGGCGGCTCCCGGACTTCCCACAGGGGTAGGATACCGTGTTTCGGAGCCCCCATTAAGGAGCACCCATTCTGTTTCAGGCGCTGGGCTGTCTGCTTCCAGCACATTTCCTTATTTAATCCCCAAAAGAGCCCCATGAAGTTTGTGCTCAGAATGCCCACTTTACAGAGGAGAAAGCTGAGAGGCTCAGAGAGGTTCAAGGACAGCTCATAGAGTAGCTGAGCAAGGTTTGAACCCAGACTTGTACTCCCCCCGCCCTCCTAAAAAAAAAAAAAGGCAAAAACAAAAACAAAAAACAAACAAGAAAAACCCCAACGCCTCCCAGTTGCCCGGCTTTCAAGCCACGGAGCCCCAGTCCCTCTATCCCTCCCCAGGGCCCCCACCTCACTCTCCTGTCGCTGGGCTCACGCTCGCCTCTCAGCGCCCTTCCCTGACTGTGGCCTGGACTTAGGGTCCAGCGAGGTCGCCTGCGAGGTCGCAGGCTCAGGACCGCCCCGGTCCGCCCACCACGTGGCCGAGGCCGGATGTCGGGGCGGAGACCGAAGACCGTCAGTGAGGGCCGTCCCGGCGCCAGCGGCCGCGTCGGCGCGGATGTCCCCGCCCGCCTCTGGTTCGGGCCTCAGCGAGATTACTGGAGGATTAGATCCGGATCCCGTCCCCGGGCAGCGGCCGCCGCGGCCAGCGCCGCCCCGCGAGTTGCGAGCTCCGGGCTGGCCCTGCTCTGACAGGCTCGCCCCGCCCCACACGACACGCCTGCCACTCCTGCCCCCAGGTATGCGCCGGGAGCTCAGGACGGTCCCGTCCCCTAAGGGCGCCTCCTCCTTCAGCCCCCGGATAGGGCGGGAGGAAAGGGGGCCGCCCCGAGGCTCTCAAGATGCAGAGCTGCAAAGCCCTGGGCCTGCGCCCTCGCCCTCCTCGGCAAGTCTCCAACGGCTCCCCACTGCAGGCCTCAGCCCCTCGGGGAGGTCCTCCCTGACGCCTCAGCTCCACTTGTACTGAAGTTATTGGCCAATGTCTGTCTGCCCACACTGAACTCCAGGAGGCTGTGAGCTCCACTTCCTGCAAGGTTCTGCCCGGGGCCGTGCCGAGCCCGGACAGTGCCTAGAATGGGAATGAATGCATGGACAAGAGCACGTGTGACGGTTTAAGCGTGCCACTGCGTGTGCAGTCTATCAGTGGATATGATTGTGTATGTGACAGTGTGAGATGGTGGGTGGGTGTGATGAAGTCACTGTGAATGGATGTAATTGTGACCCTGGATGGACAGTGTGAGGAAACTGGCTCTTCTGCAGCCACCAGAGGGGGAGGCTAAACAGGCACAGGTGTACCACTGGCCCCCTGCAGGCCACAGCTGCAGTTGCCCACTTGTGCCCCAGCTGCCCTTTGTACTCCCAGCCAGGTCTGCCCTCTGCTCCAGGGGCTGAGTCAGCTTGGGGAAGGGTGAGGGACAAAGACTTCAATCTCTAGGCCAAGGAGGCACGCTGTGGGAAGGGTTCTGTCCCACCTTTCCTGAGGTTTAAGTCTTGGCTGCTCACACATAACATGGGGGCAAATGGACTTTAACTCATAACAATGCTGGATAATTCTTTATTTAGTTATTTTTTTGATACAGAGTCTCACTCTGTCATGCGGGCAAATAGATTTTAACTCACAACAATGCTGGCTAATTATTTACCTATTTATTCATGCGGGCAAATAGACTTTAACTCATAACAATGCTGGCTAATTATTTAGCTATTTATTTTTTTGAGATGGAGTCTCACTCTGCTGCCCAGGCTGGAGTGCAGTGGCTCCTTCTCGGCTCGCTGAAAACTCCGCCTCCTGGGTTCAAGTGATTCTCCTGCCTCAGCCTCCAGAGTAGCTGGGATTACAGGTGCGTGCCACCACGCTGGGCTAATTTTTGTATTTTTAGTAGAGACAGGGTTTGTCATGTTGGCCAGGGTGGTCTTGAACTCCTGACCTCAGGTGATCCACCCGCCTTGGCCTCCCAAGGTGCTGGGATTACAGATGTGAGCCACAGTGCCCAGCTAATGCTGGTTTTTTTTTTTTTTTTTTTTTTTTTTTTTTTTTTTTTTTTTGAGACGGAGTCTCACTCGCTTTGTCACCCAGGGTGGAGTGCAGTGGTGTGATCTCGGTCTTGGCTCACTGCAAGCTCCGCCTCCCGGGTTCACACCATTCTCCTGCCTCAGCCTACTGAGTAGCTGGGACTAAAGTCACCCGCCACCACGCTCGGCTAATTTTTTGTATTTTTAGTAGAGACGGGTTTTCACCGTGTTAGTCAGGATGGTCTCGATCTCCTGACCTCGTGATCCGCCTGCCTCGGCCTCCCAAAGTGCTGGGATTACAGGTGTGAGCCACTGCGCCCGGCCAATGCTGGCTAATTGTTAAATCGCGTTCCCCATACCCTCTAGGTTCCTGACTTCCTTGGCTTGGCTGTCCAGACCCTGGATTTCCCACCAATCCCTGTGGTCATGCAGCAGCAGTAATACACCCCGCCTCCCACCAGCAATTCCCCAGCCTTATGTGGCCAAGTACTCAGTTATCCAGACTCATTCAGTCCTATAACCACCCTCCAACCTAGGTGTTGCCATCATACCCGTTTTACAGATAAGGAAACTCAGGCACAGAGTGGTGAGGCCAGGCACTTAGGAAGTGGCGCATTCTTAGCCTTCTCAGACTGCTGGACATCCCCTCCAGCTCCCAGGCCCAAAGTAGTCCCAGACTTGCCTCCCACTCCCGTCTTTCCCACAGCACACCAGGAAACGGAACCTGTCACTTCCCAGGCAGGACAAATATGCTTTTTTATTGTGTCTGTGAGATGAAATGAGGAGTCCTGGCTGGGTCTGACCCTGGCCTCTGGCCTCCAATCCCAGAGGCTGTCTCCCTGGTTCAGGGAGGGTGGCGGTCCAGACTGTCCAAGCTCATGCCAGGCTGGGAGCTGGGAGTGGGTTAGTTCAAGGTAGATGGTCAAGGAAGGCAAGCAGGACAAGGTGGAAGTCTTGCGGCTTGTGGAGGTAACAGGCATGGCCTGCATTGCGTAGCTTCACCACAGAGTGGTTGGGCAGGTGGCGGAGCTGCCGCAGTGACTCTCGAGCCAGGATGTGGTCCAGCTCTCCATACAGGATAAGGGTTGGAGTCTGCAGGGCAAGGCAGGGGGCTGTGATCTTGGGGCCTGATGAGTTTCTGACCCCCAAGCCACTTCCTAGGAAGCCTTCCCCAACACCATCCAACTCTTCCATCCAAGGTCAGGGATAAGGCCATGTCCCTCCAAGTAAGACTTGAGTCCTGAACCCCCCCAAGCCACAGACAGGGTGCCAGGACCTTTGAGATCCTTCTCCCAGTACCTTCACAGCCCAGAATTGCTCCTGGGTGTAGTTCTGGGTGGAGGTGGGTGCGATGGGCACAAATCCATGTAGCTGGTGGTGGCCTCGCATCAGGAAGGGCAGGGCATAGTGGCCACTCAGCGAGGGGCTCACCAACACGGCATTCTGTACCTCCAGGTCCCGCAGCGCCCGCTCCAGCAGCGCTGCCCGCCCTGCCTCTGTGCTTGCCTCCTTTGAAGGTGCCGAGTTCCCAAAACCTAGGAACAGCAGCAGGTACCAGCTGAGGGGCACTGGGAAGGGGCACAGGACTTCCTGCCCACCACAGTGGGGGAAAAAGTTGGGGACCACTGGCACTGGCACACACTACCTAAAACTGCCCAGAAGCTATTTTCTGGTAATGTAATATGCCTGTTAGAAAAGCATATCTTGGCCGAGAGTGGTGGCTCACGCCTGTAATCCCAGCACTTTGGGAGGCCGAGGCGGGCAGATCACGAGGTTAGGAGATCGAGACCATCCTGGCTAACACGGTGAAACTCCGTCTCTACTAAAAATACAAAAAATTAGCCAGGCGAGGTGGCGGGCACCTGTAGTCCCAGCTACGCAGGAGGCTGAGGCAGGAGAATGGCATGAACCCCGGGGGGCGGAGCCTGCAGTGAGCCGAGATCATGCCACTGCACTCTAGCCTGGGCGACTGCGAGACTCTGTCTAAAAAAAAAATAAAATAAAATAAAAAATAAATAATACCCAGTGTTGGGGGAGACATGGGGAAATGGGCACTTTCATACATGACAGATGGGAAGATAAATCCATATAGTGTTTTTGGAGGGTGAGATAGTAGTTATCTAAATTTAAAAATGCATGTCCTGGCAGCTGGGCGCGGTGGCTCATGCCTGTAATCCCAGCACTTTGGGAGGCCGAGGTGGCGGATCATGAGGTCAGGAGTTTGAGACCAGCCTGACCAACATGGTGAAACCCTGTCTCTACTAAAAATACAAAAATTAGCCAGGCATGGTGGGGCGCACCTGTAATCCCAGCTACTCAGGAGACTGAGGCAGGAGAATCGCTTGAACCCAGAAGGCGGAGGTTGCAGTGAGCCGAGTACGAGCCACTGCACTCCAGCCAGGGTGACAGAGCGAGGCTCTGTCTCAAAAAAAAAAAAAACAAAAAACAAAAAAAGAAACAAACAAAAAAAAAACAAAACACAACACATCCTTTGGCCCATCAATTGTCCTCAGTAGCTACCCTAGAGAAATTATTGCTCACATGCTCAAAGAAGCATGCCCAAGGATGCTTTAGCTACTATATTGCTTGAGCACTCCGCCAGTAGAGGAATGGCTGAATAAAGCCTGTCCATCCCTCCTATGGGACACACTGCAGGGTTGACAACAAAGAGGGAGGTTTGTAGGGACCGGCATGATCCTTGAGACATGATGTAGGGGGAGAAAACCAAGCTACAGATGGATGTGCTAAGCAGACAGGATACCAATCATGTTTACAGCCCCCACTAGACAATCCTCTACATCGTCTGCATCTTTACATGTGGGAATACCCAGAACAGCGTGTGGCATCCCCTAAACTTCTTAGAGAGGGAGAGAAATGCGGCACCAGTCTCTCAGAGCTTTGCTATTTTTTAGTATTTTTTAATCCTCTATGACTCGACATTTTTTCATTTTTTTAATGACAAGAATGATAGCATAAATCATTTGTGTACTTAAAAACACAAAACCTATATGGTTTGCCATAGAAAGTACACTGCTTGGCCGGGCGCAGTGGCTCACACCTGTAATCCCAGCACTTGGGGAGGCCGAGGCAGGCGAATCACCTGAGGTCGGGAGTTCAGGACCAGCCTGGCCAGCATGGTGAAACCCTATCTCCACTAAAAATACAAAAATTAGCCAGGCGTGGTGGCAGTCACCTGTAATCTCAGCTACTGGGGAAGCGGAGGCAGGAGAATTGCTTGAACCCGGGAGGCGGAGGTTGCAGTGAGCCGAGATTGTGCCATTGTACTCTAGCCTGGGTGACAGAGCGAGACTCTGTTTCAAAAAATATATATAAATAAAATAAAAAAAAAGAAAGTATACTGCTTGTGAAGAGTTTTTATTTGCTCCATGACCTAGAATTCACACTGTAGTTTTCATAGTAGAAAATGAAAACACAGACTTTTTCATGGTGCCACCTTATGTTGTGACCTGCCACGGCCTGTCCAGACCCTAGGGTCCAGTTGCCTCCCAGCCACACTTAAGGCTTCCCTAGACAAAGGGGTGGGGGTGCTCACCTGGAAGGTCAAGGGCCACGGCCCGGTAGCCCCTCTGTGACAGTAGCTGCAGTGTGCCCAGCTGCTCCCACGTGTGAGAGTTAAAGGCCTTTCCATGAAGCAGCACCACCTCCACCCTGCAGGCACACAGGGGAATGTGTTTGCTGGGAACCTGGTGTAGCCCACCTTTCTTTATTCCTAGGCTTCTCCCATTGCCCTCCCAGGACCTGAGCACCCTGAGTATAATGGGGGTCCCACACAGGGACTCCCCTTGAGCCTAGTCCCTCCACTAGACCCTTGGAGCAGCACCTACCTGTGTGCCTGGTTGAGTGGGAGCACCTCGCGGTAAAAGATGGGCGAGTTGCCAGGGGTGAGACCAGCCAGGACTGTGACATTGGGGTCTCCCCAGAGGCAGGAAGTCTGCTCAGGGGGGCCTGGCAGCCCCACATACAGTAGGAGCATGAGCAGCAGACTCAGGCCCAGCAGGGCTACCTGGGACCGGCTCATGGAGGTCTGTACCACAGTCTGGAGAGGGAGAGGAGAGGGAAAAGAGGCTGGAACTGAGTCCCTACAAGGACCCTGGATCCCATCCCAAAACCCCACCCAGAGTCCCCAGCAGAGGAAGAGCTCCAGCCCTTGCCCTTTCCCTTGCTCTGGGCAAAGTTCTGGGAGTTCACACTCAACTACTCCACATGCCAGGGCAAGCGCTCAGATACCTCACAGTGTGAGGAGGTGCATCTGAGGTGTTCTCTGGCACACAGCATGCTCAGTGACCGCCACCATCATGGCATCAGCTGAAACCACTTCCGTTCATCAAGCGCTTATGACAGCAGGCCCTGAGTGTGGCACTTCACATACAAGGTTCTTTTCCACCAAGAATGCTGGGGAGCAGACGTGATTATAGGTCTCTTATAGGTGAGGAAATGGAGGCTCAGAGAGGTACATTCTCTTGCCCAAAGTGCCAAGTAGCAAGTGGGGGAATTGGGGTTTGAACCTAGGAATGGGCTTCTAACTACCAGGCCACACTCGGTTTGCCAAGGAGGAACCCGTGGAGCTGGGAGATGATGGATGAACTGGAGCCTTGCAGGTGGAAAAAGTGATGAGGGCTATCAAAGGAGAAAGACTGCGCGCAAAGGGACCTCCCACTTAAGGGCATGTTTGGAAATGGTTCTTTTAATCTCACTGCATTTAATACTGCTAAAATCAGAACGCGTTTTACAATCGCATTATAACTAAGGTCTAACCCAGCTGTTATGAAGAGGCTCACAGAGAATGTCTTGTAATAGAGGAAAATGCTGAGGAGTGAGGGGCTGCAGGGCCAGGGAGGAGCATGGTACACCCAGAAATGAAAAGCACAGTGTAGAGGTTGGAGAGATGAATGCCGCCTGCTACTCCCCATCCTACACACAGACAGCTTCTGGCCAAATGACTGCTTCGTGGACTCCTCCAATCTGGGGTCTCTGCCACCCCAGAGGACAGCCCTTAGGACCCAGGACTCAAACAGGACAGGCCTTTGAGACTGCCACTTCCTGACCTTGTGTCTTCAGTTTGTCAGTAAAATGGGATAACCTCGTGGCTGCCCTCCTAAGCTTCCTGTGAGATTTAGATAATACCGTGGACTGGATCAGGGCTGTCCCTGTCATTTCTTGGGCCTAGGATGAGCACGCCTGCTTCCTTCCAGGAGTCCAGCAAACACATCTTTATTTTATTTTTATTTTTCTGAGACGGAGTCTTGCTCTGTCGCCCAGGCTAGAGTGCAGTGGTACAATCTCGGCTCACTGCAACCTCCGCCTCCCGGGTTCAAGCAATTCTCCTGCCTCAGCCTCCCGAATAGTGGGATTACAGGCTCCCGCCACCGCGCCCGGCTAATTTTTGTATTTTTTAGTAGAGACAGGGTTTCACCATGTTGGCCAGGCTGTTCTCGAACTGCTGGCCTCGTGTTTCACCCGCCTCGGCCTCCCAGAGTGCTGGGATTACAGGCGTGAGCCACCGCGCCGGGCCAGCACATCTTTATTGAGTGCCAACTGGGCGCCTGCCCGAACTAGGAGCCGGGGGCCCGTCTTGGTTCCTATTCATCCCTCCGGGATGTTTTGGGGATGTTTCCTGAGCCCGCATCCCCAGGCTTCGGGGTCGGGGGGCTTGTGAGCCACAGCAGCAGCCGCCTTTCTGCTGTTTCTGGAAAACCAGGACCTAGTGGAGGAAGAGCGCGTTCCTCTTTTCTTCCAGACCACTAACAACCTCAGACGCGCGTCTCTAACTGGGCGTTAGTCCAGATTCCCACCGGGCGCGAGGGACATTTCCTTGCTGCCCACTCGGGGCGCCCCCGCGCTTCTCCAAAGCGGGAAGGGCGGGGCTTAGGCTGTTGCCTTGGCAACCGAGGGTGCCCGCAGTACTAGGAAATTGTAGTGGACCTGCAGCTGGCCGCCTGCGGGGGTTTGCGGGGGGCAGGGTAAACTGTGCCCGGGTTAGGTCATTGGAATATGCGTTGACAATGACACACAGGTGCACACACGCACAAATACGAGTCTTGCCCCCACACGCTTTTCTTTTGCACAAGCTATTCCCTGCATGTACATGCAGCCTCTTTGCACACACACTGGCCCGTGTGCAATTAATCCCTTGTAATGGTACCCTCTACATCACGCACACAGTCAGGCATCAGGAAGCCAGAGAGACTGATGGAGATGCACACTTTGAAAACCACAGGCTGATCCTCAGAAATACTCAAGCACGGTCATACACACAACCGTAAGACTACACATTCACACAAGAAAGGCACATGCACAGGAAAGCAGACACGCACACACACACAAACCCCCAGAAATGCACACACGCAGACAGGTAGACACATACCCTTAAAATCACACGCACACAGAAATACACTCGGAAGACATAACGCTGACACAAGCAGGCAGACATCAACGAACACACCCCCCCCCCAAAAATATAAGCGCGCAGAAACCCACTGACGGACACCATGCAGACACACAAGCGTACACATACACCCAGACCCCCAAGAACATATGCAGACCCTGCGCGCGCACACACATTACACGCGCGCACATGCACATTCGCGGCCCCAGCGTCTGCTTCTTCCGCGGGACTCTGCCCCGGGGCGCCGGGGCAAGGGGCGGGGTAAAGACGGCCCTCCCCTGGGCCACCGGCCGGCCTCCCTCCCCCGGGAGACTCACCGGGCCCAACGGGATGAGCGGGCGGGCCCCGCCCAGGCGGAACCAGCAGCCGCACAGCGCCCCGACCATGGCTGCCTCCGCAGCTCCGCGGGCCGCTCCGGCTCTAGGCGGCCAGGAGCGCGGCCATCTCGGCGCGCCTGCGCACTCCGCAGCCGCGGGCCTGCAACCCAGTTACCGAGTCGTCTGCGTGGAGGGGGTGCTGGGGGCAGAGCCCCAGCGCTCTCTGGCCCGCTCCCCGCCCAGATTTTCGGAACTGTTTTTGGCTTGAGAGCCGGCGGAGAGCCATGTGGCTTCTTCTCAGTGGAACATCTCCACCCTGGCTCAGTTCTCTGGCCTGTATAATGGAGTTAAGGATAAAACCCACCGCACAGGGTTGTCCTAGGTTCTTAAGGACGGGTCAAGCCTCAGAACAGTGTCCGGAGCAGAGGCCTCGTTGTGTAAATGCCAGATATTGTTATGCAGCAGCTCCAGGTCTTGGCCGACCCACTTTCCTGACTCCTACCCACTCCTCCCCACCCCCTCCCCGACGCACACCCACGGTCAGAGCCTGGGCTGGCCCTGGGCTCGTTCACGTCTACTCATGGCGCCTGCCCTGGTTGGCGATGTGTTACCAACGTCTGGCCTGTCCCAGCCCAAGGCTCCGCGTGGCGACCAGGCCCAGCACTGGGAGGCTGTGCAGAGCGTGGCGTTTACTGCTTATTGCTACTCTGCAGAGGTTGGCAACATCTGACCCGCTCTACTGGCAGGAAACAGGCTCGGGGGCATTGGGAAAACGATCAAGGCCACTTGGCTGGACACTGGCGGAGCCTCGCACTCAAACCTGTCGGGCCTCAACTCCGTGCCAGGCCAACAAGTTGCCCTGGGCAGTTCAAGCTGGGGATAAGGGGGATGGGGAGCAGGAAGACAGCAGCAAGGATGCGATCCCGAAGGAACTTTCCTCCTCAGACTGCTCCATGTCCATGTGGGGCAGGTCGCTGAAGAGTTCGAAACCGTGCTCAGCACCGCGTTTGGGGCATGTGAGACCGAGAGGCTTTGGGAAACTGACGCCGCTGTGAGAACGAGTTTAGCGGAGTCTATGGACGCTGCGAGCTTGTGGCCACAAGAGGGCGCCCCGGAGCACGGCCCAGTCCCCGCCCCCGCTGGATGGGGCCCGGCCTCTTCCCAGCGTTCCTCCTCCGGCCCCAGGTCACCGCCAGCACGCGCCTGCTTCCCGTCTGCGCGAGTCCACGCAGCTCCCCAGGTACCCGCCCTGCACTCCTGACCCTTTCTTCTCTCCAGTCAAAATCCAACCCCACCTACCCCAAGTCTTCCTTTCTCGGATCCCTGGGTCCCCTCCTTGGGAGTTGCCACCATTCCCTCCCGGTGCTCCCTTCCAGAGCTAGCGAGCCAGAACCGTAGTCCGCGGAAGCAACCTGACCGCGAGGTCAACGCGTTGGGCCCCAGGTGGCAGCGCGTTGAGCACCCCGCATCCCCGGCGGGTCGCCTTTCCCACTGGGCGCTTCGGTTTCCGCCTCTAGAAAATGGGCTTTCCGGTGTGGAAGCGCGCCTGTGGTTCCAGCTACTGGGGGTGAGCCGGGAGGATCACTTGAGCCCAGGAAGGTCAAGGCTGCAGTGATCCATGATTGCGCCACTGCACTCCAGCCTGGACGACAGAGCGAGACATCTTCTCTTAAAAAAAAAAAAAAGAAAAAAAAAAAAACCGAAGAAAATGGGCTTTTAGTTCCGGCGCGGTGGCTCACGCCTGTAATCCCAGCACTTTGGGAGGCCAAGGTGGGTGGATCACTTGAGGTCAGGAGTTCCGGACCAGCTCGGCCAACATGATGAAACCCCGTTTCTACTAAAAATATAAAAATTAGGCCGTGCACGGTGGCTCACGCCTGTAATCCCAGCACTTTGGGAGGCTGAGGCGGGCGGATCACGAGGTCAGGAGATCGAGACCACCCTGGCTAACACGGCGAAACCCCGTCTGTACTAAAAAAAAAAAAACAAAAAATTAGCCGGGCGTGGTGGCGCGTGCCTGTAGTCCCAGCTACCCGGGAGGCTGAGGCAGGAGAATGGCGTGAACCCGGGAGGCGGAGCTTGCAGTGAGCGGAGATGTGCCATTGCACTCCAGCCTGGGCGACAGAGCGAGACTCCGTCTCAAAAAAAAAAAAAAAAAAATTAGCCAGGCATGGTGACGCACGCCTGTAAACCCAGCTACTCGGGAGGCTGAGGCAGGAGAATCGCTTGAACCCAGGAGGTGGAGGTTGCAGTGAGCCGAGATCATGCCACTGCACTCCATTCTGGGCAACAAGAGTGAAACTCTGTCCCAAAATAAATAAATAGAATAAAATAAAATAAAATGGGCTTTTTACCCCAATTTGGGCTCCCTCTGGCCTGCATTGACAACTCATGACCTGTAACTTACCGTTGATTGAGCACTGAGCCCTTACTACGTGCTAGGCATGGTACATGCATGGCCTTATTTAATCCTATCAACCACCTATGAGCTAGTACTATTGAATTATCCCCATTTATAGAAAAGGATAATAACGATGAGAATAAGAACAGTAATTGTAATGGAGCCCCACCACATATTGAGGTTTTACAGCAGGCACCCCCACTGATAATTTTTCTGTTTTTTGTTTTTTTGAGATGGAGTTTTTCTCTTGTTGCCCAGTCTGGAGTGCAATGGCGCGTTCTCGGCTCACTGCAACCTCTGCCTCCTGGGTGCAAGCAATTCTACTGCCTTAGCTTCCCAAGTAGTTGGGATTACAGGCGTGTGCCACCACAGCTGGCTAATTTTGTATTTTGAGTAGAGATGGGGTTTCTTTCTGCATGTTCATCAGGGAGATCTCGAACTCCTGACCTCAGGTGATCCGCCCGCCTCGGCCTCCCAAAATGCTGGGATTACAGGCGTGTGCCACCGCGCCTGGCCTAATGAGAGTTACATGTGACCATCAGCTGGCTCTTTTTTTTTTTTTTTTTTGTGACCGAGTCTCACTCTGTCACCCAGGCTGGAGCACAGTGGCACGATCTCGGCTCACTGCAACCTCTGCCTCCCGGGTTCAAGCGATTCTCCTGCTGAGTAGCTGGGACTACAGGCACGTGCCACCACACCTGGCTAATTTTTTTTTCTTTTTAGTAGAGACGGGGTTCCACCATGTTGGCCAGGGTGGTCTTGAACTCCTGACCTCAGGTGATCCACCCGCCTCGGCCTCCCAAAGTGCTGGGATTACAGGCGTGAGCCACCATGCCTGGCCGATAATTTTTCTTAAACTTTTAATTAAATTGCTAATTCTTGAAGTTGGCTTTATTGTTCCCATATTTCAGATCAAGAAGCTGAGGCCCCAGGTTACACACTAAAGTAAATGGCAGAGGCAGAAATAACACCTATGTCCTCCTGACCCCAAGGCATGTTCTTAAAGTTCTGGAAACCTCCTGGAGGCTTCCTTGCTGCTCCTCTGGGACTGCCACCCTGGGCAGGGTGTTCTGTGGCCCCTCATCATCGTGGTTTTGAACCACAGGCCCTTCACCAGCACAGCAGCAGCAGGCATGGCAGCAAGCGTGGAGCAGCGCGAGGGCACCATCCAGGTGCAGGGCCAGGCCCTCTTCTTCCGAGAGGCCCTGCCCGGCAGTGGGCAGGCTCGCTTCTCTGTACTGCTGCTGCATGGTATTCGCTTCTCCTCCGAGACCTGGCAGAACCTGGGTACACTGCACAGGCTGGCCCAGGCTGGCTACCGGGCTGTGGCCATTGACCTGCCAGGTACTTAAGGGGCAGGCTTCTGGGCAGGGTTTGGGGAGGTCTCATTAGGGACAGGGCCAGGTTCCTATAACATGTAGCCCCTCCCCACTCCAGGGGTGGGGGCGGTGGGATCTGGAGGACCCAGCCAGGCTGGGCCCTGAACTTGACAGCGTTTGGTCAAGCACACTGCAAGGGCCTCTGAGCAGTCTTGATCCAGATGTGGTCCTCACCGCCCAGCTGCTCCTCACTGTTACCTGGGCATTGTCTCAGTGTCTCTGAGCCTCTGTTTCCTCATCTGCAATGGGAGATAACCACACTCATGTTTTGGGCTCGCTCTAATGAGAATGGAATGAGATAATCCATGTGAGTATGTGGCTAGTACCTGACACAGAGTAATCGGTGCTCAGCCAATTGGAAGTAAAGTATTTTGACTGAATAATAACCATAGGCTTTTGGAAGCCCTAAGGAGTGAGACCTGAGTCTTCTGGGGGACAAGGCAGGGCCTGGTGGGTGGCCAGGCCCCCACTTGTGATCCCACATGCAAAGCCCTGAGCTGGGTTCTAGGGTAGATGGGATCAGTGCCCAGACTGCCTGTCATAACCCAGATGGCTGGGTCCCAACCCTCGGTGCCAGGTGTGAAAGGAGCAGCATGGCTGGCCCCACCCCCTCAGGCCAGGGATGGTATGGTTTCAGGGCTCAAGGGCGAGCCTCCTGCCCAGGCAGGATTGATTCCAATGGTGGGTTGGCTTGAGCTTCAGGGTGAAGGTCTGGAGCTAATCTTGTTGGTGAAGCCTGAATGACTGGAGGAGGAGCTGCAGAACCGACCCCTCAGCTGCTGTCCTTCAGGAGCCTCTCTTGTCCCAATCCAGGGCCAGGTGCCTTTCACACAGTTAATTTTCACAACAATCTTAAATGGCAGATACTTTTGTTATCCCCCTTTAACAGATGGGGAAACTGAGCAGCTGAGAGAGGACTGAGGGGGACCTACCCAAGGTCACATAGACAATAAATGCAGAATTGGGTTCTGGACCCAGACTTCTTGGGCTTCAGAGCCTGATTCTCTCCAGGACACTTACTGCTGGGGAGACAGGCACAGACGTGGAGAGAAGTGCCTCATGCTTGGCACGATAAGATAGAATGAGGCTACTGTAGGAATAAACGTGGGCACACTGGGTGTTACAGGAACCTGGCCACAGAGAAACTGACCTAGGAGGGCTTCCTGGAGAGAGCAACCATCTCCCTTGTTTTGCCATTCACTGCCCTTGTCTTGTCTCTTTCACACCTGAATCCCTGCAGGTCTGGGGCACTCCAAGGAAGCAGCAGCCCCTGCCCCTATTGGGGAGCTGGCCCCTGGCAGCTTCCTGGCGGCTGTGGTGGATGCCTTGGAGCTGGGCCCCCCGGTTGTGATCAGTCCATCACTGAGTGGCATGTACTCCCTGCCCTTCCTCACGGCCCCTGGCTCCCAGCTCCCGGGCTTTGTGCCAGTGGCCCCCATCTGCACTGACAAAATCAATGCTGCCAACTATGCCAGTGTGAAGGTACCCTTGTGTGGGAAGCTGAGGTGCCCCTGCCAGGAGCAAGGAAGGGTGCATCCCTGGGCTTTCCTCATCTGGGGGCTGGATAATCAAGGGGTGTCTTCTGGGAGGAGCTGACCACCCAACTCCACCCTTTTGGTTTACTCAGCAGACTACTGTGCCAAGCCCTGTGCTAAACTGTGTTCTGGGGCAGACACCAATCTGTGCCCCCACCCACTGGGCCAGCTTGTCTCTCTCCCTCATATGGGGTGGTCCCAGGAAGAGACTGAAGTGGGGAGGGCTGGGGATGCTATGGCAGGTCCCTGTTGACTCTGCCCCACCCCCCTATCCTTCCTCTCAGACTCCAGCTCTGATTGTATATGGAGACCAGGACCCCATGGGTCAGACCAGCTTTGAGCACCTGAAGCAGCTGCCCAACCACCGGGTGCTGATCATGAAGGGGGCGGGGCACCCCTGTTACCTGGACAAACCAGAGGAGTGGCATACAGGGCTGCTGGACTTCCTGCAGGGGCTCCAGTGAAGCCCAGCACTGCTGCAGGGGGTGGGCTGCCTGCCTGCTCTGAGCTCTCTCTTGCACGCTCTCTCTTCTCTCCCAGGCTCTGGCTCATGCACATGCAACAGGTGCGTCTGTCTATATGTCTGGGTTCTTGTCTTTTGTGGTCTGTTTGTCTTTTCTACCTCTTTCTCTTGCAGTGATAGACTGAGGGGGTAAAATCAAGAGAAAAAACTCTCAGGAATCAAGGAACATAATCCTGTGGAGGGTAATCCATTACATGAGCTTCTCCTGTTCTTCCACTTTCCTGCCTGGCTTTCACTCCTTCCCCTGCTCTGCCCAGCCTTTCCCTCCCACCCACTCCTCCTTCTGCAAATGCCCTGAAGGCCAGCCCTTACCCCAACACCCACTTCCCCACCTCCTTAGGCCCCAGATACATACATGCCCACATGCACGCTTACATGTTTAGAGCCATCCTTGTTTCCAAATATGACCCTTCGCTTGAGGGCAACTGCATAGGTACATCTAACTCTGGACTGGCATGCACATTGTCATGTGCAGCTTTGCATATACACACATGCATACATGAGCCTCCACACAAGCACTTGCACACATGTGGACTCCTAACCATGCTAACCTCACTGGCTGGGAAGGTGGGGACCCCATGGGCCAGCCCTTGCAGGAGGCCCTTTTGCAAGGCTTAGGGTGTGGCCAGCCCTGAAAGCTACTTGGACACAGGTTTCAGCTGGCCCCAGCCCAGAAGTGACCCCCAGAAAGGGAGGGCCACCGCTTTGCCCCCTGCTTTTACCCTTCCTTCTGGGTGCTCTACACCTCAGGTTACCAGGCCTGAGGCATCTCAGCCAAGCTTGTTTCCTGCTCTGAGGCTTGTGGGGTGGGAGCCAGAGTGGAGGTCGGTGAAATAAAGTGATGCAATTAGACCCCACCGGCTCCTGCTTCTAAAGAGCGCCGCCCCTCCCCCACCCCTGGGACCAACACTGTGGGCCCCTCCCCCACCCCGGCGGGACCAGATGGTCCCCCTGCCCTTTGTCCACCAGGCCAGATGGAGAGGAAGGGAGATTGGATTCCCCTCCCCACCCACACATACCCAGGTGCCAAGAGACTCAGCTGTGGGGGGAGGTGGAGGTCAGTGGGACCAGGCTGAGCCGATTATGGAGGAGTGGGGGGGAAGGAATAGTTGCTTCCCCGAGGGCGGGGGGTGCCCAGCGGACTTGAGAACAGTTCATCACCCCCACTAGTATCCCTTCCCCAGTAAAAGACTCAACGGAGCCCGTTCCTTGCGACCCTATCCCCAAAAGGAATTCCGGGGGTAGATTTGGGGTTATCACAGGATCGGGTGCACAGGGCCACACGGCTCTCAGGCCCCTCCTCCAGCCTGTCCTGCGCGGACGAGGGCCGGGCCATGCAGCTGTGGGTGGCCGAGGAGAGCGGGTCTTGGTGGGCGCAAGCCCGAGCGGAGGATGGCGCGCAGCGAGCAGAGCCGGGAGCTAGGCGGGGCGCAGGGTCCCAGCCGGAGCTCGGAGGGACGCGGGCCGGGAGCGAGGCGGAGCCGGGGCTGGCGGGGCCAAGGCGGGGATGGGGGTGCAGGGGGCTCGGCAGAGGCGCCGGGCGGGCGGCCCGGGCCGGAAGGACTGGCCTGGCGGGAGCGGAGGGGCTTGGAGCCGGGCGCAGCGCGGGCGGTGCGGGGAAGGCCGTGGCTGGGGACCGGGCTTCAGGCCGGACGCCCCTACCCCCAACCCGTGGGGCTCTGGGAGTGGCAGGGGAAGGGTCGCCCGAGCCCTCCAGGAAGCGGCCGCCGCTCGGGGCGCACCGCGGCGCGCGGGGCGGGGCGGGCGGCTGCGGCACTGGGGCGGCTGGGGCGGGCCCGCCGCTCTGTAATCGGATCCGGGGAGGGGGCGGGGAGGGGCCGGGCCGGGCGGGCCGGGGGGTGGGGGGGGGGCGCGGAGCCGGGCTCCGGGCCGGCCGGGCTCCGCGCCTGTCAAACCCCTCATTGTTCGCAGCTGATGTCACTCGCAGTTGTGAGCGGCCGCCTCTCCCGGGGACAATGTGGGACTGAGCGGCCCAGCCGCCGTGCCGCCGCCGCCGCCGCCGCAGGACAGCCCCAGCGAGGTAGGGCGCGGGCCGGGCGGGGCACGGCGGGCCGCGAAGTTTGGGGGTTCGCCCGGGGGCAGGGAGCCCGCGCCCAGATCCCTCGGTTGGGGTCGCAGGTTTGTGAGACTGCGAGGAACACGTTCTCTGTCCCACACCGCTGAGGCCTGCACAGGTGGGAGGCGCTGGTCTGCCAGAGGCGCCCTTGGCACCAGGGAGGGGCTTCCTGGACCTTAGATCCCAGATTTGAGGCCCCCATCCCACTCGCTGTTTCTGTCCTTTGCGCCTGCTCCTCTCTCTGACTCCTGCCCTGGGTTCTGGTTCTGCTCCATCTCTGCCCTCACTTGCCACTCCCCTGTAGCTCCTGGCTGGGCACACACTCCTTCCCATCCTCCGCAGTCGTTGGGGGAGCCAGATACAGACCTCCAGGCCAGGGGTGTATGGAGATGACAGCTGGGGGCTCAGAGTGGTCCCTCTTGCCCCATAGCTCTTCAGCCCTTCAGCTCTGACCTAGCTTCTTGGCTGGGGTCCTGGGGGGTGGGGGTGGGAGGCTCTGCTACTCACTTCAGCCTGGCCCTCATGCCTGCCTGGCCAGGAGAGGGAGGTGCCCGCCTCCTCTCTCCCCTATCCCTGGCCCGCCATCTTGAGACCTGTGGCACCCAGTGCCCCACCCGGCCCCAGCACCCAGGGGAGTGGTCTCCAAGGTGATGATGCACCCAGGGCCAGTTGCATTCCTTTCTCCCCACCAAGCCCAGGATGCTCATGTTCGTGCTGAACCAGCAGGACATGTGTCCCCAGGGGCTTGCCTTCCGCCACAAAGGCTCTTACAATCCATGAACTCCCTAGGAGCTGAGCTCCTGCCCTCCCTGTTCCCTGGGTCACCCTCATTGCCTCAGGACCAGTACCTGGGACCCTATTCTTTCCCCATCTGAAAAAATCCCCTGGTCTTCCCAGGTCCTGGAGCCCCCTCAACCTCCAGGGCACCCCCATCCCAGCCCCCACCCCCTAGCCTTCATCAGCATGCAGGCTCAGGCTGCCCAAACACAAGGGGATTGTTCTTCTTGCATGCTCAGGGTGGGGGGCTGGGAGCAGGCAGCCCACACACCCTGGCAGGCCCAGGCCACGAGGAGGCTGGCTTGCCCCACCCTGTGTCCCCAGACAGGCTGTCCACCCTCCCTACTCCCATCACTGCTGCCCCTCCAGCCTCCATCACCATTGCCCAGTGGCGCTGACATCTTGAGGAAAGAGCTCTGAGCTGCACAGGTAGACCCCTGGGTTCTCCAGCTCTGCCAGTTGTCTCCCATGTAGCCTTACAAACATTTCCCTTCCTCTCTGGGCCGCGAGCCCCTCTTGTGATTGGTAAGACCTTTCCAGCTGTGACAGGCTGAGCCCAACTCGACTCTGTGAAACGTACCCCACCCCCCAGCCCTTCTTCCAGTCCCCCTCTTCCATGAGGAGACCCACTCTGCTCCCACCCTCTGAAAACCTAAAGCACAGCCCAAATCCCCCACCCCAGCAGCATACCTAGGGAGCTCCTAGTCCTGGTAAAACGGCAGGAGTAGGGCTGGGGATGCTGAGAAAGGAACCAGGAATCCTGTCCAGGCAGGTCCTACCTCTGCCCATGTGGCTGGCCCTCATGTCTGGGTCTTCTCACTCTACTCTCATTACTCCTCCGGGACCCTCAGCCCCATCTTTGGTTCCAAATGTCCCCAGGCCCCATGAACCTTAACTCTTCTCCCTGCACACTGACCCTGGTCTTGTCTCAAATTTCCTCTTTCTGGAGCTCTGTGTATAGTGGAAAGACAGGCTCAGAAATGCCCAGCGGGGACTTCTTTGAGTTGCAGCAACATCTTTGAGGGGCACAGAGGCCTGAGTGATCACATCTGACTTGGAAGCCTGCGGAGGGCTTCACAGAGGAGGTGGCGTTTGAGAAGGATTTTGACAGAGAGTGGGGAGGATGGGCGTTTTGAGCTGAGGTAAGCCTGGAGAAAGGCCCGAAGGGCTGGAGGTGCTAAGTGTGTTCTGCAGCCTGGCATGTGTGAAGGATGGGGTGGAGATGAGACAAGAGAGACAGGGGCTGGATCATGAAGGTCCTTGATGGCCTGTCTGTGGAGTTCAGGCTTTATTCTTTGGGGACTGGGCAGCCATGGGTGGCTGTTGAGCAGCAGAGTAAGCATACAGTTTTCAGCATGGAGATTGGAAGCTAGAGGCCTTTCTCAATGTAGATGAGAGAGTGAGGGGATGGGTACCATGAGGCTGTGGCCTTTCTCCTGGAGCCCAGCCTGGGCCCGGGCTTGACTTGGTTTCCCTTGGTTCCGAAGACTCCTGGGGGCTGCCTAATGATGGTGTATGGAAGCTGTAGCATTTCTGGCACCTGCCAACTTGTCAGAGCTGCCTTTCCCTTCCTGGCACTTTGTCTATGTGGCAGATCTGAATCAAGAAGCCAGAGGCTGGAACTTGTGGACCCCAGGATGCTCACCTGAGGCTTCCCACTCCCCTCCTCCTCTCCCAACTGTAGATGATTGGCTATCCCGGGAGGCTGGGAGGCCAAGAGGCTGGGCACATGTGTCCAAGATGCTGGGGCAGTTCTTATGAAGGCCTGGCTAGTTAGGAGAGTGAGCATCTCCAGAGAAGGGATTGGGCAGGAGAGTTAGGAGCCCTCGATGCAGACGTGCTGTGGCCCAGGGTCCACCCCCACCACACCCTGCCTCCCTGGATGCTCCGAGCCATTCCCCAGCATCACTGGGTGTGGCTAGCATGGCTGCTTTGGGAGTGGGAATAGGAGAAGGGGGCTGCTAGGTGGGGAGCTGGGGGTGCTGAGAGGATGTGGGGGGATGTGAGATGGAGAGTGAAGCCCAGGTGGGTCCACAGGCCCTAGCTGGTCCAGACATTCTGGCCAGCAGAGCGGAGGGAATCCCCCAAGGGGCGGGCCAGTCTACTTGAATCGCCTGGCCCCAGGAGCCCTCCCCTCCCCCGGATTGTTCTTGCTCCAGAACAAAGGCAGGGTGGACACTTGATCCCTGCATGTGGGGTGAGCTGGCTAAGCCCCCAGCCCTTTGATTGGGCAGCTGTCATGGGAGAGAGACAGCTGGGGGGGAGGGGCAGGAAGGGGGCAGCCACCATCGCTTACACAGCTGTCACCCCCCCGCCTCCTCCAGCCTGAGTGGCAGAAAGCCAGGGACAGGAGGAGTGGGCACTGGGGCTGGGGAGGGGGCCTGGGAGTCAGGAGGGAATGCCCGAGGTCAGAGGCCTGGTGTGAGCTTGGTATGCCCTGCCAGGGAGCCCTGCTGACCAGAGGGGGCTGGGCACCCGCGGAGGTGAGCTGGAGGTCACTGTGGCATGTTGTGTGGCTGCCACGTGGGTGGCCCGGCAAAGACCCAGGGCCCACCCGGCTGGAGCAGCAAATGACTCCCTAGAGCCCCACTGAGGGCAGGGGGAGCCAGTGATGCCTCATGGGGCTGCTCGTTCCTTGGGCCCTAGGAGAATAATTTGGAAGACATGGGTCAGAACCCCTTGTTCTTGCCTAAAGATGGGAAAGACCTTGAGAGTCTCTCAGACCAGGAAGGGCGCAGATAGACCAGCAACTCTCTCCCTACCCCCAGCCCCTAAACACAATACAGGTGGGTTTAGGTCAGGTGAAGACCTGGCCAAAGTTACCCACTGGACTTGGGGCGGTGGGTCTCTGCTGGAGACCCAGGCATCTTTTCATGGCAGAAGCTCTAGTTCTGGCCATGTTCCAGCCCTCCTGCCCCATTTTTCCTGGAGCCACAAGAGGTCATGTGGAGATGGTTTGGGGACAATGTCAGGTCTCCCACTGGTTACCATCCCAAGGGGGTCCTTGAACCCCAGAAAATTTTGGAACTTAAGACCGAGGCTCTGGACAAGTTGTCAGTCCTTTCCAAATAGGATCCCTGTCTTCTAGCTAGGCAAAGGTCTCAGAGACGACTGAAGCCCAATCCCCACTTTCGAAGGAGCCCGCCCTCCAGGAAGAGGACTAACAGATCCAGACAGGAGCAGCCTGAAAGGGGAGGCAGATGGGGCTTTGGATAGCCTCACACTAGCAATGCTAGTCCCACTGTGTCCCACCTCTCTGTGACCTTGGGCAGGTTACTGATCCTCTCCAGGCATCAGGTTCTCCTGTGTAGTGAATTCATCTGCTCAGCTAACCAGTATGTTAGCTGAGTTCCAGCTGAGCTCAGTATGTTCTGAGCACCTTCTCTGGCCTGGCTCTGAACTGAGCCCTGGGGACATAAGGAGAAGGCAGCAGCCTTGGCTCCTGCTCCAAGGGGCTCCTGGGCTTGGCTGTCCAGAGAAGCAGAAACCAAGCACGTCATCACAAGTGCTTTGATGGGGGAAGTGCAGGCAGCTGGGGGAATGTCTAGCAAGGGCAGCCAGCATGAGGCTGGCCAGGATGCTCGGAGAGCACAGTCCCTGCATCCACTGCTCATCTCCAGCCTCTGGAGTCCCTGTGGCAGAACTCAAATGGAAGGAGGAGCAGCTGCACCCAGGGGAGCAGGGTGTCACCTCCGTTGGATAGGTGAGGAAACAAAGACCTTATGCCATACGGTGGCTTGCTGGGACTTCTGAGAAGGAGCCAGGCTGGGAGCCCCTTTCACCTTCCGTGCTCAAGCTCTGTCTAGCAAGGGGAGTTCAGAAGAGGGCGTTGGACAGAACTCCATGCCCTTTCCTGTCATGTTGGGATGGGGCAGGGGGCTGAGGAGGAAGGCGCCCAGAGACTTCTGGAGTGTTCCAAGCTCAGCACACTCATCCTTCATCCCCACACCCTCCTGGGCATGAGGAATTTGCAGTGTTAGGGCTTGGTCTTGGCCCAGACTTAGCACCAGTTGGTCCCACTCCCTGTTTTCCCCATAGGGTTCTGGTCCCCCAGTGAGCTCCCCATCAAGGCTGAGCCTTGGCAGGAGACAGACGCCTAAGGAGAGGGATTTCCAAGCAGGATTAAGGTTGAGGATTAAGTCGGGGCATGAAAAAGGGTCGGGTGGGGAGGGCTGGCCACTGAGCTAATCCCAGCAGCTAATCTCAGGCTCCACCTTCCTCCATCAGTTAATGGCCTTGACATTCCCGCAGCCCACCAAATCCTTTTCTTACCCATCACGCAGTCCCAGGGAGAGGTATTCCCTCCATTTTATAAGTGAGGAAATTGAGACTCAGAGCCCAAGTGACTTGTTTCTGGTACAGTAGAAAGTGTTCCAGGCTGGGAATGTGGCCAGCCTGGACACTTCTTACCTCCTGTTCCCAAGGCCATTTCCAGCACATAGAAGAGAGATTGGAAACCAACGTGCAGAACTGCCAGTCCCCTGACACGCTGTGCCCCACCCACTGCAGCCCAGTGCTGAATGAACCCTGCCCAGAGGTGTCTGTAGTGAGCTTCTGCCCTAGTGACTTTTGGTAGGTGGGAGTGTGCCTCAATTCCCCCCTCAACCCCTGCCTCAAGCCTTTACCAGGCAGTGGCAAGACCTGACCACACCCGAGGCCTCCCTGCCTTCAAGGCTTCCCATGGCTGCTCCAGCTTCCTCCCCAGCTGCTCTTCTGTGCTCCATCCACCATCTGGCTGCTGGACGAAAGTGCCTCTCATATGGAGTAAGCTTTCAGCCTGAACTCCACCTTCAGGGCCCCATCCACAGAGGTTACCTCTTCCAAGAGGTCAGGGAGGAGGCTCTCCTCCTGACTCCCATAGGCTTCCTAGTTAATTATTTCTTTTAGTGTCTCAGGGTAAGGGAAAGGCTAGGTACCTACCATGTATGTGCTTATTGTTTTAATTCTCATCACTCTTTGGAGATGGGAATTTGTATCCCCTTCTACAGATGGAGAAGCTGAGGCTCAGAGGGTTGAATGGGCTCCCCAGGCTTACACAGCTCGTGAGACACACATAAGCACCCTGGTCAGAGTGATGTGTGGCGCTCAAGGTCCATGCAGTCTCTTTCCTCTGGGAGTTTGACTAGCCCAGCTCTGGGGTCCCCATGTAAGGGCAGGGGCAGGGTGGACTGGGCTCCTCTCGAACCCCTCTTTGGCTGCCCCTGCCAGAGCCGGCCAGGTTGCAGCGCGGACACACTCGCAGGTCGCTGTGGCCCCAGCCTCGCCTGACAGAATGAGCGGCTCGGACGGGGGACTGGAGGAGGAGCCAGAGCTCAGCATCACCCTCACGCTGCGGATGCTGATGCACGGGAAGGTGAGCGGGAGGTGGAGGGCCAGGCGAGGCAAGGCTGGGCTGGGCTGGGTTTCACTGGGTATCCCAGTGGGGAGGGGCTGGGCCTGGGCACTGGCACCCATCTGACGGCTCTTGTCTTGTCCGCAGGAAGTGGGCAGCATCATCGGGAAGGTAGGTGCCTAGCTCTGCTCTGTACATCCCCCTCCAGCTGAGGCTTCAGCCCAGGGAAGGAGGCTGTGACCTCTAAGTTAAGAGTGATTATCTGTTTTGTACCTCCCACAGAAGGGCGAGACTGTAAAGCGAATCCGGGAGCAGGTGAGGATGGAGTTTGGGGGAGGAGCCCAGGGCACCTGATGTGGAGGGGAGATCCCTGCCCCACTTTCTCTCTGAACCACTCCTTCTGGGCTGACCAGTGAGTCCCCCAGAGGGTGGCAGTTTTGAGCCTTGCCTCAGGCCTGGTGAGTGGGGCAGGCAGACAAGTTCCGGCAAGGGAGCAGGGAAGATGCCCCGCTGCCCGGCGCTCATTCTATATCTGCAGAGCAGTGCCCGGATCACCATCTCCGAGGGCTCCTGCCCTGAACGCATCACCACCATCACCGGGTCTACAGCAGCTGTCTTCCATGCAGTCTCCATGATTGCTTTCAAACTGGATGAGGTCCGTGGCTGGCCAGGGCAGGACGCCAAGAGTGGTTCCCCAGGAGGAACCCAACTCTGACTCCAGATAGTGGCTATGGGTGGGAGGGGAGGTCAAGCCCAGGGCAGTGTTCCCTTGAAGTGGGACTGGGGAAAGGGTACCCTCCTGACCCCTGGGCAGATATAGCAGGGACGAGCATGGCCAACCCACCGTCTCCCTGTCCCAGGACCTTTGTGCTGCTCCTGCAAATGGTGGAAATGTCTCCAGGCCTCCAGTGACCCTGCGCCTTGTCATCCCTGCCAGTCAGTGTGGCTCACTGATTGGGAAGGCTGGCACCAAGATCAAGGAGATCCGAGAGGTGAGGGGCGAGATATACCACCCACAGGGAATCCGGGGCAAGGGAGCAGTTGTAAGAGGGGTGTTGGGCTTATGGCGTCCTCCCCACCTAGAGAGCTCTGAGCCTGGGCAGCCCTTTTCTGGGTTATGGGAGCAGCCAGAAGTGGCCCCTGTTCTCTGTTTGCAGACTACGGGTGCCCAGGTACAGGTGGCAGGGGACCTGCTCCCCAACTCCACAGAGCGAGCTGTTACGGTATCTGGGGTGCCTGATGCCATCATCCTGTGTGTGCGCCAGATCTGCGCTGTTATCCTGGAGGTGCTGCCCTGGGGCAGGGAGAGAGGGGGCAGGAGATGGGCCCTGGGTCTGCCTTGTCGGGGACCCCAAACCCTATGCCTGTGCTGCAGGTGGGGCAGGGCAGGGCTGCAGGGATGGATGATGAGCTCCAGGGATCATGTGCATTTCCCTGGGGGTCATGGTGGGGGCCTGAGGCCACTGGGCAGCTGGGGAGGTTATCGGAGCCTGAGAGGGTCCTGACAGAGCCCTGTTTATGCCTTCCAGTCCCCACCCAAAGGAGCCACTATCCCCTACCATCCGAGCCTCTCCCTAGGTACTGTTCTTCTCTCTGCCAACCAGGTGAGGGGAACAACAGGAGCAGTGGGACACATTACTGGAGAAGGGGGATTGAGATAGAGGAGGGGATGGAAGAAGGAATTGGAGGTCCAGGGACGGGGGAAGGAGTGACTCTGGCTGAACTGCAATGTCACAGTAACCCCCTTTTCATCCACTTTGTCCCCACAGGGCTTCTCTGTCCAGGGTCAGTATGGGGCTGTGACCCCAGCTGAGGTGAGTGACCCATAGCCCAAGGCACCCCTTCCTGAACCATGCCTCCTCTGACCTCTGACCCCTCTTTGGCACAGGTCACCAAGCTCCAGCAGCTCTCAAGCCATGCGGTCCCCTTTGCCACACCCAGCGTGGTGCCAGGTAAGCCACCCCTGCACAAGGAGGCAGGGGGAGGGTCCTAAGAGGGCAGCCCCCTCCCTTCCAGGGAGAGTGGAAATGGTGGGGCGGGAAAGGCCCAGAACCACACTCAGTCCCTCTTCTCCCCCTCAGGACTGGATCCCGGCACACAGACCAGCTCACAGGAGTTCTTGGTTCCCAACGATGTGAGCAGGGGATGGGATGGCTGGAGGGTGGGTAGGGGGTCTGGGGGTCTGGACCTCACCCAGGGCTGAATTCTGCCTTCCCTCTAGTTGATTGGCTGTGTGATCGGGCGCCAGGGCAGCAAGATCAGCGAGATCCGGCAGATGTCAGGGGCACATATCAAGATCGGGAACCAAGCAGAGGGCGCTGGGGAGCGGCATGTCACCATCACTGGCTCTCCGGTCTCCATCGCCCTGGCCCAGTACCTCATCACTGCCTGGTGAGCGCGGGCTGGGCGGCAGTGGGGGAGCAGGTCACGGTTCTCATGTGCCCAAGAAAGGCAGGGGTGGGGAGAGGAAGCTGGCCTCCTCTCTCTGTCTGGGCCCGACCTCTGCCTCTCCTAACCCTACTCCAATTCCCCATGGTCTTTGCCTAATTCACCCTCTGTTGCCCCATCTCCCCCCTCTATATCCACCTCTCATTCTCCATTGCTGTGTCTTTTCCCTGGGTCTCTGGCCACCCCATTTCTCCCTGCACCTCGTGCTATATCTGCTTGTCCTTTCTTCCCTTCCTCTTCCACCTTTCCCATCTTCCCCTTATTGTTCTCTGTTCACTACCTCTCTCTTGCCTTTCATCTAATCTCATGCCCATCTCTGCCCTCATTGCCCCTCTCTCACTCCCACTTTCCCCTTTGTCTCCCCTCTATATCCCTCTCTCCAGTCTAGAGACGGCCAAGTCTACCTCTGGGGGGACGCCCAGCTCGGCCCCCGCAGACCTGCCTGCCCCCTTCTCGCCACCCCTGACGGCCCTGCCCACAGCTCCCCCTGGCCTGCTGGGCACACCCTATGCCATCTCCCTCTCCAACTTCATCGGCCTCAAGCCCATGCCCTTCTTGGCTTTACCACCTGCTTCCCCAGGGCCGCCGCCGGGCTTGGCGGCCTACACTGCCAAGATGGCAGCAGCTAATGGGAGCAAGAAGGCTGAGCGGCAGAAATTCTCCCCCTACTGAGGCCAGCTGAGGTACAGGCAGGGGCAGGCAGGACCACCAGCAGGGGGCTGCCTCTGCACCCTACCCGCCCAAGGAGACTCCACCCTGGGGTCCCAAACGCCGCTAACGCCCAGACGCATGGATGCACCCCCTACCCTGCCTCCATCTATGGGAGTTCTTTCTCTCAGAGTGGGGGCAGTTTCTGGCCCAGGGGTCTGAGCTGCGGCAGCCCCAGGGCAGGGGGCCCTACCTCCTCAGCTCTGTGCTTGGATACAGGGAGCAGCCAGGAGACTCCCTAGTGCCCCCACCATGGCGGGTGTCACTCACGCACTCCCCATCCCTTAGGGCTTCCTGGCCTACTGCATCCTTGTGGGAGTCAGGGAGGAGGGCCCGTTGGGTAGCTGGGGCCAGGCTTCTCTCCCCACCACCTGCAGATTTCTTGCTGCTTCCACTGATACCCTTTTGACTGGAATGAACTGGCTGGGCTTGTCAGGGGGCACCCCAAAGAGGGGGCACTGCCAGGTAGCTGGGGGAGTGGCATGGGGCAGGGGCCCAGTTCTCAGCAGCAGACACTCTGTACAGTTTTTTCAATCCCTGTTTTTGAATAAATATTCTCAGCGACCAGGAAGTTGTGAAATACTGGTGTTGTGGGCAGCAAAACCTCCAGAAAATGGGTGCAGCTGAGGTCCTGGAGGACCCCCATGTGTGAATCCACCAACCTCAATTAGGCCTCAGCCCCTTCCACATGCCAGTTCTGGGGCTTCAGGACCCTTTGGGGGTGAAGTCGTCCAGCCTCCTACTTCTAATACCAAACTGGTCCAGTTGTCTTCTGGGCATTTTAGAAGCAGGTGGAGGAGTTTCAGTAGCTTTGTCCAGACTCTCCTTGGTGCAGATGTCAGGGAAGTCCTTCTGAGTGTCTCTCCAGTGGTTCTTCCTGCTGTGGCTGTAACCCAGATACTGCCCTGCTTGGCGGATCACTTTGGTTGTGAGCCCTTAGGGCCCTCTTCTTTGTGACACCTGCCCATCTTGGCCTGGGGACCACCTGTGAGTTTCACAAACCACCTATGCTGGAGGGGCCCTTAGAGATGCTGCAGGGTGCAGATGGGAAAGCTGAGGCCTAAGGAAGGGTCGGCCTATGCACAGTGCTATGCAGTGTTGGGCCCAGACCGCAGGATTCCTGGCTCTCAGAAGTCCGTGGGCCTCACCAGGCAGCAGACACCCTTTCTCCTCCTGTTCCAGACCCAGATATCCAGCAGGGCACCTGCTGTGACCTGTGCAGGGGTTGGATGAGCCCCCACGGAAACCACCCTCCTTTCTCCTGCTCAGGAGAGAGAACTCTCAGGTGGCCCCTGGTATGCGGGGCTCCGCCCTCCTGCCAACTCGGGGGTCTGTTCTGGAGCCTCAGAAGGGCCTACGGCAGGGCCCTCTGGGGGTCTCTGGAGGCATTGCAAGAGTGCCCGCGGGTGCCAGGCTTGCGGAGTGCAGGCCCGCACAGGTCCAGGCAGTGCACGGCGAGAGAGGCGGCCCAGTGCCAAGCGCACGGGGCGCTGCAGCAGCCCGTACAGGAAGGGGTGAGCCGCGAAGGCCGAGTAGGCGACCCAGGTGACAGCCGCTTCGGCTTCCGCGGCCCGCGCTGCGGGCGCCAGGCACGCGCAGCCATAAGGCAGCCAGCAGGCTGCAAATTGGCCCACGGCCAGCGCTGGGGCCAGGGCCGCCTTGCCCCCGGGCAGGCGAGGCCGGAGCGGCGGCAAGATGGAAAGGCGGCTATCCAGAGAGTCCGAGTGGAGTCGGGACCCGCGCGCCGGCCGTGGGGGCCTCAGGGCAGCGCGACGCGCCACCACGAAGATGCCGCCGTAGGCGCCGAGCAGCAGGAGGGCGGGCAGCGCGAAGGCCAGCAGGGCCCAGAGCGGCCGGAAGGGCCCGAGGCCCCCAGCCAGGACCGAGCAGCGAGCAGGAGCAGGGGGCGGTGCGGGCGGCGTGCCGAGCAGGGAGAGCGCGCCCAGCAGTCCCGCCGCGGCCCACACGGCGGTGAGCACGAGCACAGGCGGCGGCCGCGAGCCTGGCCGCAGCGGGTGCACGATGAGGCGGTAGCGTGCCAGGCCAAGTGCGGCCACCCCGAGCGTGCAGGCCGGCAGCAGAGCGGCGGAGAGGAAGCGAGCGGCGCGGCATGGCGCGGGGCCCAGGCGCACGCGGCCCAGCCCGGGCGGCGGTGCGGCCAGCAGGCCCAGCGGCATGATGGAGGCGGCCGCCAGCAGGTCCACGACGCACAGGTGCGCCAGGTAGAGCGCGTCGCGCAGTCCCGGCGTGCGCAGCACCACGACCAGCAGCGCGCCGTTGCCCAGCAGTGCCCCCACCTCCACGACAGCTGCCAGGATCAACCCCAACGAGCCTGCGACTTCTGAGGCGTTCAGCCCTGTGGAGTTGGCCATTTGGGCTCTCAGGCTTCACCCTGCGCTGGGATGTAGATGGCAGAATGGAGCCTAAAGCTGCAGGATTTCCATCACCTGTCCTCTGCTCCTCTTGTCCCTTGCTCCTCCGGCCCCTCACCTCATTGGCTGCCCAGGAGGTGGCTCCGACGCCCAGGCTGCCATCCTCTTGGGGGCTTGGCCAGGCCCATGGAGGGGTGCAAGGATGAGTCTGCTGTCTTTCTCCCCTGCCCCAGCCCAGCTCCAGCAACTCAGCCCCTGTCGGAGATGGTACTGGCTGTCACTCTGATGTTGCCACACACGGCTGGCAAGGGAGGGGCAGGGCCTGGCGCCAGCCCCCTGGGTCCTAGCAGCTGCCAGCTGAAGGCTGGAGGCTCTGCTGTGGAAGTGCTTGGGGGTGCCTCTAGGGTGGAGGGGTGGAGGACAGAGCAGGCACAGACTTGGAGCCTAGACTTGAGAGGGTTAGAGTGTGGGCTTTGGAGTCAGCCAGAGCCTGCTCTACCTTTCTCAGTGGTGAGAAGTGCCCCCCCCATCTCCTGTCCTGCCCCATCCTCATCAATGGGATGAGCATTTAGCTCTCATATTAAAGGGAAACTGAGGTACCAGTGAGACAAAAGCTGAAGCAGGAGGACCCTTAGGCATGCCCTGGCCCCCCAAGAGGGCTAGTTCTCTCAGAAAGAAAGGAGGCTGGAAAAGTGAGAGAAAAGCATAGAACGTGGCACATAGTAGGTGCTCAGCTAATATTAACTTCATAGAGAATAGGTGCTCCATGATAGTGTGTGAGATGAGTGAGAGGAGGCCTTAGCAGGCAGATGCTGTTTGGTTTTTTGTTGCTGTTGTTTGCTTTTGTTTTTGCTGCTAGCAAACAGGTCCCCTTTTGGTAACAGCACCCTGAATTTTCTTTCCTTTTTTTTTTTTTTTGAGACAGGGTCTCTGTTGCCCAGGCTGGAATGCAGTGGCACAATCTTGGCTCACTGTAATCTCTGCCTCCCAGGCTCAAACGATCCTCCCACCTCAGCCTCCTGAGTAGCTGGAACTACAGGCACGAGCCACCACACCTGGCTAAACACCCTGAATTTTCTTTAGGAAACCACCCCTCCCCAATTCTCAGGACAGGAAATTTGGGTGAACAAGATCCCCACACTCTATTTTCCTGATTAGGCACAAAACCCAGTCTTGACTAATCAGTGAATGTCAGGGTTCCCCACCCCAATGTCGTTGGCTCATGGAAAGCCATGTAACTCCCGTGGGGCATATGCCCCCAGGCAAAGTCACCCAGTTTCATGGCAAAACCCTATCTATAGTCTGATAGCTTGCATTTGTATCTGAAGCCTCTTCCTCTTTTCACGGGTATCCAGCTGCCTTTTCAACATTTCCCCACCAGGACTTTCACTAATGGGTATCTCAAACTTCCTATGTCCAAAACAGAACCATGACTCTTGATCCCTCCCCGACAACCTGCTCCTCCCAGAATCTTCTCCATCTTAGTGTCCATCTCAGGATGATTCCCTCTCCCCCACGCCCTATATCCAGTCCGCTGAGGTCTCTGGAATCCTGCCATTTCTCACCATCACCATCAAGCTGGTCCCAGCTACCACCACCTCTCACCTGGACCATTTCAGCATCCTTCTAACTGGTCTCCCGGCCTCAGCTCCTGCACCTTGTGCTGGCCATCTGCCTGTTTGCCCTCAGATTCATTCCCTTCTTCCCCAGTGCTATACTGCCTTCCTGGGAACTGTATTTCCCAGGCTCCTTTGTCAACTGACTTTGGGTATGTTCAGCCAATGAAAGTTACCAGCAGAAGACTGGCAGATGGGAGGAGGGAAGAAGCCAGGATTTATTTCCCTCTGAAGCTCAGCCAGGGGCTCCCTTCAGGTGGCCCCCTCTGTGGTTCTGGCTCCTGCAGGGTGATCCTAGCCTCTTGGCATCAGAGCACCATTCACTTCCTTTATCTCTCCAGTCTTAAGAGTAGTAGTGACTTCCGGCTGTTGCTCATCTTTGGATTGCCTCATCATCCCCCATTTGGTCATTCAATTCTTTCCCTGTATCAAATTTCCCTTGTCTGAAATACCTAGGGTAATTTCTGTTTTGCTGACTGGTTGTTAACTGACGTATACTCTATAGTCCACTCTCTACACAGGGGCTGAAGTGGATCCCGCTAAAAACAAAGCAGATGGGGGCATGACCCAGCTCTCATCCCTCCAAGAGCTTCCCATCATCAGAATAGATGAGAATAGAATCTCAGCTCCTCTGGAACTAAAAAAAAAAAAGGCAGATAAAAGGGAG
Source organism: Homo sapiens (assembly GCF_000001405.40). Taxonomy (NCBI): domain Eukaryota; kingdom Metazoa; phylum Chordata; class Mammalia; order Primates; family Hominidae; genus Homo; species Homo sapiens. Next base: position 51,953,369 of record NC_000003.12, on the reverse strand, counting down.
CTAGGCCCTTTTATCTACCTTTTCCATCCCTTTCTGAGCTCACCCTCCTCCTTGCCCACAGTATTTCTAGCCACAGCAGTCTGCTTGCTGTTCCTTCCGCCCATCAAGCCAGTTTCTTTGCATTTGCTGTTTCCATTGCAAGAACACCCTTGCTGCAGATCTGTCCATGGCTTGCTCCCTCACATGATTCAGGTCTCTGCTCTAGAGGGACCTTCAGCGACCATCTTTTTTTTTTTTTGAGACGGAGTCTTGCTCTGTCTCCCAGGCTGGAGTGCAGTGGCACATCTCGGCTCACTGCAAGCCCCACCTCCCAAGTTCACACCATTCTCCTGCCTCAGCCTCCCGCATAGGTGGGACTACAGGCACCTGCCACCACCCTGGCTAATTTTTTGTATTTTTTTTTAGTAGAGATGGGGTTTCACCGTGTTAGCCAGGATGGTCTTGATCTCCTGATCTCATGATCCACCCGCCTCAGCCTCCCAAAGTGCTGGGATTACAGGCATGAGCCACCATGCCCGGCCTTCTTTTTTTTTTTTTTTTTGGGACGGGGTCTCGCTCTGTCGCCCAGGCTGGAGTGCAGTGGCACGATCTCAGCTCACTGCAAGCTCCACCTCCCGGGTTCATGCCATTCTCCTGCCTCAGCGTCCCGAGTAGTTGGCACTACAGGTGCCCGCCACCACGCTCGGCTAATTTTTTTTTTTTTTTTTGTATTTTTAGTAGAGACGGGGTTTCATCGTGTTAGCCAGGATGGTCTCGATCTCCTGACATCGTGATCCGCCCGCCTCGGCCTCCCAAAGTGCTGGGATTACAGGCATGAGCCATCGCGCCCAGCTTGCGACCATCTTTTCTAAAATTGTTCCACCTTCCCATCACTCAAATCCTTTTATCCTGCTTTATTTTTCTTCCCGGCACTTTCCCTACCTGCTGTGGTATTTCATATTTATGCATACATTTGCTTAGAGCCTGCTTTACTAGAATGTAAGCTCCATGACAGCAGGGACCTCATCTGAGCCTCACTTGTGCCTGTGGCCCTAGCACCCCTCACAGACACACGGTCAGCATTGCTGCAGATCTAGATGGTGAAGACAGGACATGGACCTCCTGGTTTAACTGATTTTGTGCTGGAATTCAAAGGGCTCCAGCGCAGTTCTCCATTATTCAGATGAGAAAAGTAGAGTGGAGAAATGGGTCCCAGGTCACACAGCTGAGTTTTGCTTCCTAGAGCTCTGTCCACACAGCTGTCCCTTCCTGTCCTTGGCTACAACTTGAATTTGGGCATTTGCCTCTAGGAGGTGAAGATGGATTTTTGAAGTTTTGGTCCTTACCCAGGCAGCCCTGTAGGCCTGGGGCAGCCCCTGAGTTACCAGAGCCTGGAGAGAGCTCGGTGGGGCCAAGTGGGAACAGCAAATGAGAAAAGTGGACTGGGGAACGCGATAGGGAGGGGTGGGGACTGTGGTGGGTTGCAGAGTTCATGCTCCCTTCGACATCATTAATATAAATAAAAAATTAAAACACTTCCTTAGCATGTGTATGTGTGTATGTGTATTGCAAAATTTCCAAAAAACAAAACAAAATAAAAAAAAAAAACACAGGAAGGATATGCCAGAAACTAATGAAACTGGCTCCCTCCAGCAGGTGAGTAGGAATGGAGTGTGGGGGATAGAAGGACTCTTCTGAGCACAGCTTGCATAGAGTGGACCTTTTGGAACTATGTTAATGTTCTACATATTGAAAACAATAAAGTAACAAAGAAGAATGTAGACAGAAATGACTGAGCCTACCTGTATTTCAGACGAATAAAATAACCACACTGAAGAGAAAGAACCAATCCAAGTAACATCTGAACGTGTATTCAAACTGTTACTTTGACCATGGACCCTCAATCTAACGACAAAAAAAAAAAATACTGAGTAAGATCAGATACATCTTGAGCTCTATTTAGAATGTTTGTTTTTCACAGGGTATGGGTATGGCAATTCTGAAACTCCTTTTTGTGCAGGATTGAGCAAATAAGTAGATATATTGATGTTGATAGAAACCCAGGTTCTTACTGTTTAAGAATCGAGGAAATAGGGAATTGGGGAAGAATGGAAGAACTCTGTGGTGTTTGACTGGAACTGGAGAAATAGATATAGAGAGATGTGTTTGCTATTTATTCACACATACATATTCTGTCTCCCCCCTTTTTTTTCCTTTTTTATTTTTTTAGAGACAGGGTCTCAGTCTGTCATCCAGGCTGGAATGTAGTGTTGCAATCATAACTCACTGCAGCCTTGAACTCTTGGGCTCAAGAGATCCTCCGGCTTTGACCTCCCAAAGTGCTGGGATTACAGGTGAGAGCTCCTGCGCCCAGCCACATAGACACATTCCTTAGCTCTCTTTGCTGGAAGGACTTAAAAGCAATGACACCTCAGTACCAAGGAGCACATCTATTGCCCAGATCTTGGATTCTAAACATTTCCTGCTCCAGGAAACCAGGGCTCCTTGGAGAAATGGCTGATTCCCGGTTCGTACGAGATGAACCTGGAACATCTTGTGATGCCAGAGAGAAAGGATGTGCTCAAAAAATGATCGGGACACGGAAGGGACCTTCTGCTGGCCAAATCTGGGACAATTTGAGGATCAAAATAATTGAGGACAGTAATGGATTATAACTCACTGAATAAAATAAAAATCCATGAGTCTACACTGATAATAAAGACAGAAACTAATACAGATAAAAGAAATGATGGAGTTAGATAACTACCATTTGCAACTATCTTAGCAAAAATTGATTCAGGTAGTTGATTTCAGTTAAGTTATCATCGATGGATAAAGCTAGTGGGTGAAAGGTGATGAGGAAAGGGACATTTACACCCAACAATATTTCCCCACAGATTATTGATTAATTACAAAGGGGAGAAATGGTAGCTTCACCGTGGAGAAACATGGCGGACATCACCTTAATGGATGATTAAAATTAATTAACATCACCAAGAATGGGCCATGCCCCTACAGATGGAATTCCCTAGGGCATATCATTTATGTCACATTCCTGCCCATGCAATACCTAAATCTAATCACGACAAAGCATCAGAGAAACCTAAACTGATAGACATTCTATAAAACAACTGGCCTGTATTCTTCAAGAGTGTCAAGAATGTCAAAGTTATAAAATAAAAAAAAGGCTGAGGAGTGTTTTCAGATTAAAGGAGACTAAAGAGACACAACAACTAAATGCAATGTGCAACCCTAGCCTGGATGTTGGCCTCCTCCAGCAATGGCACCCTTTGTCTGTGGATAGGATGACCTGCCTGGTGATCACTGGCATTCCTGCCTGAACAGCCTCCTTTCATGATTGCAGAGCTGTGCCCCTCTGACATATGCTCAGCTTGTTTGTAACATTTAGATTAAGACACAAAGGAGGCTGGGTGCAGTGGCTCACACCTGTAATCCCAGCACTTTGGGAGGCAGAGGAAGGAGGATCACCTGAGCCCTGGAGTTTGAGACCAAACTGGGCAACATGGCAAAACTCTGTCTCTACAAAAAACACAAAAATTAGCCAAGTGTGGTGTCATGTACCTGTAGTCCCAGCTACTCTGGAGGCTGAGGTGGGAGGATCACCTGAGCCTGGGAAGGCTGAGGCTGCAGTGAGCAGTGGTTGTACCACTCCCCTCTAGCCTGGGTGACAGGGTGAGACCCTGCCTCAAAAAAAAAAAAAAAAAAAAAGACACAAAGGGATGTTTGGTGCCAAGACATGAAGAATGCTTGATTCACCTGGCAATGTCTGGGATAAAGGACAGAATCACCAGGTGGGTCCCCAGATGACAAATAGTTCTGAGTAGACAGTGGGGGTCCCCCTTGAAGGCTCAATTAGAGGAAGCAGGTTGTTGCAGTGATGGACCAGGAGGGGCAAGGAGTATGTGCATGATCCACATCAACCCATGTGAGCGCTCGCTCCCTGGAGTGTGGCTGGAGGCCCAGGCCCAGCACAGTTGTGGCACAGACAGGCAGAGGCTGGGGCAAGAGAATACCATGTTTAGTAAAGCTGCTTGCACATGCCTGCAGTTTAGCCTACCTTGGTGACCACATGGCTCCAACATGCAGTCCAGGCCAGGATGGACGGCCTGGGTGGATGTGGGATCCAAGCCACTCTCAGCTGTGCCCCTTGAGTAAGCTGCTGCATCTGTGTCCCTGTAATACGCCCGTACCACACCCATCACTTTAGGAGGCAAGACTCTGGGGCCACAGACACATCAAGGCTAACAGGGATTGGAGGGAAGGGGGATCGATGTCTGGGACACAGGGGAGCCTGGCAAGAAGGGGTGATATGGATCCAGAAACCCCACTACTGGGTATACATCAAAGGGAAATGAAATCAGTATGTTCAAGAGACGTCTGCTTTCCCAGTTCACTGCAGCACTGTTCACAATAGCCAAGATATGGAAGCAGCTTGGTGTCCACTGATAGATGAACGGATAGAGGAAATGTGGTGCATATACATAACAGAGTACCATTCAGCCTTAAAAAAGGAGGAAATCTTGTCATTTATGAAAACATGGGTGAACCCGGTGCACATTATGCTGAGTGAAATAAGCCAGGCACAGAAAGACAAACACTGCATGATCTCACTTACATGTGGAACCTATAAAAGCTGCCCTTATACAAGTAAAGAGTCAAATGCTGGTTACCATGGGCTGGGAGGAGAGGGACTGGGCAGATGTGTCAAAGAATACAAAATTTCAGTTAGGAGGCATAAGTTCAGGGATCTTGTACAGCATGGTGACTATAGTTAACAACAACGTATTGTATTCTTGAAAAAAAGGAGTGATATAGGGGTACCAGAGATGGGCAGGATGATTGAAGATCACAGTCCAGCCTTGCAGGACCCCGGGGGACAGGGCGGGCACTCAGAGGTGGACCTCCAGCAGGTAGCGCAGGCGACACTGGCTCTCCTGGTAGATGAGGTACTCGCTCTGGGAGAATGTGGAGCTGCTGAACTCTGGGCAGGGCACAGGCTGGCCCTGGGGCACCACCACTTGCTGGCCATCCAGCTCCAACTCAGTGTCCTGGGTCGGATCTGCAGGGCACAGCAAGGGCCAGGGTGGCCCAGGGGTCACTGGTCCCAGGCCTTACGAGTAAGTCCTGCCCCCTATGCTCTCCATGTCTGTCACAGGGCACGCCTGCTCATTTCCACCTTGCCCACCTCCAAACCACTGCAGGGGCTGGGGCTTCTGCCTGGGGTGTCCTCCCCGACTTCTCTCTGGGAAACTTGTACTAATCCTTCAATGCTCAGTCAACAACTCCTCTTTTTGAAGCCCTCCGGGATGCCCAGGAATGATGTGTTGAACCAGTGGATGTTTGTCAAATGACAAACTGAGTGACGACAGGGAAGCTTCTTTTTGTCCCTCTTCACAGCCCCCTCCCTGAAAATGTCCCAGCCCCTATCTCGGCCCCACCTCTCTCCTTGGGCTGTACAGCTTCTGAGGACTCACCAGGCTCGGTGTGGCCTCGGGCAATGACACTGTCGAAGCCAGGAGGTGGGCTCTTCAAGCTGGGGTTGTCCGTGTTGATATGGTGCTCTCTGCCCAGGGCCACCTCACCCAGGAACATGTAGCCGACATGGTGGGCCCCACACTTCATGCCAATAACTGCAAGACACAGGGAGGCACCGGTGGGCAGCTCAGCCTGCCTCCTGCTGACCTGTGGGGCCCCTCTCTGCTGCGATGTTATTCCTTCTGGCTTTGCTGCTCCAGCAAGAAAAGGCTCACTCTCCCCCAACCGTCACTCCCTCCTTGTCCCGGCCTGCTCCCTCCCACCTCACTGTGCTCCCTATGGCCAGGCATCTGTACCCTCTGCTGTCCTCACCAAGGTCAGCAATGGCCTCCCAGTGACCAAACCCGTGGCAGGGGCTTTTCTCCCTGGCCTGCTCTGCTGACTTTGCTCCTGACATCATCAGCCCCTACCTGGGACTTCCTCGCGCTGGCTCTCCTAAGCCCTCCACCCCGCCACTCTTTCCTAAGCCCCTCTGCCCTCCTGGTGGACCCCTTGCTCTTGGTGACCTCAGGCATCCTAGAACTTCAGCCCCATCTGTTCTGGGATGAATCCTTGGTCCTTGCTCTCTTGGCCAGCTGGGTGGTGGCCTCCAATGATGGGGACAGCCTGGGTGGAGGAGCTGGTCTGGGGGGGTCATTTTGGTGAGGACACTCCTGGCCAGAAACTCAGAAGTCACTGGAGACAGCCTTGACCCTTTCCCACACGCTCCCCATCCCATCTCCTACATGCCCCTCTCATGGGCTCCCTCCCCTGCACTTCCCAGCCCTTGGGCCAGGCACCCATCACATCCAGCCTGGATAAGAGGATGGCCTCTCTGCAGCCTCTGGCTGCTGCCCCCCTCTCCACAGCTGTAGCCACTGGGATCCTGCTACAGACAAGTCCAGCTGGGCTAACCATCACTCTCTGGATAAAGCCTCCTCGATCGTTCTGGGCCCCTAGCCCACCCTGCCCCCGGCTAGGCATTGCTCTGAGCTCCAGTATCAGGAAGTGTTTGGAAGCCCTGACCTGCCACATCCTCACATCCTCCCAGCCTCTCTGCCTATCCCCTTGCCTTGACGTCTCCTCTTTTTTATTTTTATTTTTTCAGATGGAGTCTGGCTCTGTCACACAGGCTGGAGTGTGATCATAGCTCATGGCAGCCTTAAACTTGTGGGCTCAAGCGTTCCTCCTGCCTCAGCCTCCAGAGTAGATGGAACTACAGGTGTATGCCACCACACCTGGCTCAAAGGCTCCCCTTTTACCCCCTCCCAGGTCTGGTTGGTGCACCCATCCTATCTGTATTGCCTCCCCCAGGAAGCCATCCCTGACCATCAGACACTTTCTCTAAGACCCCCCGCCACCAAAGCCCAGGACAGCCCACTGAGCACTGTAGTCATTAACCATTAAAGGATTCCTCTCTTGGATTCACCATGAATTTCCAGTGGCCAAGGACTGGGCCCAATCCATCTTAGTGCCAACCCTCCCAGGGCTTGGCCCAGAGGGGCACCTCACCATATCCAGCTGACTTGCTGTTCTCTGAGGCAAAGTAGATGCCCTTGCCAACACGCCCACCAGAATGTGGCATGATGCGGAGCCCACTAGTGAGGATGGCGGCCACCACGGCCATGTTGGTGCCATGCCACAGCAGCTTCCGATTACCCAGTTTGGAGTGGGCCTGGAATCTGTCTTCCTGAGTGGAGAGGAAGTGAGAAATGGGAGTGATGCCACCCGAGCACTCAGTCGCCTTGCCCTGCTGCTTGTGACCAAGGCCTAGTGTCCCTCTGCTTACTCACGCGCACTCATGGCCGGCAGAAACTGACCAGAGCTGCTAAACGATTTGCTAAGGGACCGATTAGCCAAGGACATCTTCCTAAGGCACAGTGGTGATGGGGGAGAGGTGGGGGAACCTCCCTCACCTCCCCTTCTTGGTTTACTTTCCAGATGTGTTGAAGTGTAGGGCACCTGTGGTTGCTGCCAGTCTGTTCTAAGTAGGTCTGTATCACCTGTGGGGAGAGCAGAAGCTGGTTGCCAGGGTGGGAGGCTCAGGAGCTAATCCCCCATTTTTCTTCCCCCAGTCCCAAGCCCTCCTCAGGCCCTGGAGACACAGGAAGAGAAGGCTGAGGGCGAGTATTCCTCTGGGCACCTCGAGGGCAGGTGGGCAGAGGGACAGTGCCCACTGATAGCCTGGCCCCTCTGTGGGGCCCAACTCACCTTGTACTCAGGTGCTCCAGAGTCTAGCAGCTGCAGCTGGCACTTGAGAAGCTGGTAGTCTCGGTCCAGGGGGTGTGGCACCTCCTCCACCGTCTTCTCCTGCTCAGAGACTGCCTGCAGGGCCTGGGCCAGCTCGATGTCCGCCAGCACCTAGGATGATGGGCCCTGGCAGTTTGTCTTCCCACTTGACCTCTGGCCTCCCCTCTCCTCTCTCACATGACTGGTATTGTAGCCACCCCACCTGTGTGTCCCACCTGTCCCTCCCCACCCTATCTGTCTGCCCAGCCTTCCCCACCCGTCTGTCAGCCTGCCCAGGCAGTCCATCCTTCTGGGCCTTCTTGGCCACCTGCCCTTCATCTCGCTCGCCTAGGCTGTCTGTTCAGTGCCCCACTGCCTGCCCGCACCCCTGCCAGCCCTCACCAGCAGCATGTCCTTCTTGGCCTGCAGAAGCTCAGGGGAATTGATGGGCGGGGGCTGGCTGTGGCCGAAGTTGTGCGGGATGACGGTGTAAAAGTGTGAGGACAGCTCCTCCAGGCTTTGGCCACCATCCGTGGGGCCTTTCAGGGCCTCCTCCAGCGCCTCCAAGGCCTCGAAACCCCGTGCAATCTGTTGCTTGCTCAGCTTTCCCAGGGGCATCTTCTTCACATCTAGGGGGACAGGGGAGTGGGGAGACTCAGCCCCACAGCCCTGCCACCCTGAGGCCCCTGCCACCCTGCCTGCCTCTCACCCCTCACCCAGGTCCATGAGGGCCATGGTGTTCTTGAACATCTCCTTGCTGAAGATGTTAGTGATGAGCTTCTGCGTGGCTGGGTCCAGGGAGCAGGGCTGCACCCGCTTAGTCACAGTCCTCACTGGGCCTCTGTCCACCTGAAGATAGAGGGCACATGTGGGCAGGAGCAGCGGGGCAGGGCGTGACACCAGACAGAGACCAGCCAGCCTGAGGCCAGAGGGGAGTTCTGTGGCTGAGGCTGCGCAGCTGGGCAGTGGCAGAGCCCAACCAGCGGGAACTCTCCAACGAGTCCCCTCCCTCAGTCCAGGGCCTGCCCACCTTCCTTGGCCATCTCACCTTCACCACAGCTTCCTGGGCCTCATCCTCTGCCTGTACTTCGATAAGTGTGTACTTGCCCGGGTGAGACACAAAGTGGTCCCGCTCTGCCCAGTTGTTCTTGGTCTTTTCCCGAAATTTCTTCTCAAAGTCCTTCTTTGCATCTTCTAGCCTTGTGAAGTGGTTGATCTTTGACTGGCCGACCTCTCCCTGCAACCGACAGCCTTCAGGGGTATGCCCACCATCAGCATTTGCTGGCCTGTGTGTCGGGCCAGGCCCTGTGCTGAGTGCCCTGGGACAGTTGGGAGGTGCCCCCCCAAGTCAGTAGCTGTGGCCTTTTGAGGACCCTGGGGAGTATGTGCAGAGCAGGCAGGGCACTCACCACACGGCCCCAGCGGTTCCAGCAGGTGAAGAAGCGGTTGCTGTCTTGGAGCAGCTGGATGATGTAGAACTTGTTGTTGTTGTTCTCGATGTTGGTCTGGTTCAGGGTGCAGTTGTAGTCCTCATACACCTGGGCCAGAGGGGAGGTGGGGGGCAGGCTGGCTGGGGTCAGATGGGGTGCCTGGCCGTACACCGAGAGGGCTCTGATGGGGACAGGAGTCTGACGGCAGTGGGAGTCAGAGGGACCCTGTCTTGGAAGCTTGGGGGGGTCACTGCTCTTCCCTAGGGGATGCGGTGTGAGAGGACATGGCTAAACCCTGACATGGAGGTATGGGGGGTGCTGGGGGGGACACAGCTGGGCCCTGGATGGGGGAATCTGAGAGGGACATGGCTCTGCCCTGAGGGGACATGGGCAAGCGCCCAGGAGACTGATGTAGTCACAGCCTTTCCCTAAGTGCGGTGGGAGGAGGCCTGCATGGGGTCTGAAGGGCAGATGTGACCCGCCTGGACCTGACGGGACACAGCCCTGATGTCTGGGGTCAGGAGAACATGGCCTTGCTCTGGCGCTTACCTGGGGGCCTTGGGCTCCAAAACCAGAACAGAGTCCTAAGGGGGTGGCCTGGGTGTGTTTGTGCTTATCAGTGGGCAGGCTCTGGGCCTGACTGGGGACTGCAGCTCACCTGGGTCCCGGGGTTGCTGCTGAGTGGACATGTTGGATCCACGCGGATTATGCGCTTCTCTGCGGGTATGGCCTTGAGGGCCTCAGCGGTGGAGCGGAAGGGGTCCTCCTCCCTTCCTGCCTGCCGGCCCTTCTTCTTCTCAGGGCCCTCAGTCTGTACCCAGGGCTTCGGCTTTGGAGCCATGGCTGTCCTGGGGCACAGAGAGGCCCTTAGGCCTCCATGGTCTCCTCATCCCCAACGACCCACTCTCAGTCCCCACCCCTGCCCTGGGCCAGCACAGCACCAACTTGCCCCACCCCGGGTTGGCCCTTCGGTGGCCTCCCACTGCATCCTGTGTCCACTCTGACGGCATTCCCAGCCCCAGACCACACCCAGCTCTTTGTCACTCAGAAACACCCCTTTCCCCAGTCCCAAGTGCAAGGTTAGGACTCTGTCCAGTCTGCCCACTCTGGTCAACAGGGTCTGCCTGGCTCCCTACCCTCTGCAGCTCACCTGTGTGTCCTGAGGGGTAGGGAAAGTGAAAGGAGGCTCTCTCTCTTCCACTTCGGGGCTCCTCCCCCTGTGTCAGCTAGTTCAGCCCTGGCATGGTTGCCGGGCCGAGTCACCGAGCTATGGGGGAGGGTGGGCAGAGGATCCTGGGGGCAGGATTCTTGGGGCCAGATTATCCTCCCGGAGCTTAGAACCCAGAGCTGTAGAAGCCCTTCCCAATGGACTCAAGAGTTCTGAGGAGCCAGAACTCCGGATCAGTGGCCTTGAACTGATAGAGGGCAAAGGCCAGTCCCACCAGGCCTTGCCCTGCCCTGCCGTGGGCAGGACCATAGGACACTCACCCAAGAAAAGCAGGGACATGGGAGAGGTCCTGGCTGCCACCCGGCCTGGTTGTGTGCGCCTCCCAGGGCAGTCCCAGGTCTAGCAACTCTCCATGAGCCTCAGGCGTGAATTAGGGAGAGAATTCCCAACAATCGCCAGAGGCCGGGGATGAGCTTGTGTGGGGGATTAGACATCGGCTATTTGGCCACCAGTGGGGTGAAGCAGAGGCTGGGGCAGGCCGAGTCAGGCGACCAGTCCCACGGACGGGTGGACACTCGATCTGGCATATCCAAGGCCGGGGCAGTCGCGTCCGTAGCGCTGCTCATGTGGCCGGGGCCTGCAGCACGCATCTGCCGGTCGCGCGGTGACCTTGGGCCCGGATACAGACGCAGCCTCCCTCTCCCCGGGGCTGCTTGGATCCCCGTTGGGTCTAGCGCCGGGCTGCCCATGGAGGGGAGGAGTCACGTTCCAGAACGCGAAAGGGCGCCGCGTCTCTGGCGCCCCCCAGCGGCCAAGGGGCGCAAACACAGAGAAGGCTCTTGCTCCGACTTCGAAGTGGGCCAGCAGCAGAGCGCAAGCGCCACAGCATCAGGCCGGAAGCGCCGTGGAGATGCGGGCTTCCTACTCGAGCCTGGTGCGGGAGCCTAGGAACTTCAGGAGGCGGGGCTACAAGCGTGCATCCTATGGGTGCCTGGGGGCGTGGCAGAGCCTGCAGAAGGACCCAATGGAGCAGTAGGAGGCGGGGCCCGGCGGGCGGTGGAAGCCTATCAATACGCGGGGTCTTGCCAGGCGGCTGGGGAGCTGGGAGGGTTCAGCTGCCACGTGAGTTCTGCGGCCGCTGCTACACGCCTGGTGGGCAGCATGTCGGCAACAGCGGCTGCTCGTAAGCGGGGAAAGCCGGCCTCTGGGGCCGGGGCTGGCGCGGGGGCCGGCAAGCGGCGGCGAAAGGTGAGCATGGCGCTTCTGAGGGCCGCGGTCAGCCCTGCTACTGGGACAACCGTCATCCCATCCAGGGGACCTGGGTCCCGGCCCTTCCCCAGCCCTTCGCCCTGGACCCCTGCTGGAGTCAGCTTCGTCCCTCTCTCCGCGGGCCAAATCCTAGAAAGCCGTTCGCTTAACCCGGGAACCACCGCCTTCCCCATTCCTGGGGTTCTGAGGGAACCGAGGGGGGGGGGCCCTTGGTCAATGCCAGGGTGGTCTGGACCCCTGACCAAAGAAAAGACCGTATAATTCCCAGGCCGACTCTGCGGGGGACAGGGGCAAATCCAAGGGTGGCGGCAAGATGAATGAGGAGATCTCCAGCGACTCTGAGAGCGAGAGGTGAGCTATTCTTTTCCACATAGTGGGAGGGAAAACTGAGTCCCATGGTGCACGGAAGACTGAGTGAGTCCGAACAGAACTGAGCCTAGAATCCAAGACTCTGTCCCTTGGCTCTGAGATCGTGGCTGTTTCCTTTAGTTTCTGGTCCTGCAAAGTCTTGTTTCTGCGAGGTCTCTGGGTGGGAAGGACCCTGGGCCCCAATCCGAGGCCATTGAGACCTCCTTAGGTTTTGGCAGGGACTGGACTGATTGAGAAATTGCAGGAAAACAGAACAAAGCTGTCAAGTATTTCTTGCATCCTTCTTCCCTTGCCAGTTTTCCTGCAATTTCACAATTACTGGGCTCCCCGTCTCTTAACATGCCAGGCACTGCCTTTGCTGTTGGAAGTGCAGAGATAGGCAGGCGGGTGAAGAGAGTGTGTTGTAGTGAGGTGTGTATTTTATAGTTGTGTGTTCTGGGAACAGAGGAGGGACATTTAAATAGGGTCTTGAGAGATGAAGAGGAGTCTCTCACGGAGAGGTAGGGAAGGCATTCAGTGATCAGAGGAAAGTCTGAGGTGTAAGTGTGCCAGAATGGGCAGTAGAAAAGATGAAAGGGGGCTGGGCCTGGTAACTCATGCCTCTAATCCCAGCACTTTGGGAGGCCAAGGCGGGAGGATTGCTTGATGTCAGGAGTTTGAGACCAGCCTGGGCAACATAGCGAGATCTTGTCTGTACAAAAAAAAAAAGTTAGCTGGGTATGGTGGTGTGCACCTGTAGTCCCAACTACTCAGGAGGCTAAGGTTTGGGGATCCCTTCCCAGGGAGTTGAAGCTGCAGTGAACTATGATCATGCACTGCTCTCCAGTCTGGGTGACAGCAAGATCCTGTCTCTAAAAAAAAACCACACACAAAAACAGGAGGACTGGTCATAAGTGCATGTAGATTGTAGAGGGCTTTGGATGCCTCCCTCATTTCTGCAGGTGATGGGTGTGGTTGCTTGCAGGTTTTCAAAGGGTCAGGCATGGTGTCAGGCCTGACCCTGTGGGTTGGAGGCTCTTGGACCAGAGAATCCTAGTGCCTTCCCTATGAGTTGACTTTAGAACTCGCTTCTAAAATTGAGTATGTGTTGCCTTAATTTGCTCATGGAAAGAATGTACTTTTTTTTTTTGTTTTTGAGACAGAGTCTCACTCTGTTGCCCAGGCTGGAGTGCAGTGGTGCGATCTCGGCTCACTGCAACCTCTGCTTCCCAGGTTCAAGTGATTCTCCTGCCTCAGCCACCTGAGTAGCTGGGATTATAGGCCTGCACCACCATGCCTGGCTAATTATGTATGTTTAGTAGAGATGGAGTTTCACCATGTTGGCCAGGCTGGTCTCGAACTCCTGACCTCAAGTGATCCGCCCATCTTAGCCTCCCAGAGTGCTGGGATTATAGGCGTGAGCCACCACACCCAGCCATTAATGTACTTTTCTTAATCCGAAGGTTATTGTGGGTGAGTGTGTGCCAGGCTAGTGTGGGCTAAGTGCTTTTAAATATTTTTAGAATGTTGTGTTGTGAAGTGTGTTAGATACAGAAAAGTGAATGAGATATATTTGCACTACAGAGAGTAATGGTAAAATGGTAAACCTCTGTACACTTACTTACCACTTAGGTTAAGAACTAGAACATTTGCAGAAACTTAGAAGCCGCAACTGTCATTCCTAACTTGAGTTAATCATTTCTTTGGTTTCTTTGTTCTTCTTTTAAAAAATTAACATTTTCCATTTAGGTATAATTTACATATAGTAACATGCCCTTTTTAAAGTTATAGTTCAGTGAGTTTTGACAAACACACACAGTTGTGTGACCACCTCTACCCTGAAGGTAAAGAGTTTCATCACCCTCCAGAACTCCTCCTGCTCCTTCGTAGTCAGCCCCTCTCCTTCCCCCCAAGTCTCTGCTAACCACTGCCCCTAGAGTTGTGCATTTTCTAGCATGCCCTGTAAATGGAATCATAGTGTGTACTTCCCTTGCATTTCTTTAGCGTTCTGTCTCATGCGTATGAATCCTTCAACAATAGATTAATTAGTTTGGCTAAATTGAGTAGAAGTCCGAAGTTAACACAGGTCCCTTGGCTGTGTAAGGGAAGGGCAGCACTAGCCCTGTTGGCTGAAGGCTTGCCAGGCACAGGGCACTAAATTATTTCTGGGGCATGGTCCAGCTTTGGCTTTCCTGAGAGTTTTCAAGGTCCCTTCTGGGGAAGTCAGGGGCAGGTTTACGAGTGAGTCTTGGGAAACACGGTTAGGGGAGTGGACAGAGACTAGATGTCTTCAGGCACATGATCAGAGGGAGTGGGCTGCCTTGGATTCTCTGTGTCTGAGTGCCCATGACCTACCCCCAGCTCCCAGGAGCAGGTCAAAGCAGCACCTGTCTTTGGGTGAAGTGAGTACTCTCAGCTGGTCCGGGGGCTGGGGCATGGAGGGGAAAGCCGTAACTTCACCAGTAAAGGCCAATCCCCAAACAGTGAAGGTTCGCTTGGAACCTTGTTCCCAGGGTAAAGGATGGTGCTGTGGTGATGACAGTCCTGGTGTGTCTGCCTGGTGGGTCCTTGGATCTGATCCAGACTGCCCCCGTCATGTCTGGGGATAGTGTCACCCTTTCTGCTCTCTTGTGTCGCATCTCTGGTTTCCGGTATCCCTTGCCTTTCTCTTTCCCAGTTTACCCTCTTGTTTGGGAGCACAGCTTCTATCCTTCCTAAAGAAAAAGAGGGAGAAAATTCCATGGCACCTTGCACACCTGGCAGTGTCGTCGTTGATTGTTTGACTGGGCATGGCATTTTAGGGGTCAGTGTATTCCTCCAGAGCTTTGTGTGTGAGGCTTCTTTGTCTTCTTGTTCTCAGTATTGCTGTTGAGATGCCTGCACATTTTGATTCCTGACTCTTTGTATGTGACCTGATTTCTTTTGGAAGCCTGGTTTCTCTTGGAAGCCTCCTCTTTCCCCCAGAGTTGAGAGGCTTTAGTGATCTCTTTGGGATTTGGGTCTGTTTCCACCCCTACGTGGGGCACTGAGTGGGGCCTTTTAGTTTGGGGAGTCACATCCTTCAGTTTTCTGCAGTGTAGTCACCGACCATGTGGGCTAGCAGGGAATAGGGGAGGTTGGATGGCAAGGTGAGCATCCAGAAGGCACGATCCTAGCGGTCAGAGGAACAAGGTGAGCCCCTCAGACCCAGCCCCTTCCTGCCCACAGCCTAGCTCCAAGGAAGCCTGAGGAGGAGGAGGAGGAGGAGCTGGAGGAAACTGCACAGGAAAAGAAGCTGCGCTTGGCCAAGC
Organism: Homo sapiens; assembly: GCF_000001405.40. Taxonomy (NCBI): domain Eukaryota; kingdom Metazoa; phylum Chordata; class Mammalia; order Primates; family Hominidae; genus Homo; species Homo sapiens. The sequence continues at coordinate 51,938,121 of NC_000003.12, read as the reverse complement.
TCTACCTAGAGCAGCTCCGTCAGCAAGGTGAGCCAGTGGGCAGGCCAGCCATGGGCAGGGCTTCTGCCTGTGCTGGTCTGCTGCCCGCCGCTGCAGCCCCAGCCACTTGATGGGTGACTGACATGGATTCCCAGTGGGTGCCCAGGCTGTCAGTGCTGGCTGCCCTGTGGGGGTGGCCAGAAGCTCTCATGGGCCTCCTGGGGAGCCCGCAGGGGGCTGATCTGATAAGTAAAGGCAGGAGGAAACCCTCCAGCTTGCCCTCCCCTCTGCTGAGGCAGCTGGAGCTTCCTGCATTATCCAGCCCTGGGGCAGTGGGATGGGGACAGGATGGAAGGGAAAGAGGGGTCTCAGCCTCAGTTTACTTGGTCTGGTCTGTCCTGCACAGAGGAGGAGAAGGCTGAGGCCCGTGCATTTGAGGAGGACCAGGTGGCGGGGCGCCTGAAGGAGGATGTGGTAAGTGTGGAGGGAGAGTTGGGGGAGGACGGGGGTGGAGCTGATCTGCTCCCAGGGTCTCATCCATCTCTTCTCCATGCAGCTTGAGCAGAGGGGCAGGCTGCAGAAGTTGGTGGCAAAAGAGGTGAGTGGGCATGGTATTTTGGTATAAGGTTGGAGGGAATTGGGGGCCCCACTTGGAACATGGTGGACACTTGGGCCTATCTGGTCAGGTAAGGATCTGGTTGTTGTAGCCTTGGGTCTTGTTTTCCTTCTGGCCTGGGTGGGAAAGGCCAACACTACGCAGTGGGGTTGGTGAAGGTAGTGCCTTTATGCCACTAGCCACAGTGACCTGGCCCCTGTCTGCCCAGATCCAGGCCCCAGCCTCAGCTGACATTCGCGTTTTACGGGGGCACCAGCTCTCTATCACATGTTTGGTCGTCACCCCCGATGACTCAGCCATCTTCTCTGCTGCCAAAGACTGCAGCATCATTAAGTGTGAGTGAGTGCCTGGGTGGGGCTGGAGCCCCCATGGCGGATCCGGGAGGGCTGGTCAGGGGAGTGGGAGTGGTCATGGCAGGCTGAGCCCTGAAGTGGGGAAGTCTCTGGAGGCAGGTTTGCTGCCCTAGGAGTGCTCTCTGGGTGACAGTGAAAGCTGCTGCCCGGCAGTGGGGCTTATGAGCTCCCTGTCCCTAGAGACCTTTGGGCAAAGTCAGGATGATGATTTAATGGGAATTAATGCTGCAGGTAGGTGGTTGGACTAGAAGACATTTGAGGCTGTGCAGTCCTGGGATTGAGTGCCCGGTCCTCCTGGGTTCCCATCCGTTGCTGGCTGACCAGCGGTTCCTTCTACACCCGCTGTAGTAACAGAAGAACTCACACCATCAATCCCAAAGCCCTTTTACATCCCTTCTCTTTTTTGGGCTTTGTGGCTGCTGTTTGGCACTAATGTCCCTCTTCATAGATGAGGAAACTGAGGCAGCTTGTCCGGAGGCTCACGGTGGCTGAGCCAGGTCTTCTGGCCGAGTCCGGGACATTTGCCATGGCTCTTTTTTCCATGCTGCCCCTTGAGGGGGGTTGCCAGCCAGCCCTATCCCCCCATCCCAGTAGCTTCTCCCCCACCCCCAACTGCAGGGAGCGTGGAGAGTGGACGGAAGCTGCATGTGATTCCTCGAGCCAAGAAGGGTGCCGAGGGAAAGCCCCCTGGCCACAGCAGCCACGTCCTCTGCATGGCCATCTCCTCCGACGGCAAGTACCTTGTAAGGCCAGGTTGGCCCTGGGGGCAGGCGGGAGGTCTGGTGCATGGTGGGTGCCTGTGATCATTGTCTTCATCCCTGCAGGCCTCTGGTGACCGCAGCAAGCTCATTCTCATTTGGGAGGCCCAGAGCTGCCAGCACTTGTACACCTTCACAGGACACCGGGATGCAGTGTCGGTGAGGAGCTGGGTCTATGTCAGTGGATCTTTAGTGGGCACATGCTAGTGTTCTAGGCTCAGTGCTGGCCTCTGGAGTCTCTGTCCTCAGGGAACCTGCATCCTGGGGTAGCGAGTGGGTAGCGAGTGGTGCTGTAAAATACATAAATGGGCTAAAGGGATGGGGAGGAGCTGGGGGAGACCGGGCCGAGCTTGCTCAGGAATCAACGAGGGCCTTGAGAAGCCGCCTCTGGGCGGGATGTAGCGGCTCTTGCCTATAATCCTAGCACTTTGGGAGGCCGAGATGGAGGATCATCTGAGCCCAGGAGATGGAGGCTGCAGTGAGCTATGATCGCACCACTGCACTCCAGCCTGAGCAACAGAATGAGACCCTGTCGCTAAAAAAAATAAATAAATAAAAAAGACGTCTGCATCTGCTCAGGGGCAGATGGGCATGTGGGCAGTACAAAATTGCCTCACAGCACGTGCCACATGGCTTGCTTTTTGGGAAGTCCTCCCTGGGCCTGACCTGTCTCTCGCCTGCTGTAGTCCAGGTCCCCTTTGCCCTCTCCCCATGCACCCTTAGGGTCTGGCATTCCGCAGAGGCACCCACCAGCTCTACAGCACATCCCACGATCGCTCCGTGAAGGTGTGGAATGTGGCAGAGAACTCCTACGTGGAGACGCTGTGAGTGTGGATGGGAGAGGGTGTGTGGATGGTGTGAGAGAGGGTGTGGGAGTGTGTGCCCGTGAGTTCATGCAGTACCCCTATCCCCACTATCCTGCTCTGCCCGGCCCTCTAGCTTCGGACACCAGGACGCTGTGGCTGCACTGGATGCCTTGAGCCGGGAGTGCTGTGTGACGGCTGGGGGCCGGGATGGGACTGTACGTGTGTGGAAGATCCCCGAGGAGTCCCAGCTTGTCTTCTATGGCCACCAGTAAGGTGGCCTGCCATGCCAGTGGGGGCTACATGGGCTGGGGGTGGGCTTGGGCCACGCTCCTCACAGCCCCTTTCTCCAGGGGCTCCATCGACTGCATCCACCTAATCAATGAGGAGCACATGGTGTCCGGCGCGGACGATGGGTAAGAGGTCCTTTGGATGTCTCTGGCCACGGCTTCTGCTCCTGAGTGCTGGCTGTCCACGGGGCCCTGAGCTTGCCTCAGGGCACCCCCAGTGGGGGAGCTGTTGTAACCTCTTTTCATGGATGAGGATGATGAGGCAGAGAGCTCAGATGGCCTTGTCCGGGCTGTGTGCCCTTGATCCCTTCCTGTCATGTGGCCTTTTTTCTTTTTTTTTAGAATTAAAAAAAATTTGTTGTGGGTGCTTAGTAGGTGTACGTATTTGTGGGGTACTTGAGATGTTTTGATACAGGCATGCAATATGTAATAATCACATCATGGGAAATGGGGTATCCATCCCCTCAAGCATTAATCCTTTGTGTTACACAGGGGGCCTTTTCTGCCTCTGGCCCCCTCACTGCTGTATTCCCTCCCTGTTTATAGCTCTGTGGCCTTGTGGGGTCTCTCCAAGAAGCGACCACTTGCCCTGCAGCGTGAAGCTCACGGGCTGCGGGGAGAGCCAGGCCTGGAGCAGCCCTTCTGGATATCGTCGGTGGCAGCCCTCCTCAACACAGACCTTGTGGCCACAGGTGGGTGCCCTGAGAGGCAGGGAGGAGGGGTCGCCGGGTGGGCCGGTGCAGGGGTTGCTCACTGTTCCAGTCTCCCCAGGCTCCCACAGCTCCTGTGTGCGGCTTTGGCAGTGTGGGGAAGGCTTCCGGCAGCTTGACCTTCTCTGTGACATCCCCCTGGTGAGTGAGTGTGCTTGAATGCTCAGCCTGTCTCTGCCACACTGCCTAGGCCCCTGGAGTTAGCTCTTTAAGGTCTTTCTTCCTGCCAGAAGGGAACCTTCTCAGGGCAGGGCCAGCTCCTAGCACAGGGCCTGGCAGGAACCCTCCCCACTTTCCCTCCTCTGCTCCCCTTCCTATCCTAGGCCCTGTCCAGGGTGCTGGGGTACAAGTCAGGGAGCAGCATGGGGAGAGGCATGGAGGCCTGGCCCTGTGATGAATTCTGTACTGCTGGTGCCAGATTGGGTGCCAGGCTAGAGGGTGTGGACCTCACTGTCCACACTAGGGTGACCTGGGGGAGGGTGGCAGGATCTGTCAGTGATGTGTGCTGAGAATGCAGGGTCTAGGTCAGTGGGGACAGTCATGGGGTCTCCAGGGCCCCACCACCAGGAGCCAGCCTCAGGCCATACTGGGTGTACACTGCCTCCTTCATCCTCACAAACTCACTGCTAGCCCCGTGCTCTGCTTACCCCCATCTCGCAGATGTGGAGGCTGAGGCCCTGACAAGTGAAGGGCTGGCCTGTGTCACCAGGTGGCAGGAGGCAGAGCAGGGATTTAACCCAGGCCTGATAAGGCCCAGCCCTTGACTGTGATGCTGAGGACGGTGGTGGCGGGGGGCGTTCTAATGTCTTTCCGTGTTGTCTTTCTGCTCAGGTGGGTTTTATCAACAGCCTCAAGTTCTCCAGCTCTGGGGACTTCCTGGTGGCTGGGGTAGGGCAGGAGCACAGGTATGTGTGGCCCTCGAGGGTTCAGGTAAGGTGGTGCAGGCTGGACAGCTCGGTGGAAATGGGGTGGAGACTGGGCCGAGTCTCAGCTGCGTCTTGCACTCCCTGCAGGCTTGGCCGATGGTGGAGAATCAAAGAGGCTCGGAATTCTGTCTGCATCATCCCACTCCGCAGGGTCCCTGTACCCCCAGCTGCTGGTTCCTGACACTCTTATCCTCCTTATTTAAGTCCTTCCCAGGCTATGCCCCACCCTCTTTGTATTAAAAGCCTCCTCTTTTGGGCCTTGTTTCTTGTAGCTTCTTGGTGGGGGTGGGGGTGCATGAGGGACTGGGTGGGAGGCGGCCTGGGGAGGGACAGGACTCCAGCAGTCTCCTAGCTCTGCCCCTCTGCTAGCCTGAGGGCTGTTATCCTTTTCCAAAGAACTTGGGATGGAGACCTCAACTGGCTCCTGGCTCCTGTCCCTGCGTGTCCTGCACGACCTCCTCAGGCTAGCTGCCTGCCACTGCTCTGGGTGGTCGGGGTCAGAAGCTACTCACCCCTCAGCTCAGAAGCCAGGGCTTGTAAGGGCTGGTGCTGGGGTCAGGACTGGACTGTAGACAGCGGACCTGCACATCAAACTGGCTTCGCTTCCTCTCCCAGGTCAGGTCAGGAAGCTGGAGGGGACAGACTGCCGTGAGGTGTGGGGGTCAGGAGTGGGAGTGGGACCCTGCACTGGTGGGCTTACTGTTTGGAGACAGGGGTCCAAGTTGGGAAGAGCTCTGTCTTTGGTCTGAATGTCAGAACCAGGACCTACCTGCCAGGACCTACCTGCCAGGGAAGTGAGTCAAAGGAATGCTCACTCTCTCTGATTTCACAGAGTGGATAGCTCCCTCCTGCTGTGGGGTGAAGCCAGCGAGGAGGAGGTAGAGGTGGACTGGAGGTGTAGAGGCACAGTGAGGTCCCCTCCTATCAGGAAAAAGGAGAAGGGGTGTTAAGGGAAAGCCCCGTGCCCATGGGGCCCAACAGCTGAAACTGTGAAGGAGTGGTGTGGTCCCCTGAGAGACGAAGCCACAGGGCTCCCCTTGACCCCATGCTCACGAGGCCTCCCCCTCAGACTGACCTGTGTCTGCGGTTAATCTGGGACCAGAGGGGTCAGGTTCAGGCTGAGCCTCTGAAAAATCATTTTTTTTTGAGACGGAGTTTCAGTCTTATTGCCCAGGCCGGAGTGCAGTGGCGCGATCTCAGCTCACTGCAACCTCTGCCTCCCAGGTTCAAGCAATTCTCCCGCCTCAGCCTCCCAAGTAGCTGGGATTACAGGTGCGTGCCACCACACCTGGCTAATTTTTGTATTTTTAGTAGAGATGGGGTTTTGCCATGTTGGCCAGGCTGGTCTCAAACTCCTGACCTCAGGTGATCCACCCACCTCGGCCTCCCAAAGTGTTGGGATTATAGGTGTGAGCTACTGTGCCCAGCCTGAAAAATCCTATTGCAGATGAGAAGATGTTGGTAGAATTCACTCACTCCTGTGTCCCGTCCCAAATTGAGCTCAGCAGTGTCATAAACACACCTGAAAAACACTGTAAACAACCCAGAGAAGCCCCTGAAGGAGTGAACCCTTTCCTAAGTACATTCTCATCAAATGAAAACGAGGACTCCGGATTCAAAGTGAAGATAACTTCTCCCATGGTTTCTATTCTCAGCCTTGCTCCGTCGGGGCTTCCTTGCTTTTGGATTCTTGAGCAGGGGCTGCTATCAGCAAACCCGGTGCCTTCAGCCTCTCCTAGGACCCTTCTCCTCACCTCCACTTTGGCCAAAATCTGCCTGTTCCAGGCAGGTTGCATTCCACCCAGCTTTCAGGCTGAGATTGAGTAGGTGTTCTCCCTGGCTCCTGCATCTGTTAGCTATTGCTGGGTGCAAACCATCCTAAAACTGGCTTAGAACCACTAGTGTGCATGGGTCTGCAGGCCAACGGGGGGTTTCTTTTCTTTTTTTTTTTTTTGAGACAGAGTCTCGCTCTTGTTACCCAGTGTTACCCAGGCTGAAGTGCAATGGCGCAATCTCAGCTCACCGCAACCTCCGCCTCCCAGGTTCAAGTGATTCTCCTGCCTCAGCCTCTGGAATAGCTGGGATTATAGGCATGTGCCACCATGCCTGGCTAATTTTGTATTTTTAGCAGAGACGGGGTTTCTCCATGTTGGTCAGCCTGGTCTCAAACTCCCGACCTCAGGTGATCTGCCTGCCTCAGCCTCCCAAAGTGTTGGAATTACAGGCGTGAGCCACCGCGTCCAGCCCAACTGGGGGTTTCTTCTGGTCCCAGCTGAGCTTACTCATGATTTTGCAGTCAGCTGTGTGTTTGAAGCTCTGCTGACCTTGACTTATCTATGTTTGGAGGTTGGCTGGCAATGGACACACTGGGAAAACTGCACTTCCATATGTGGTTTCTCATTCTCCAGCAGGCTAGCCCACGCCAGGAGAGAAGCATGCAAGTCATCTAGAGGTCCGGGCTTGAATCTGGCACTTCTATTGCATTCAGTTGGCCAAAGTGAATGGCAGGCCATCCTAGATTGATGGGAAGGAAACTTCATCTCTTGATGGGACTGACTGCCATGTCATGTTGTGAAGGGCAGGGAATCCACATAGTTTACTGTCCAGTCCAGAACATCACTCCACCTTTCTCCTGCCAGAGCTACGCTCTTCTTACTCCTGAGTCGGCAGAGGATGTGCTAGAGGGCAACCTCAGACTCTGATGGTGCAGTAAGAGTCAAGGATGAACGACCAGACCCTAGCTCACTGGCCCCCCCTTTTTTTTTTTTGAGACAGGGTCTTGCTCTGTCATCCAGGCTGGAGTACAGTGGTGCGATCTCAGCTCACTGCAACCTCTGCCTCCCTGGTTCAAGTGAGTCTCATGCCTCAGCCACCCAAGTAGTTGGGTTTATAGTCATGAGCCAGTACACCTGGCTAATTTTTGTATTTTTAGTAGAGAAGAGGTTTCACTATGTTGGTCAGGTTGGTCTTAAACTCCTGGCCTCCAGTGATCTGCCCACCTTGGCCTCCCAAATTTCTGGGATTATGGGCATGAGCCACAGCACCTGGCCGCCCCCTGGCCACTATTAGGAGGTTGGCATGACAGATGAGCAGCCAATATCCACTCTTCCCTCCTGCCTGAGAATGGGCCTAGGAGTACAGTCTGAACCTCTGAGCCACCCAAATCACTGCCATTCTGGGGGAATCTACCATCAATCCTAACTTCAAAAGGGAAACTAGAAATCAGGGAGGTGAAGGCAATAGGGCTGGCAACTCACCTTCTTTCCACAAACAGGAAGGATTGAGGCCACTTTATGGAGATGGTGACAGTAATATGTCTTCGATACCTGTTGTGTGGTCTGCCAGGTACTCATTCCCATTTCCTTCTGAAAGTGTAACTCCAATTTCTCTTGGAAAACTATCCCTTGTAGCATATCCATCCTTGTAGCATATCCATCCATCCATCCATTGTAGCATATCCATCCTTGTAGCATATCCATCCATCCATCCATTGATCCATTGATCCATCCATCCATCCATGCATCTGTCCGTCCAACAAAACTTGGTTGTGTTCCAGTGATGCCCCAGCTCCTGGGGATACAGAAACGAACAAGAAAAAGTTCCTGCATTCAAGAAGTCTACCCTCTGGAGGTATAAAGCATGTAAATAATCAGACACAATGCAAATCCAGATGATTAGTGTTAATGAGGAGGTCAAGCAGAGTGAGAGGACAGAGACTGGGTAAGGTCTCTGGAGAAGTGACATCCAGTGAGACCTGAATGATGGGAAGACCTGGGGGAAGAGCACCCCGAGTCTTTAATCATCTGTGCAAAGGCCTAAGACAAGAGAATCTTCCTCAAGAAGCCACTTTCCGGGGCCTCTTGACTAGAGAAGTGTGTGGACAGAAACCCCAGGCAGAGGTGAGTAAGACAGAAGGGTAGCTGGTGCAGGACGGGTTGGCTGCCAGCTAAATGCCCTGCCTCTCTCAACCCCTCTTACTCTACCACGTCTCTGTCTCATTTCTCTTCCCCACCCCTACCTTTCCAGTGCTGGCTCTTCTGGTTGCTGTCCAGTTCCCAGTGCTGAACACCACCTTCCCCAATGTGGAGCTTCCTCATTCCCAGCCCAGTCACTTCCTGCTCACCCCCACCTCTTTCTGGGGACACTGGGTACAGGGAAGCACAGTGACAGGACCTCTCCCTAGGCATGGAGAAAGGGTCTCGGGACTTTAGGGCCTTGGGTCTCCTTAGAGAAGCATCTGGTCCTCTTTTACTTTATAATATTCATTCATTCAATGAGCATTTATTTAGTACTTGCTCTGTGCTGGCACTTTTTAGCATCTGGGGACACAAATGAGGAAATACTCAGATTCTGCCAGCAAGGAGCCAGAAGAAGGAAGAGACCGGCTAGCAAAGGTGACTGCATAAGATCAGGTGAGGACCACAGGTGGATATAGATCAGGTGGAGATCTTTAAAGGGGGCCACAGGGCTTCCCAAGGTGCAGGATCCACCAAGTAAACTCCTGGGTCCTCCTGGGAGGCTGCTGTGCCAGGGGCTGCATGTGAGGGTCACTAACCTCGGGATGGGGCTGGGGCTGCTGCAGAAGAAATGCCTGAGGCAGGGGCTGAGGGTTGCCTTAGAACAGCCCATTCCCAGGAGACCTGCGTTTCCTCCTCTGCAGGCCCTGGGGCTGGGAGCACATGCAGAGGGCTGGTCCCACTGGAACCCTCACTGAGTCCTGCTTTCTTCTCCTTTTTCCAGCCCTCCTTCAAGGGGCCTACTGAGAACCTCTGGAGGAAACTCTGGTAGAGGAGGTGGAGAATTGGTGGGGGTGGGATGGAAGAATGGTACCCTAGGATGCTGGTACTTCTGTGCTCAGCGCTCACCCACAGTGGCCCTGAGGGGCCTGTGTCTTGCTCCCTGTGCTGCATCCCTTACCCCAGCTCCAGGAGGTTCACTCCACCATGCTCGCCCCAGCCCCCTCACCCAGCGCACCCTCCAACCTCCCATTGGATGGCATCTTCCTCTGCTCCTCAGCCCCTGGGGTGCCTCCTCCCTGCCCACTGGCTAGAGGCTGAGCTGGTCTTGGTGGTACTCAAGGCCCCAGCGCTCACCCTGCCTCTAGAGTCACCTCATCCACGAACACCGCAGCCCCTGGGTCTCCCCTGTCTGGGCCTCCCTCCATTCTGGGCTCCAGCTCTGTAGTCACCCTCGGCTCCAAATGTGGGATCTTTTCTGTGCCCTTGGAGTGCAAGGACCTTCATCTCTTTGCTTCTCATATAGACCCAAATAAGAGGATCATGCTGGGTGGGGTGGCTCATGCCTTTAATCCCAGCACTTTGGGAGGCTGAGGTGGGCAGATCACCTGAGGTTGGGAGTTTGAGACCTGCCTGACCAACATGGAGAAACCCTGTCTCTACTAAAAATACAAAATTAGCTGGGCATGGTGGCGCATGCCTATAATTCCAGCTACTTGGGAGGCTGAGGCAAGAGAATCTCTTGAACCTGGGAGGGGGAGGTTGCGGTGGGCTGAGATTGTGCCATTGTACTCCAGCCTGGGCAACAAGAGCAAAACTCTGTCTCAAAAAAAAAAAAAAAAAAAAAATCATGATTGTTTTGAGTTGTTTTTAAAATTTACACACAATAAACTTGTTTGGTGCGACATATGGGGTTCTAAATTTTTAAAAATTACTGTGCAGTGAAATTGACTTTTTTAGGGAATGTACAGTTCTCTGAATTATACATTATAACACATGTATAGATTCATGTAACCACCATCACAACCAAGATACTGAATAGTCTGTTACCCTAAAACAATCCCCTTGGTACCCCTTTGTGGTCAGACCTCCCCGATCCCTAACCCCTGGCAGCCACTGAGCTGTCTTTTTGAGAATGTCACATGAATGAAATCATATAGTATGTAACATTTTGAGACTGTCTTTTTCAACTCAGCATAGTGTCTTTGAAATTCATTCACATTTTCACATCCTTTTTCCAACTGAGTGGTATTCTATTGTATGAATGGATTCCAGTTTGTTTATCCATTCATTTTGTGATGGAAATTTGGGTTGTTTCAAATTTTTGGTACTATGAATAGAGCTACCATGAAATCGGGCCTGGTGGCTCACACCTGTAATCCCAGTACTTTGGGAGGCCGGGCGGGTGGATCAGGAGTTAGAGACCAGCCTGGCCAACATGGTGAAACCCCATCTCTACTAAAAATACAAAAAATTAGCCGAGTGTGGTGTCAGGTGCCTGTAATCCCAGCTACTCAGGAGGCTGAGGCAGGAGAATTGTGTGAATCCAGGAGGCAGAGGTTGCAGTGAACCAAGATGGCACCACTGCACTCCAGCCTGGATGACAGAGTGAGACCCTGTCTTAAAAAAAAAAAAAAAAAAAAAACTACTCTGAATATTCATGTACATACTTTTTCACTTCTCTAGGTTAAATACCAAGAAGCCAGATTGCTGGGTCATATGTTGAACTTTATAAGAAGCTGCCAAACTATTTTCTGGAGTAACTGTACCATTTTGCATCCCCACCAGCAATTTATGAGACTTCTAGTCACTCCACATCCTTTATAACACTTGTTATTATCAGTATTTAAAATTTTATCCATTTAAATAAATGTGTAGTGGTATCTCATTTTAGTGTTAGTTTGTATTTCCTAGTGGATAATGATGTTGGATATCTTTCATGTGGTTATTTTCCATCTGTGTATCTTTGGTGAAGTATCTGTTCAAATCCTTTGCTTATTTAAATATTATGTTGTTTGTCTTTTAAGAATGTCAAATAGCCGGGCACGGTGGCTCACGCCTGTAATCCCAGCACTTTGGGAGGCCAAGGTGGGCGGATCAGGAGGTCAGGAGATCAAGACCATCCTGGCTAACGAGGGGAAACCCCATCTCTACTAAAAATACAAAAAAAATAGTTGGGTGTGGTGGCGGGCGCCTGTAGTCCCAGCTACTCGGGAGGCTGAGGCAGGAGAATGGCGTGAACCCGGGAGGTGGAGCTTGCAGTGAGCAGAGATCGCCCCACTGCACTCCAGCCTGGGTGACAGAGTGAGACTCCATCTCAAAAAAAAAAAAAAAAAGAATGTCAAATAAATGGAATTATACAGCATATAACATTTTGAGACTGGCTTCTATTACTCAACCTAATGTCTCTGAGTTTGTACAAGTGGTTGTGTGTATCAACAGCTTGTTCCTTTTCACTGCTGGAATTACAGCAGTTGGTGTATCCATTTACCCTTTGAAGCACATTGGGTTGTTTCCAGTTTTTGGCTATTACAATTAAAACTGCTGTGAACCTTTGTGTACATGTTTTTATGTGAGCGTAAGGTTTAATTTCACTTGGGCAGATACCCAGGAGTGGGATTGCTGGACGATTTGGTAAGTATATGTTTACCTTATAAGAAACTGCCAAACCATTTTCCAGCATGGTTGTATTTTTCTCATTCCAACCAGCAGTGTATGAGTGTTCCAGTTCCTCGTCATTCTTGCCAACTCTTGGTGTTGCCAGGATTTTTAATTTTAGCATTTCTAACAGGGGCATAGTGATATCTCATTGTGGTTTTAATTTGCATTTTCCTAATGGCTAATTATATTGAACATCTTTTAATACATTCACTTGCTATCATTACATCCTTTTTGATGCTGTGTTTGTTCAAGTCCTTTGTCCATTTTTAATTGGGTTTGTTTACTTATTATTTAATTTTGAGAATTCTCAATAAATAAGTCCCTTCTAGAATGTGATTTGCATATATTTTCTCCAATTCTGTGGCTTGCTTTTCCATTCTGTTAACAGTCTTTTTCACTGAACAAAATTTTTTTTTTTTTTTTTTGAAACAGAGCTTCACTCTTGTTGCCCAGGCTGGAGCTCAATGGCGTGATCTTGGCTCACCACAACCTCCGCCTCCCAGGTTCAAGCAATTCTCCTGCCTCAGCCTCTGGAGTAGCTGGGGTTACAGGCATGCACCACCATGCCCAGTTAATTTTGTATTTTTAGTAGAGATGGGGTTTCTCCCTGTTGGTCAGGCTGGTCTCGAACTCCCGACCTCATCCGCCCGCCTCAGCCTCCCAAAGTGCTGGGATTACAGGCGTGAGCCACTGCGCCTGACCTACACTGAGCAAAAGTTTTAAATTTTGAAGTCAAATTCATTTTTTCTTTCATGGATAATGCTTTTGGTGTTATATCTAAGAAGTATTTCTTTACCCCAATATTATGAAAAATTTTCTCTTGTTTTCTTCTTAAAGTTTTACATTTTACATTTACAGCTATAATCCATTTTGGGTTAATTTTTTATAAGGTAGGAAGTTTAGGCTGAGAGTCTTCCTTTTTAAATTTTCTGATAGATGTCCAATTATCCCAACACCATTGAAAAAAAAAGACTACTCTTTCTCCATTAAATTGCCTTTGCATCTTTGTGGGAAAAAAAAGCAATTAGTCATATTTGTGGAGATCTATTTCCGGACATTCTATTGTGATCGATTTATCTGTGCTTCTAATCTTCACTAATGCCATAATGTTTTGATTACTATAGCTTTATAGTAAGTCTTAAAATTGAGTTATGTGAGTCTTTCAACTTTTTTTAATCTTCAAAATTGTGCTATTCTAGTTCCTTTGCTTTTCTACATAAATTTTAGAATCAGCTTGTCTCTTCTAAAATTCTGCTGGGATTTTGATTCAAATGACGTTTAATTTATGGACCAATTTGGGGAGTATTTAGCTATATTGAGTCTCCCAATCAATAGACATGATATATCTTTCTATTTGTGTCTTTTTATTTTGGTCATCAGCATTTTGTATATTTCAGAATATGTATTCTGCTCATGTTTTATTAGATATGTGTTTTATTAGATTAGATAAATCCAAGCATTATATTTTTGGAGCTATTGTAAATGATATTGTTTTTATAATTTTGGTTTCCAACAATTCATGGAAGTATATGGACCTATGATTAAATTTTGTATGTTAACCTTACATATTTTTTTTCTTTGAGCATGAAAATAAATCCTTATTTTAATCTTGCTAAGCTCACTTAGTTTTAGGGGCCTTTGGTGGAGTCTTTGAGATTTCCTATGTAGACAGTCACTGTGAATATGGACACTTTTATTTCTTTTCGAATGTGTATGGTTTTTATTTCTTTTTCATGCCTTGTTGCACTAAGACTTCCAGTACAATCTTGAGCAGGAGTGGTGAGAGTGGACCCATTGTCTTGTTCCCAATCATAAGAGCGAACATTTAGTTTATCACCATTAACAATTCTTTTACCTGCCAATTTTTTTTTTTTTTTTTTCGAGACGCAGTCTCGCTCTGTTGCCAGGCTGGAGTGCAGTGGCATGATCTTGGCTCACTGCAACCTCGGCCTCCTGGATTCAAGCAATTCACTGCCTCAGCCTCCCGAGTAGCTGGGATTACAGGCACCTGCCACCACGTTCAGCTAATTTTTGTATTTTTAGTAGAGATGGGGTTTCACCATCTTGGCCAGGCTGGTCTTGAACTCCTGACCTCATGATCGGCCCGCCTCAGCCTCCCAAAGTGTTGGGATTACAGGCATGAGCCACTGTGCCCGACTGAGTTTTTATCATGTATTGATGTTGAATTTTGTCAAATGATTTTTCTGAATTAATTGATAAACTTTTTTTTTTTTTTTTTTTTTTAACAGAGTCTCCTTCTGTCGCCCAGGCTAGAGTGCAGTGGTGTGATCTCGGCTCACTGCAACCTCTGACTCCCAGGTTTAAGTGATTCTTTTGTCTCAGCTTCCAGAGTAGTTGGGATTACAGGCATGTGCTACCACACCTGGTTAATTTTTGCATTTTTAGTAGAGACAGGGTTTCATCATGTTGGCCAGGCTGGTCTTGAACTCCTGACCTCAGGTGACCCACCTGCCTCGGCCTCCCAAAGTGCTGGGATTACAGGTGTGAGCCACCGTGCCCGGCCAATTTATGTGGGTTTTTTTTGTTTGTTTGTTTGTTTTTTTGAGGCAGGGTCTCACTCTGTCGCCCAGGCTGTAATGCAGTGGCATAATCTCGGTTCACTGCAACCTCCGCCTCCCGGGTTCAAGTGATTCTCCTGCCTCAGCCTCCTGAGTTGCTGGGATTACAGGTGCCCACCACCATGCCTGGCTAATTTTTGTATTTTTAGTAGAGACAGGGTTTTACCATGTTGCCAGGCTGGTCTTGAACTCTTGACCTCCAGTGATCTGTCCAGTTCGGCCTCCCGAAGTGTTGGGATTACAGGCGTGAGCCACCGTGCCCAGCCTGCTTATGTAGTTTTTTTCTTTAATCTGTTTATATGATGGATTGTATTGATTTTTTTTTTGAATGTAGAACCCTTCTTGCATTCCTGTGATAATCCCCATTGGTAATAGTGTATTATTCTTTCTATATATTGTTAGATTCAATTGGCTAATATTTTGCTGATTTTTTTTTCTATGTTCATGAGGAACACAGTTTAATTTTCTTGCAATGTCTTTGTCTGGTTTTGATATCAAGGTAATTCTGCTCTCTAAAGCCATTTGAAAATGATTCCCTTCTGTTATATTTTATGGAAGAAATTGTATAGAATTGGTGCTATTTCTTCATTAAATGTTTGGTAGAATATGCCAGCAAAACCATCTTTATCTGGGATTTTCTTTATTAGAAAGTTTTAAACATAAAAGTTAATTTCTTTTCTTTTCCTTTTTTTTTTTTTTTTTAAGATGAGGTTGTGTCACCCAGGGTGGAGTGCATTGGTGCAATCATAGCTCACTGTAGCAACTCCTGGGCTCAAGAGTTCCTTTGACCTCAGTTGGTTCCAGAAGTGTACAGCACCATGCCCAGCTAATTTGTTTATTTTTATTTTTTGTAGAGATGAGGTCTCGCTATGTTGATCAGGCTGGTCTCAAACTCCTGGCCTCAAGTGATCCTCCTGCCTTGGCCTCCTAGAGTGCTGGCATTACAGGTGTGAGCGTCTGCACCTGGCCCTGGTGCAATGGCTCACGCCTGTAATCCCAGCATTTTGGTCTTTTTTTTCCCTTTCAGCACCAAACACTTCACTTTACTCTCCTTTGCTCAGATGGTTTCTGATGAGAAGTTTGCTGTATTTCTTTTCTTTGCTCTTCTGTAGGTAAGGTGTTCCTCTCCACTCCCCTGGCTTTTCAACTTTGCCTATTGATCGTTGATTTTCTGCAGTTTGAATATGACATGCATCGCTGTAGATTTTGATATTTATCCTGTTTGGTGTTCTCTGAGTTTCTGGGATCTATGGTTTGGTATCTACCATTAACTTGGAAAGTTCTTGGCCATTATTTCCGCAAATATTTCTTCTGCTCTGTTCTCTCTTCTTTTTAGGTATTGCAATGACACATATGTTACACATTTTTGAAATTGTCCCTCAGTTCTTGGGTGCGTTGTCTTTTTTTCCTTTGCATTTTAGTTTGGGAAGTTTCTATTGACATATTTGCAAGCTCAGTCGTGTCAGGCCACAGGTGAGCCCACTGAAGACATTCTTCATTTCTGTTGTTACCACGTTTTTTAATTTCTAGCTTTACCTTTTGATTCTTTCTTAGAGTCTCCATCTCTCTACTTATATTACCCATCTATTCTTGCATTACTTTTTCCATTTGAGCCCTTCACATAATAATCATGGTTACTTAAAATTTTCTGTCTGATAATTTCGATATCTGTGTTACATCTGAGTTTGATTCTGATGATTGCTTTGTCTCTTCAAATTGTGTGTATGTGTGGTATGTTTTGCCTTTTAGCATGCTTGTAGTGTTGTGTTGAAAGCTGGACATGGACTGAGTGTGGTGGCTCCTACCTGTAATTCTAGTTCTTTGGGAAGCTGAGGTGGGAGGATTGCTTGAGGTGAAGAGTTCAAGACCAGCCTGGGCAACATAGTGAGACCCTCATCTCTTAAAAAAAAAATTAACAGGGCCTGGTGGTGCATGCCTGTAGTCCTAACAACTCAGGAAGCTGAGGTGGGAGGATTGCTTGAGCCCAGGAGTTCGAGTCTGCAGTGAGCTATAATTGTGCCACTGCACTCCAGCCTGGGAGATAGAGCAAGATCTTGTCTCTTAAAAAAAAAAAAAAAAAAGCTAGACATGTATCAGGTAATAGGAACTGAGGTAAATATGCCTTTAGTGTAAGGATTGATGTATTTATGTTAATCTGCTAGGATTTGGGCTGTGGTTTTCTTTTGTTTGTTTTTGAGACAGTCTCACTCTGTTGCCTACGCTGGAGTGCAGCGCACTGCAACCTCTTCCTCCTGGGCTCAGGTGATTCTCCTTTCTCCTGAGTAGCTGGAACCGTGGGCGCGCACTACCATGCCTGGCTAATTTTTGTGTTGTTTTGTATGGAGATAGGGTCTCACCACGTTGCCCAGCTAGTCTTGGACTCCTGGGCTCAAGTGATCCACCTGCCCCGGCCTCCCGAAGCATTAAGATTACAGGTTTGAGCCACTGCGTGCAGCCTGGGCTGTGTTTAGAATCCATCACTCCTAAACGTTTCCTCATGTTCCTCTGTTATCCCTTCCTCTCACCCCTCCTGAAGCCCCGCCTCCATCTTCAGGAAATCACTGATCTGCTCTCTGACATTTTAGACTAGTTTACATTTTTCTAGAATTTTATATAAATGAAATTATATAGTATATATATATTTTTTACTGATATATAAAAGTTGTACATGTTTATGGGGTACATATAATATTTTAATACATGCATAGAATGGGTAATGATCAAGTCAAGGTAATTGGGATATCCATCACTTCAGACATTTGGGAACAACCTGGATGGAACTGGAGGACATGTTAAGTGAAATAAGCCAGGCACAGAAAGGCAAATATTACATTTTCTCACTCATATGTGGGAGCTAAAAAAATTGATCTCATGGAGGGAGTGAGTAGAATGATGGTTACCAGAGGCTGGAAAGGGTCGGGGATGAGGAAGAATGAAGAATGGTTGGTTAATGGGTGCAAAAATGCAGTTAGCTAGGAGGAATAAGTTAAAGTGTTAGCATAATAGGGTGGCTATAGTTAAGAATTTATTGCATGTGGCTGGGTGCTGTGGCTCACACCTGTAATCCCAGCACTTTGGGAGGCCGAGGTGGGCAGATCACCTGAGGTCAGGAGTTCGAGACCAACATGGCCAACATGGGGAAACCCTTTCTCTGCTAAAAGTACAAAAATTAGCCAGGCGTGATGGCGCGAGCCTGTAGTCCCAGCTACTACTCGAGAGGCTGAGGCACAAGAATTGCTTGAACCCAGGAGACGGAGGTTGCAGTGAGCCAAGATTAAGCCACTCCACTCCAGCCTGGGTGACAGAGTGAGATTCTGTCTCAAAAAAAAAAAAAAAAGAATTTATTGTATGTTTCAAAATAGCTAGAAGATTTGAAATGTTCTCAACACGAAGAAATGATAAATGTTGGCCGGGCGCAGTGGCTCACGCCTGTAATCCCAGCACTTTGGGAGGCCGAGGCAGGCGGATCACAAGGTTGAGACCATCCTGGCTAACACGGTGAAACCCCATCTCTACTAAAAATACAAAAAATTAGCCGGGCGTAGTGGCGGGTGCCTGTAGTCCCAGCTGCTCGAGAGGCTGAGGCAGGAGAATGGCTTGAATCCTGGAGGCGGAGCTTGCAGTGAGCCGAGAGGGGGAGACTCCATCTCAAAAAAAAAAGAAATGATAAATGTTTTAGGATATACTCTTTTCATCTGTATCCTTTTTTTTTTTTTGGAGACGGAGTCTTGCTCTGTCGCCAGGCTAGAGTGCAGTGGCGCGATCTCAGCTAACTGCAACCTCTGCCTCACGGGTTCAAGCGATTCTCCTGCCTCAGCCTCCCCAGTAGCTGGTACTACAGGCGTACGCCACAATACCTGGCTAATTTGTTTTGTATTTTTAGTAGAGACGTGGTTTCACCATGTTGGCCAGGATGGTCTGGTCTTGATCTCCTGACCTCGTGATCCGCCCGCCTTGGCCTCCCAAAGTGCTGGGATTACAGGCGTGAGCCACCGCACCCGGCCTCATCTGTATACGTGCAAACAAAATTTATTTTGAGATTAATTCCTGTTACTGCATGTATCAATAGTTTATTCCTTTTTATTGTGGAATAGTGTCCCATTGAATAGGTGTGCTACATTTTGTTTATGCGTTCACATTTGTGTTGTTTTAAGGTTTTGGCTATTACAAATAAAGTTGCTATGAACATTAGTGTACAAGTCTTTATGTACACATGTGCTCCCATTTCTCTTGGGTAAATACTTAGGACTGGAATAGGAGAGTTACGTGGTAGGTATATGTAAAATGTTTTAAGAACTGTCAAACTTTTTTGCACAGTTGTACCATTTTTCATTCTCATAAGCAGTCTATACGAGTTTGTTCTCATCTAAAGAGTTCAAGTTGCTCTACATCCTTACTGGCACTTGGCATAAGTCTTTGAAATTATAGGCATTTTAATATGTGGGCCATAATAGTTTATCGTCCTAGTCTGCATTTCCCTAATTACTAAGGATTTTGAGTATCTGTACATAGGCTTGTTTACCATTGAGATATCTTCTTTGGCTCCCCCTTCCTGTGCGGTTGCTTGGAAACTCTCCAGGCAGTAAACTCTCATTTGTTTCCTTTCTCTTGGGGATTACTGTCCTTCATTGCCTGGTTTCTAGAATCTTAAAAATCATTGTTTTCTAGATTTTGTCTAGTTTTTGGTTGTTTCAGGTGGGAGAGTAAATCCAGTTACTGTTACTCCATCTTGGCTGGAAATGGAAGTCCCATCCTTTTACTTAAATTTTTTTATACACATAAAATTTACAATTTTAACTATTTTCATTGTACATTAAGTACTTGTTTTACTTTTAACATACCTATATAATTACATTTTAAATAGATTTATTATAGAGAGCACACAGTTTGTCTTTTTAAAAAAAGCCAATCTGTTAATACCTCCTTTTAATTGGCATATTTAGACTGGTTACATTCAATATTATTACTGATATAATTTAAGACTACAGTTTATCATTTGTTTTCTGTGAGTTCCCTCTGTTATTTATTTCCCCTTCTGTTCTCCATTCCTGATTTCTTTTGGGTTATTTGAATATGTTTTAGTGTTCCATTTTAATTTAACTTTTGGATTTTTGAATGTGTCTCTTTGTATTTTTTTAGTGTTTTCTCTCAGAGTTACTATATATTTATACATATAGCATACCTTCACAATCTGTTAGAATTAATGCTTTCTCTCTTCAAGTGACATGTAGAAACTTCACAACCATACAAGTCCCTTTATCTTCCCCTCTTATGTAATAGTTGCCATGTGCATTTCATTTGTATAATTTGAAAGCCCCACCAGACAATGCTATAACAACACTCAAACATATTCTAAAGAACTTAAAAGACTACTACTTTTAGTCTATTATATTTACCTAGATAACCATTTCTGTTGTATTGTCTTCATTCCTGAAGTTCAAAGTTTCCCTCTGGTATTATTTCTCTTCTTCCTAACTTCCTTTAGCATTTCTTTAGGAACAGTTCTGCTGGCAATGAATTCTCTTGTTTCCTTCATCTGAGAATGTCTTTATATCACCATGATTTCAAAACAATTTTTTTCCCTAGATATAGAATTCTGGGTGACGGCTCTCTTGAAGCATTTTAAAGATGTTGTTCCACTGTCTTTTGGTCTCCATGATTTCTGATGAGAAGTTCGGTCATTTGAATCATTATTTCTCTATAAGTAATGCATCATTTTTTCTCTGGCTACTTTTAAGGTGTTTTGTCTTTTCTTTTCTTTCTTTCTTTCTTTTTTTTGGTCTTTGGTTTTCAACAGTTTGATTATAATGTATCTGGGCATGGTTTTCTTTGAGTATATCCTTTTTGGTATTTGCTGAGATTCTTAAATCTGTAGATTTATGCCTTTTACCAAATTTGGGAAATTTTTAGCCATTATTTCTTTAAACAATTTTTCTCCTTCCTTCCTAGGTCTTGAATAACATGAATGTTAGGCTTTTTGATACTGTTCCACAGTTCACTAGGGCTCTGTTTATTATTTTTTTATTTCTCTGCTGTTCAGATTAGCTAATTTCGATTGCCCTATATTCAAATTCACTGATTTTCTGTCATTGACATTCTGCCAATGAGCCTGTCAGTGGATTTTTTTATGTCAGCTATTGATTGTATTTTACAGTTCTAAAATTTTTTTTTTTTTTTTGAGAAGGAGTCTCGCTCTGTCGCCCAGGCTGGAGTGCAGTGGCACCATCTTGGCTCATTGCAAGCTGCAAGCTCCACCTCCCAGGTTCACGCCATTCTCCTGCCTCAACCTCCTGAGTAGCCGGGACTACAGGCGCCTGCCACCACGCCCAGCTAGTTTTTGTATTTTTAGTAGAGACGGCGTTTCACTGTGTTAGCCAGGATGGTCTCGATTTCCTGACCTCGTGATCCGCCCGCCTCGGCCTCCCAAAGTGCTGGGATTACAGGTGTGAGCCACCGTGCCCGGCACAGTTCTAAAATTTCGATTCAGTTATATTTCTTTATTTTTAAATTTTTGGTGGACCTGTCTGCCCTCCTGAGGGAGAGGGAGGGCAGGGCCCTGGTTATATTTTTGTTTTGTTTTATTTCTTTGCTGAGAGCTCCTATCTTTCTATTCATTTAAAAAGAGTTCAGCCAGGCGCCGTGGCTCATGCCTGTAATCCCAGCAGTTTTGGAGGCCGAGGCAGGCGGATCACCTGATGTCAGGAGTTTGACACCAGCTTGATCAATATGATGAAACCCTGCCTCTACTAAAACAATGCAAAAATTAGCCAGGCATGGTGGCAGGCACCTGTAATCCCAGCTACTCGGGAGGCTGAGGCAGGAGAATCACTTGAGCCTGGGAGGCAGAAGTTACAGTGAGCTGAGATCACGCCATTGTACTCCAGCCTGGGCAACAAAATCAAAACTCTGTCTCAAAAATAAAAAAAAAAAAGGGTTCACCTTTGCTTCATGGATAATGGTGATGATAACTGCTTTAAAGTCTTTGATATTTCCAACACGTGAGTGACTTGGGAATGGCAAAAACTGATTGTCTTTTCCCTTGGGAATTAATCAGATTTTCCTGGCTCTTCACGTATTGAGTAATTTTGGA
Organism: Homo sapiens; assembly: GCF_000001405.40. Taxonomy (NCBI): domain Eukaryota; kingdom Metazoa; phylum Chordata; class Mammalia; order Primates; family Hominidae; genus Homo; species Homo sapiens. Next base: position 51,916,620 of record NC_000003.12, on the reverse strand, counting down.
TTGCATCCTAGACAGTTTAAATATTACATCTCTGGACAATGTTTAGTTTTTATTTTAGCAGGCAAATCAGTTACGTAAAGGTCAGAGGCTTTGTCTTGCTTTCCGTGGATGATGATTCTAATGTCAGTGTCAGTTTTCAAAGCCTTTTCTATGCTGTTTGAGTCTGCCCTTGCATGTGCTACGTAGGGGTTAGTTTGGGACTTGGTAGTGGTTTTTTGTTGTAGTTCATTTTTCAAAGGATGCTGTAAACCAAAAGCATCCGAGACAAGTCTCAGTTTAGGAGTTTATTTTTCCAAGGTTAAGGACATGCCTGTGACACAGCCTCAGGAAGTCCTAATGACATGTGCCCAAGGTGGTCGGCCTACAACTTGGTTTTATACATTTTAGGGAGTCATAAGACATCAATCAATACATGTAAGATGTACCTTGGTGTGGTCTGGAAAGGCGGGACAACTGGAAGTGGGGGCTTCCACGTCATAGGCAGATTCAAAGATTTTCTGATTGGCAATTGGTTGAGTTATTATCTAACGACTTGGAATCAATAGAAAGGAATGTCTGGGTTATAAGGGGGTTGCAGAGACCAAGGGTTTATGATGCAGATGGAGGCCCCAGGTAGCAGGCTTTAGAGAAAATAGATTGCATGTGTTTCTTATCAGCCTTAAAGAGTCTGTTCTATCAGTCTTAAGGTCTGTGTTGATATTAATAGTAATGAGGCATGTCTGACTCCCACTTTCCATCATGGCCTGAACTAGTTTTACAGGTTAACTCTGGAGTGCCCTTGCCCAAGAGGAGGGGTCCATTCAGGTGGTTGGGGGCTTAGAATTTTATTTTTGATTTATTATGTGCAGCTAAGGCGTGAGCCTGAGACATGTGTTTGTTATACACAGAATTAGGGGATTCCTTTTTCCTTATTTTCTGAACTTTCCTCATTCTTCCACTCCTAGAGATTATGTTCTTGGTTCCTCTGGCCAGAAATATGGATTTGTCTCAGAGTTTTAGACCACCACACTTCCATGCAGTTCCATGTGACTAGAGCTGCCTTCAGGGCAAAGGGGCAAAAGAAATGAGAAAAAATTACTTCTTTCAGACTACAGGGGTCCCGTCCGTTTGTACATTTACTCTAGCTAGGGAGATGATTTTTCAGGTGCCCATAGCACCACCACCGGGACAATGCGGTTCTGTGACTGGGCCTGGCCTTGGGGTAGGGCTAAGAGAAAAAAGAGAAAGAAAGAAAGAAGAAGGATGCTGTCCATACTCTCTAGCATGAGGAAGTGTCTTTTTCTGATCCTCTGATCCAAAATAAGGACTTTCTTTTGGATTATTTACTTTCACACTTGTGCGGTTCTGCATTTTAGGCTATCTTTGACTTTGACTTGACTTTCTTCCCCAATCTGTGTGCTATTGCTACTTTTTCTTTCCTTCTTCTTCTTCTTCTTCTTTTTTTTTTTTTGAGATGGAGTTTTGCTCTTGTTGCCAAGGCTCAGTGCAATGGCCCGATCTTGGCTCACTGCAACCTCCACCTCCCGGGTTCAAGTGATTCTCCTGCCTCAGCCTCCCGAGTAGCTGGGATTACAGGTGCATGCCACCATGGCCGGCTAATTTTGTATTTTTAGTAGAGAGAGGGTTTCTCCATGTTGGTCAGGCTGGTCTCGAACTCCCAACCTCAGGTAATCCGCCCGCCTCTGCCTCCCAAAGTGCTAGGATTACAGGCGTAAGCCACCGTGCCCGGCCGCTATTGTTTACTTTTCAGAGTCTAGTTGACTTTGTATTCTGTCCAGAGTTTTCCATTGTAATCACTGGGAAAGATTGTCTGTAGTGTACTTACTTCATCTTGCCAGCACTGGATTCAATGGTATTTTAAAGACATTTAAAAAGATGATCTTTTCTGTTTGCCCACATAATCACCATTGTGAGGCTTTCATTTCCACCTGCTGCTCTGAGCTTCCACCCGGGACCTTCCTTTAGCATTCTGGCAGTGTGAGTCTGCTGGTAATAAATTATCTCAGCTTTTATATTTTGGAAAATGTCTTTATTTCACCTTCCTTGAAAAGGCGAAGGTATAATTTATATACAGTGAAATGGAGAAATCTTAAATGTGAAGTTAAATGAATTTTGACAAATGCATATATCTCAAATCCACACCTCATCAAGATATAGAACACTCATATCATCCCAGAAAGTCCCTTTGTGTCCCTTTCCAATCAATCTCAACTCCCAGAGGCAACCACTGTTCGAGATTTTTTTTTTTTTTTTTGAGATGGAGTTTGAGATGGGCAACTTTTGTTGCCCAAGCTGGAGTGCAATGGTGCAATCTCGGCACACCACAACCTCCGCCTCCCAGGTTCAAGCCATTCTCCTGCCTCAGCCTCCCGAGTAGCTGGGATTACAGGCATGCGCCACCATGCCTGGCCAATTTAGTATTTTTAGTAGAGATGGGGTTTCTCCATGTTGGTCAGGCTGGTCTCCAACTCCAGACCTCAGGTGATCTGCCCGCCTCAGCCTCCCAAAGTGCTGGGATTACAGGCGTGAGCCACCACGCCTGGTCCATTGTTCATGATTTCTATCATAATATATTAGTTTTGCATTTTTTTAAAAAACAGGGTTTTGCTCTGTCACCTAGGCTGGAGTACAGTGGCTTGATCCTGTCTCACTGCAGCCTTGACCTCCCAGGCTCAAGTGATCCTCCCACCTCAGGCTCCCAAGTAGCTGGGACCACAGGTGCACACCGCCACACTTGGCTAATTTTTTTTTTTTTTTTTTGAGACAGAGTTTCGCTCTTGTTGCCCAGGCTGGAATGCAACGGCATGATCTTGGCTCACTGCAACCTCCGCCTGTCAGGTACAAGTGATTCTCCTATCTCAGCCTCCCAAGTAGCTCAGATTACAGGCATGTGCCACCACTCCTGGCTAAATTTTTTGTATTTAGTAGAGATGGGGTTTCACCGTGTTAGTCAGGCTGGTTTTGAACTCCTGACTTCAGGTGGCCCACCCACCTCGGCCTCCCAAAGTGCTGGGATTACAGGCATGTGCCACCACACCCATCCTTGGCTAATTTTTTTAAAAACATTTTTTGTAGAGACAGTGTTTTCCTAGGTTGCCCAGGCTGGTCTCAAACTCCTGGGTTCAAGAGATCCTTGGCCTCTTAAAGTGTTGGGATTATAGGCATGAGCCACCACAACAAATGTGCATGTTTTAAATTTGATATAAATAGAATTATACAATATGTTCTGTTTTGCATTTGGCTTTTTTTGCTCAATATAATGTCATGGATAAGATTCACCCATGTTATTGCATGTATCATTAGTTCTTGGCTATTTATTGCCCAATTGTATTTTATTTTATGAATATACCACAATTTGTGTATCCATTATCCTATTTATAGATATTTCACTTGTTCCCAATGTTTGACTATTATGAGTATATGCTATGAGCATTCCTGTACAAGTCTTTTTGTGAATATGTTTTCATTTCTCTTTAGTAAATACCTAAGAATGAAATCGCTGAGTCAGAGAGTAGGTGTAGGTATATGGTTAATTTTAAAAGAAATAGCCAAATGAATTTCCAAATTGGTTGTATTATCAAAAATGTATGAGAGTTTCATTTGCTCTACATCCTTGCCAACATTTGGTATTCTCCTTTTCTTTTCTTTTTTCTAATTTTGGCCATCATGATGGTGGCTTAAATTTTGTCTTTCCCTGATATCTAATGATGTTGAGCAAATTTCATGTGTTTGGAAGCCACTTGAATATCTTCTTTTATAAAGTATTGGTTTAAGCCTTTTGTCCATTTTTATTAGTTTGTTTTTTATTACTGAGTTGTAAGAGTTCTTATATTCTGAGTAGGAGTCCTTTGCCAGATATAGGTATTGTGAATATTCTTTCCTCAGATTGTAGCTTAAGTGCTGTCTTTCTTTCTTTTCTTTTTTTTTTTTTTTTTTTGAGACAGAGTCTTGCTCTGTCACCCAGGCTGGACTGCAGTGGCACAATCTCAGCTCACTGCAAGCTCCGCTTCCCAGGTTCACGCCATTCTCCTGCCTCAGCCTCCTGAGTTGCTGGGACTACAGGTGCCCGCCACCATGCCCAGCTAATTTTTTGTATTTTTAGTAGAGGTGGGGTTTCACCATGTTAGCCAGGATGGTCTCGATCTCCTGACCTCGTGATCCGCCCGCCTCGGCCTCCCAAAGTGCTGGGATTACAGGCGTGAGCCACCGCGCCCGGCCGAGTGCTGTCTTTCGATAAGCAGAAGTTTTAATTTGGACAAAGTCTAATTTATCAAATTTTTTTTGAGACAGGGTCTCACTCTGTCATCCAAGCTGGAGCACAGTTGTGCAAACATGGCTCATTGCAGCCTTGACCCCTGGGCTCAAGTGATCCTCCCACTTCAGCCTCCCTGAGTAGCTGGGACTACAGGCGCACGCCACCACGCCTGGCTAATTTAAAAAAATTTTTTTGTAGAGACAAGGTCTCAACATGTTTGAGTCTGGGCTGGTCTCAAACTCCTGGGCTCAGGCAATCCTCTCGCCTCAGCCTCCCAAAGTGCTGGGATTACAGGCATGAGCTACCACGCCTGGCAAATTTATCAATATTTTATACTTAGTGTTTTCTGTTTGCTAAGAAAACAGTTTTTGTCGACTCTTGGGCACAAAATAATTCTCATAGGATTTCTTCTAAAAGTTTTATAGTTTTAGGTTTCGTTTAGGCTATGATCCATCTTGAATTATTATTTGTGTCTATGGTGTTAGATAAGGATCAAGATTCTTTTATTTTAAATTGAAAAATGCGTTTCCTTCTGCATTGAATTATGTTGATACATTAAACAAATCAATAGACCATATAAGTGTAAGTCTTTTTCTGGCTTTTCTATTCCATTTCATTGATCTGTTTGTCTCTTCTTACACCATGCTGTCTCGATTACTGTAACTTTATAGTGAGTCTTCAAATGAGATAATATAAATCCTTCAACTTTGTTCTTTTTTTTTTGTTTTTGAGACAGCCTCGCTCTGTCCATCTCACTGCAACATTTACCTCCCAGGTTCAAGCAATTCTCCTGCCTCAGCCCCCTGAGTAGCTGGGATTACAGGCACCCACCACCATGCCCAGTTAATTTTTTGTATTTTTAGTAGAGACGGGGTTTCACTGTGTTGCCCAGGCTGATCTCCAACTCCTGGCCTCAAGTGATCCATGTGCCTCAGCCTCCAAAGTGTTGGGATTACAGGCGTGAGCCACTGTGTCCAGCTAACTTTGTTCTTCTATATCAAGAATTCCCCAATCGTCCATTGATTATGAAAATACAGTTGATTGGCTGGACGCAGTGGCACGCCTGTAATCCCAGCACTTTGGGAGGCTGAGCTGGGCAGATCACTTGAGGTCAGGAGTTTGAGACCAGCCTGGCCAACATGGTGAAACCCTGTCTCCACTAAAAATACAAAAATTAGCTGGGCATGGTGGTGCGTGCCTGTAATCCCAGGTACTTGGGAGGCTGAGGCAGGAGAATCACTTGAATATGGAAGGCAGAGGTTGCAGTGAGCCAAGATCATGCCATTGCACCCTGCACTGCAGCCTGGGCGACAGAGTGAGACTGTGTCTCAAAAAATAAATAAATAAATAAATAAAATAAAATGCAGTTGATTTTTATATATTACCCTTGTATCTTGAAAATTTTTGATGACTTTTATTTTTTAAACAGCTTTACTGGGACATAATTCACATACCATACAATTCACCTATGTAACATGCACAATTCAATGGTTTAAGTATATTTATAGACATGTGCCACCATCACCATGAATATCTAGCAAGCTTGCTGAATTGCTTTATCAGCTGTAGTAGGATTTTTGGGTACATTTTTTGGGACATTTTAATGCAAATAATCATGCTGTCTGTGAATAACACAGTTTTCTTTCTTTAAACAGAATTTTAAGGCCATTTGCACTGGCTAGGACTTTTAGTGTATTATTAAGTGGAAATGATAAGAGCAGAACTTTTAGTTTTATTTTTACATCTTTATTTTTGAAGGACATTTTCTCTGGGTATAGAATTTTAGGTTGGCTTATTTTTCTCTTCCCATTTCTTTAGCACTCTACAATGTCTTTCCATTTTTTTTCTGGCTTCTTTTTGTTTCTGATGACAAGTTATCTATACTATTTATTTTTCTTCCCCTAAATGTAATGTGACCTTTTCCTCTGGTTTCTTTTTTTTTTTTTTTTCCCTGAGATGGAGTCTTGCTCTGTTGTCCAGGCTGGAGTGCAGTGGCAAGATCTCAGCTCACTGAAAGCTCTGCCTCCCAGGTTCACACCATTCTCCTGCCTCAGCCTCCCAAGTAGCTGGGACTACAGGCGCCCGCCACCACGCCCGGCTACTTTTTTTGTATTTTCAGTAGAGACAGGGTTTCACGGTGTTTGCCAGGATGGTTTCGATCTCCTGACCTCATGATCTGCCCACCTCGGCCTCCCAAAGTGCTGGGATTACAGGCGTGAGCCACTGCACCCGGCAGTTTGTTTGTTTTTTGAGACAGAGTCTCACTCTTTCACCCAGGCTGGAGTGCAGTGGCATGATCTTGGCTCACTGCAACCTCTGCCTCCTGGGTTCACGTGATTTTTGTGCCTCAGCCTCCCAAGTAGCTGGGATTACAGGCATGCACCACCATGCAGGGCTAATTTTTGTATTTTTAGTAGAGATGGGGTTTCGCCATCTTGGCCAGGCTGGTCTTGAACTCCTGGCCTCAAGCAGTCCACCTGCCTCAGCCTCCCAAAGTGCTGGAATTACAGGTGTGAGCCACCACACCCGACCATCTCTGGTTTCTTTTTTTTTTTTTTTTTTTTGAGATGGAGTCTTACTCTGTCATCCAGGATGGAGCACAGTGGCGCAATCTCAGCTCACTGCAACCTCCACCTTCCAGGTTCAAGCGATTCTCCTGCCTCAGCCTCTGAGTAGCTGGGATTAGAGTCACATGCCACCACACCCAGCTAATTTTTGTATTTTTAGTAGAGATGAGGTTTCACCATGTTGGCCGGGCTGGTCTCGAACTCCTGACCTCAAGTGATCTGCCCATATCAGCCTCCCAAAGTGCTGGGATTACAGGCAGGAACCACCTGGTTTTTTAGAAACAATTTTCTTTTCCCTTGATTTTTATCAATTTCATTATTGTCCCTATATGTAGTTTTCTTTGTATTTATCATGTTCGTATAATTTTTTGACCTGCCTTTGAGTTTGATAATCCTTTCTTTTGTTACTCTCTCTAGTGAACTATTCATTTTGGGTATTGTATTTTTCAGTTTTAGAATTTCAGAACTAGGCATGGTGGCACGTGCTTGTAGTCCCTACTACTCAGGAGTGTTTCTTGAGCTCAGGAGTTTGAGACTAAAGTGGATGATATAACAACACCCTGTCTCTTTAAGTAGAAAAAAAAATTGCATTTCTTGTATTCTGTTTTTTAGAGTTTCCATTTGTCTGCCAAAATTCTCCATCTTTTTATTCATTTTTTTCTACCTTTACCTGTAAATTATTTTCGATTATATGTCTATTTATATAATCTTTGTTGTTTCAAAGTCTTTGCTAATTCTAACATATGAGTCATCTGTGAGTCTGCTTCTATTGCTTTTTTTCCTTTTGATTACAGGTCACATTTTTCTGCTTCTTCATGTGTCTCATTTTTAAAATTGTATGCAAACACTAGATAAAAGCAGTAGAGACTAGGGTGGGCCATTTTTCAACTAATCAGGAGTTCAGTTAGGTTGGGGCTGTTTTGACACTTTAGTTGGTTTGCATCCCCCTCAGTTTCAAATGTCTTGAGGCTGGGATCAGGCTCCTTTCTCCAGCAAAAGTGTGGAATATTAGCACTGTGAGACTTGAGAGCTCTCTCTGCTGTCCAGGCCAGCCCCTGGCTCCCTGTGCTGCTGTGGGTCCAGCAGAAGTCCCATGGGAGGGAATGGTGGCAGCAGAGGACTCACTGTGTGTGTGTGTGTGTGTGTGTGTGTGTGTGTGTGTGTGTGTGTGTGTGTGTGTGGCTTTTCCAGATTCCAAATTGTCTTGCAGCTCGCATGCAACCATTGAAAGTTCAAGTTCAGCTGGTTTCTCCCCATCACAGCATTTCACTGCATATGGCGGGCTTACTCCTGCAGGTCCTTGTGTCCAGAGATTTGGTACATATCCACAGGCATGAAAGCAGCCACTAACCTCCGTGCAACTAGACAGGGACAGAGCCACTTTAGAATTCAGTTTTAGATGCTCCATACCTACTGCTATGTGATGTTTTAAGTTTGTCAGGTGTTTTCTTATTGTGCAGTTGTTGCGGGAGTATTTTGTGACCCTCTGCATCCTAACTGGAGGTGGAGCCCTCTGACATTCCCATGCAGTGGCGTTTCTTCCTCCTTTCTGGCTACTCTGGAGGGAAGCCCTTCCATGCCCAGACCAGCCTTTATACGTTTCATTTCCTCTCTTGATGTTGCCAGGGCTTTTTATTCTTCACAGGATGTGAGTTACCCCATATATTCTGATCAGTAATTAGATTTTTGATTTAAATTTTCTATCTTTTTTTTTTTAAAGACTGGGTCTCGCTCTGTCACCCAGGTTGGAGTGCAATGGTGCAATCATGGCTCACTGCAGCCTCGACCTCCCTGGGCTCAGGTGATTTTCCCACCTCTGTCTCCCAAGTAGGTGGGACTACAAATGCACACCACCATGCCTGGCTGATTTTTGTATTTTTTGTAGATACAGGGTTTCGTTATGTTGCCCAGGCTGGTCTCAAACTCCTGGGTGCAAGTGATCCACCTGCCTTGGCCTCCCAAAGTGCTGGGATTACAGGTGTGAGCCACCACACCTGGACTTTTTTGTCTTCTTCTCTCTCAAAAAACCGATGCCCACTACTTAGGTCGTGAGGAGTTTGGGGTTTATTCTTCCAGATAATGAAGCACAAGGCTTTCATGAGTATGTGTGTGTGTGTTGGTGGGGAGGTGTAGGGAGTGTTGGGAGTTGGGGGAAGTAAAAAACTGACTAGTGTTACAACAAAGGCCTGTATCCTATTATCCTCAAATGAACACATATCACACCTTCTCTGTCACACCCTCTATTAGTCCATTTTCAGGCTGCTGATAAAGACATACCCAAGACTGGGCAATTTACAAAAGAAAGAGGTTTAATTGGACTTACAGTTCCACATGGCTGGGGAAGCCTCACAATCATGGCAGAAGGCAAGGAGGAGCAAGTCGTGTCTTACATGGATGGCAGCAGGCAAAGAGAGCTACTGTAGGCAAACCCCCATTTTTTTTTTTTGAGACGAAGTTTCACTCTTGTTGCCCAAGCTGGAGTGCAATGGCATCATCTTGGCACACTGTAACCTCTGTCTCCCAGGTTCAAGCGATTCTCCTGTCTCAGCCTCCTGAGTAGTGGGATTACAGGCACAAGCCACCATGCCCAGCTAATTTTTTGTATTTTTAGTAGAAACAGGGTTTCACCACGTTAGCCAGGCTGGTCTCGAACTCCTGACCTCAGGTGATCTGCCCGCCTCGGCCTCCCAAAGTGCTGGGATTACAGGTGTAAGCCACCACGCCCAGCCCAAACTCCCATTTTTTAAAACCATCAGATCTCATGAGACTCATTCACTATCACAAGAAAAGCGTAGGAAAGACCTGCCCCCATAATTCAATCACCTCCCACCAGGTTCCTCCCACAACATGTGGGAATTGTGGGAGTTATAATTCAAGATGAGATTTGGGTGGGGACACAGAGCCAAACCATATCATTCCACCCCTGGCCCCTCCCAAATCTCATGTTCTCACATTTCAAAACAAATCATGCCTTCCCAGCAGTCCCCCAAAGTCTCAACTCATTTCAGCATTAACTCAAAAGTCCACAGTCCAAAGTCTCATCCGAGACAAGGCAAGTCTCTTCTGCCTATGAGCCTGTAAAATCAAAAGCAAGTTAGTTACTTCCTAGATATAATGAGGGTACAGGCATTGGGTAAATACAGCCATTCTAAATGGGAGAAATTGGCCAAAACAAAGAGGCTACAGGCCCCATGCAAGTCCGAAATCTAGTGGGGCAGTCAAATCTTAAAGCTTCAAAATGATCTACTTTGACTCCATGTCTGATATCCAGGTCATGCTGATGCAAGAGGTAGGTTCCCATGGTTTTGGGCAGCTCCACCCATGTGGCTTTGCAGGGTACAGGCTCCCTCCCAGCTGCTTTCATGGGCTGGCGATCAGTGTCTGTGGCTTTTCCAGGTGAACAGTGCAAGCTGGATCTACCATTCCGGGGTCTGGAGGACAGTAGACCTCTTCTCACAGCTCCACTAGGCGGTTCCCCAATAGGGACTCTGTGTGGGACCTCTGTCCTTACATTTCCCTTCCACACTGCCCTAGCAGAGGTTCTCCATGAGAGCCCAGCCTCTGCAGCAAACTTCTGCCTGGGCATCCAGGCATTTCCATACATCCTCCGAAATTTAGGCGGAAGTTCCCAAACTCCAATTCTTGACTTCTGTGTACTCACAGGCTCAACACCATGTGGAAGCTGCCAAGGCTTGGGGCTTGCACCCTCTGAAGCCACAGCCTGAGTTGTACATTGGCCCCTTTCAGCCATGGCTGGAGTGGCTGGGACACAGGCCACCAAGTCCCTAGGCTGCACACAGCACAGGGACTCTGGGCCCAACCCATGAAACCATTTTCTCCTGGGCCTCTGGGCTTGCGATGGGGGGCTGCTGTGAAGGCCTCTGACATGTCCTGGAGACATATTCCCCATTGTCTTGGGGATTAACATTTGGCTCCTCATTACTTATGCAAATTTCTGAAGTCGGCTTGAATTTCTCCTTAGAAAATGGGGTTTTCTTTTCTATCACATTGTCAGGCTGAAAACTTTTTGAACTTTTATGCTCTGCTTCCCTTATAAAACTGAATGCTCTTAACAGCACCCAAGTCACATCTTGAATGCTTTGCTGCTTAGAAATTTATTTTGCCAGATACCCTAAGTCACCTCTCTCGAGTTCAAAGTTCCACAAATCTCTACAGAAGGGGCAAAATGTTGCCAGTCTCTTTTTGGCGACATAAGAGTCACCTTTGGTCCAGTTCCCAAGAAGCTCCTCATCTCCATCTGAGATCACCTCAGCCAGGACCTTATTGTCCATATCACTATCAGGCTTTTTGGTCAAGGCCATTCAACAAATCTCTAGGAAGTTCCAAACTTTCCCACATTTTCCTGTCTTCTTCTGAGTCCTCCAAACTGTTCCAAGCTCTGCCTGTTACCCAGTTCCAAAGTTGCTTCCACATTTTTGGGTATCTTTTCAGCAACACCCCACTCTACTGGTACCAATTTACTGTATTAGTCCATTTTCAGCTGCTGAAAAGACATACTGAAGACTGGGCAATTTACAAAAGAAAGAGGTTTAATTGGACTTACAGTTCCACATGGCTGAGGAGGCCTCACAATCATGGTGGAAGGCAAGGAGGAGCAAATCACGTCTTACATGGATGGCAGCAGGCAAAGAGAGCTTGTGCAGGCAAACTGCCTTTTTTTTTTTTTTTGAGATGGAGTCTTGCTCTGTCGCCCAGGCTGGAGTGCAGTGGCATGATCTCAGCTCACTGCAAGCTCTGCCTCCCAGGTTCATGCCATTCTGCTGCCTCAGCCTCCCCAGTAACTGGGACTACAGGTGTCAACCACCACACTTGGCTAATTTTTTGTATTTTTAGTAGAGACGGGGTTTCACCGTGTTAGCCAGGATGGTCTTGATCTCCTGACCTCATGATCCTCCCGCCTCAGCCTCCCAAAGTTCTAGGATTACAGGCATGAGCCACTGCACCCAGCCCAAACTCCCATTTTTAAAACCATCAAATCTCTTGAGATTCATTCACTATCATGAGAACAGCACAGGAAAGACCTGCCCCCATAATTCAGTCACCTCCCACCAGGTTCCTTCCACAACACATGGGAATTGCGGGAGTTAAAATTCAAGATGAGATTTGGGTGGGGACACAGAGCCAAACTATATCACACCCACAACTTCCCACATCTTTCAATGTATTCCCATATTCTCCACCCCCTCATCCCATTAACTTCACATCCCAGCCTCAAATGGCCTCCTCCTCTTCCCTACATTCCCCCTACAGATCCACATTGGCCTCTCCCATACTCACCCTATACATTTCAAGTGCACTTCTCAGTGACCCCAGGGGCTGTGCCTCTCATGGCCTTACCCTGTCCAGCTGGGTCTTCAGAGGCCGAGATCAGGCAGAAAGGGGCCATGCTTGTGCAGTGGCCACCTTCATCCATCTGATTGTGGCCTTGAGACCCCAGGGACAGAGGAAGACAGGAGAGCACTTGGACCCATTTGAGCCTCAGATGGAGTCCAGGCTGGTCCTCAGGCCCTCATGGGGTTCCTTGGGGACTGTGTTAGGCATGAGTCAGCAATTTAACTCTCCTCTCCAAAGGTAATCATTGGTAATAGTTTGGTATATATACCTTTTTTCTTCTTTATATTCATTTACAACATATAATGTGTATCATGTAATAACTTCTGGCATAAATTATTCAATTTTATGTGTATAATTATGTTCCTAGTTTTGTTTGCATAGTGGGATCAAAAGGAACTTTAGTTTTTTACTTATAAATACATCTTTATATATTTCCTCATTAGTAATATAGATCAAATTCTTATTTTTAATAGTTATGTAGTATTTTATAGTATGAATGAACTATGCATCATTAAATTAATCCCCTATTGATTATTTAAGTTGGCTATATAAGTTTTTTCTTTTCTTTTTTTTTTTTTTTTGAGATGGAGTCTTGCTCTCTTGCCCAGCCTGGAGTGCAGTGGCATGATCCTGGCTCACTGCAAACTCCACCTCCTGGGTGCAAGCGATTCTCCTGTCTCAGCCTCCTGAGTAGCTGGGATTACAGGTGACAGCCACCACACCCAGCTAATTTTTGTAATTTTAGTAGGGACAAGGTTTTGCCATGTTGGCCAGGCTGGTCTCGAACTCCTGACCTCAGTTGATCTGCCTGCCTCGGCCTCCCAAAGTGCTGGGATTACAGGCCTGAGCCACTGCGCCTGGCCAAGTTTTTTCAATTAAATGTTATTAGAAATGACTGGCTTTTTATAAACCTTACAGCAATGGGCCAGTATTTCTGGCATCTTGCCTTTGAAGTCAGGGCTTTGGCCATTTCTGGCAGAAAAGAATGGGCAGCGCTTTTGTCTTTCCCTTGGAGGGGGCTCACTTGTTAGGAGCCATCTGGTGCCTGAGTCACAGGTGCCCTTATGACATCACAGGCCTTTCTTCCTCCACCCTTCCTGCCTATGCTATGGCTGGATGAACACAGATGTGAGGGGATTTGAACCATCTACAATCAATCCATATGTGACCAATGGTAAGAGAAAGCCAGACACACCAGGCTTGTTAGGGATGTCCCCATAGATCTCTCAGGGTGAAGGGACCCCCTGACACTGAAGACTCTAAGAAGCCCTGGAAGCTGGGGATGTGTGCCATATTGAATGGAGAGGGAGGGACCGCAGCCTCACTCTTGCCTTTCCCCTAATGCTGATTGCAGGAGGAGAAGCAGCCCCAAAAGACGAAGGAACCCTCAAAAGAAGATGAGCCTCAGCAGAAGGAGATGCCAACCCATTTGTCCTTAGGAGCAGAGTCAAAGGCAGAGGTAGGAGGAGCCCTGACTTGGATGTCATTGATCCCATGTCCTAGTGCTAGTAGCTAGTGTCTTTTGCATGGTGCTGTTATAAGTGAAGTTTCTGTGCCGCAAAAGAAATAGCACTCAAATATAAAATTTTCTTTTTAATTCTCAGCAAGGCAAGGTACTTCTATAGAAGGGTGCGCCCTTACAGATGGAGCAATGGTGAGTGCACACTTGGACAAGGGAGGGGAAGGGGTTCTTATCCCTGATGCACGTGGCCCCTGCTGCTGTGTCATTCCCCTATTGGCTAGGGTTAGACCACACAGGCTAAACTAATTCTGATTGGCTAATTTAAAGAGAGTGATGGGGTGAGTGGTTTGGTGGGAAAAATGGTTACCGCGGAGCAGGAAATCGGAATGAGTCAGGGTGGAGACTGAGCAGGTAATTGGAATGAGTCAGGGTGGAGCCGGTAATCGGAATGAGTCAGGGGGGAGTAGGTAATCAGAATGAGTCAGGGCGGAGCAGGTAATTGAAAAAGGTTGCTTTACAAGGAAGTTAAGTTTAAAAGTAGAAGGCAAAGAATTGAACATATTGACATACTGATTCTTTGAAGAGAAATTTAGAACTCATACCTAACAACTTCTCCTCTTGCATTTCCTTACAGCTCTTTCTCTTTAAACTTCTTTAACATGTCTTGGCTTAGATGTTCTGCTTGATTTTCCAAAAGAAGAAGCTTCTCTGGATAAGGTGGAGAATAGTTAAGGGAGGTTTTAGTAAGTGCTGTTTTTATGAGCCTCTTTGCACCAACCCACGGACGCATGGTGTGACACAGCACCCAACAAGAATAAATACACCCATTGCGGCTGCCAGGGAAGTGAGAATTGAGGCTATAATTCTTTTCCATTTACTGAACCACTTTTCTAGCCATCCTGTAAAGGGCTCATTTAACCCTGAGTTGTTGGCTAACTCATTGGACAGGGCAGTCAGACCTTGCAATGCCTTTGTTATACTTCCATCAGGGGCAGTGTTGTTTGGGATGAAGGTACAACATTGAGTTTTAATCATGAGGCAAACTCCTCCTCTTTCTGCTATTATCATGTCTAAGCCTATCCTATTTTCCCAAGCCATCCGGCTAGTAGCCCCTAATTGCTCAGCTATTCCTTTAACACCATCTCTAGTGTAGTTAATAAATCGCTGTTGGTTGTAGCATATGTAGTTTATTCAATCTATATTTTTATTAATTGTCTCTCAACAAAATATTGACTCAAATCCTGCAGCTATTTGATTTTAGGCTTTAAATTGATCTGGTATTCCCTGCTAGACTCCAATTGCATTTAAATAGATGTGAGAGTCAAAAGACCCATAAGGGGCTTCTCTCACTTTACGATGTCTTATTTTTCCTTCCTCTGGTTGATGAAATGCCAGGGTGAAAGGGATAGCCAATTGGACTAAAACACAAGTGCCACTTCAGATATTCATCAGAGCGTCCAGTAAAGGTCCACCACAATACCACCACACATCCCCTCGGGGATGAACAAGGGCTGACTGATTGATAAGCTCTTGAAAATTCTTAAGCTCACTGCATCCGTTCAGGTCTCCAAGGAATGCTAAGTTTCCTCCCTGTCGTGAGAGACATGAAGTGAACTTAGTATTGGGAGATGGAAGCTGGATGACCCTCGGGGGCCGACCCACAGGGTGCCAGACTTCAGAATATAGCAGAGAGAAAGAGCATGGCACGACTTGTTACTCCAGGCTGTAGAATCCTGGAAAAGAGCTACCATGCAGCCCACAACCAGTCAACTGGAGGACCACCCTAGTGGAAAGGGGACATTCTGGGCCCCTGGCCTGCTGGGTGCACAAGCATAACAATTGCTTTTGTTTAATGTGCGGACGGAATATTTGATCCATTCCAACCAGACATTTGCATCTTGGTATCCTGTCTTAATTGCCAAAGTTTGTTTTAAGTCTTTCGCTTCTACGATAGCTATCTTGGTCTTGTTGTTAGATGGAGGAGGAGCAATTGTTCCATGTGAGAGGTTTTGGAAGAAGGCTTAGAGGAAGGTGCAGGCGGTGGGGGTTCAAAGAAATGCATTTCAAAGAATCCAATAGGGTCTGTCCCTGAAACCTCAGCCCCCATACCATAACACTGGCTTAAAGAAGGGAACTGGCTTAGAAAAGGGAAAGAACTTTGAGGATTCAAGGTAATAACCTGTATAGGATTGCACTGGTTTAGCTGACAGTTAGTGGGAGGCGGGGGCTGTCCCTCTAGTAAGATGAATGTATGGTTTTAGGAAATTACAAAAACCGGTTGGGGCAGTCCATCCTTGCTCTTTAGTGGTCCACAGAACCCTGGACCAACTATGGTATAAAAGCTCTACATCGCGGGGCAAGACTCCTGGTTGACACTGGGGTCTTTATCAAAATCTCCCAGGATTAAATGGTCCCAATTCACTAATACCCAGTCTGAGGAGAGTCAGGAGGGACAGAGGTACTTTTCTGAAGTAGAGAGCTGTCTTTGACTTGGCAAGTCCCCACAGGGTATAACAAGGCAAGCATCAAATGCAATAGTTTGAAGTGAAATTGACTTGGTTATGTTAATAACTAGATGGTCAGCAATAGAGCGAGGAAAGAAGAAAGAGTAATAGAATAGATGAAAGAGAGTTAAATTCTTCTTAGCTTTAGTTTGATAGGGTTTTCCCCTGGGACTATGGCCCGTGACTCTGGAAGGGGTGGCGCTTTCTTGACTCAGGTGTGGTGAGTCCATCCCCTTTCCGCTGTACAACAGCAGTCTCGGTGGTTAGCAGCACAGGGTAGAGTCCTTGCCAGGCTGGCTGCAGTTTTCCTTCTTTCCACCCTTTGATGAGAATGTGATCTTCAGGCTGGTGCTGGTTTACCGGAAATTCTAGGGGTGGTACCTGTGCTAAAAGACTTTTAGTTTTGAGGGAAAGGAAAGTGGAAGATAAACCGAGTATATGATTTCTAAGAAACTGACCTTTTGTTTTAAATGTGGGGACATCAGCAGTGGACTTTATTGTCCTTGGTGCCTTCTTACTGAGAAATTTCCTTTAGCACCTATTTTTATTAGTTTTTAGACCAAAGAAAGCCAAACACCATTTTATATTTGACAAGCTTCCTGTATGATTTTTATACCAGATAAGCTAAATTTCACCTTTATATTAAGTGTGTTATTAATGTTAAACTTAATTTTAATAAAACCTTGTAGACATATTTATCCAATTTTTGATGTCTGACCATAAGGTAAGAATTTTATAGACTGTTTTTAACCTTTTATAATTTTTGTTAAAGAGCAGGTTAATGCTTTAAGAAAAACCTGTTGTGCTTTTATTTTAATGTCCAGTTCACAGAAAAACTGGATGATACCCCTTTAACTTTAGCCAATATGTTTACACACAGAACTTCCTTTACAATTAATGTTTCAAAACTTGCTTAAACCTTTAAAACAAAAAAAATTTTTAACCTTTTAATGTAGGTAAAAATCCACATTCTTATGCCTCCTTATAATCCTTTTACCAAAGGTATATTTTACTTTCCTTACACACCTTGCACATAAACTGTTTCTTCAATAGTTTTACATTCAGGAGGCCTAATTACTTTTAAATTATACAACACTTCTTGCATAAATTCCCTTTTAAAACTTTTTTTTCATGACTTTCACAGATAATTCTTCAACATGCCTCAATTTTCTGACTTGTTGCAAACACCCCTTTCTTTAAACAACCAGTTAATTTATTTTAGGACAAGAATTTACCATATAATATCCCTTTTTACATAAATTCTCCCCCCACCCCCTTTTTTTTCCTCGAAGATGATAACCATTCTTTTCCAATGTGAACTTCCTTCATGCCTGTGGACTAGACTGTCTAAGGCCACAAGATTAGAAGTTAGGATAATACATGTTACACTGTTAACTTTCAGCCAACTTTACTTTTGTTGAAAACCTTGTAAGTTTGGGATTTCAATTATTCTTTGCTATTAATAAGATCTGTTCAGTCCATATTAACTTAGAATTGGTATAGACGGCTCCTTCCTGATTCTGTAAGTACTTTAAGGCTTTGCTGAGTGCAAAACAGCTTGCAGGTTTGAGCAATTTTCCTAACTCTGCTTCTACAAGAGTTTCCTTATCACTTACTGAATACCCATTGTGTCTTTTTCCCTCAATCACCCGGGAGGAACCATCTATCATCCTGTCCTGAAGGGAGCTCCTCGTAGGTCTGGTTGGACCTTTGTATGGTAATTAAGATTTAGATCCCCAGTTAGGAAACCTGGGTTAAGGGAATTTTCAGTGGTTAATGTTAAATCATCTTTTTCTAACAGAATAGCCTCATACTTCAAGTTTCTTGAGTCAGTAAGCTACCTTTTTGCTTTTTTTTTTTTTGACTTAGGATAGTTCTGACCTGAGGAGGTGTGTTCACAGTGAGGTTTCCTCTAAAACTTATTTTTCTACTTTCTTCTGTTAGCAAAGCAGTTGCCATTACAGATTGAATGCCTTTGGGCCACCCTCAGGTTACTGGATTAAGGATTTTTTTGTTATGAAGGCTACGGGTTGTCAGTGGCCTCAGTGCTTTCGGGCTACGCCCTTGTTTACACTGACAACAAGGTGGTATTGGACTGTTATAGGGTCCCGGAGAAGACCTTCAATTATGAATTATAGGTTTTAAATTTACCCTGACTTTTAAAGGAAGAGGATACACTATTTTCTCTTTACTACTTCCATCTCTCTCTCTCTCTCTCTCTGACTCCCTCTTTGTCTTTCTGTCTCTTTCTCTCTCTCTTTGACTGTGTTTCTCTCTGACTTCCTCTCCCAGTTTCTCTTTCCTCTTTGCTGGTCTTTCCCTGCCTCTGCCAGCCGCTTATACTATTGTTCTTCCCTCTCCTTCCCCTTCCCCTAGGGGAGGTACCGTTGGGAGTGGAGCTACTCTTTCTTCCCTCAAGAAGAAAGGAAAGGGGTGTTCTGAATATTTTTCTTACTACTGGAGGTTTGTGTGAGGTTCAACCCCCTGAAATTTGTAGAAGGCTCGACCCCTCAAAGCAGGGACGTCTCGCCTTGCCTGCCCCGGAAGGCTCAACCCCTCAAACCAGGGGGTGTCTTGCCTTAGTGTTGGCGTGCTGGTATAAATCCCATGGCAGGATCCGCCCTAAGTGTAAGAGGTAGCTACAGAACTGCAGAGAGGACCCACTCACTCCGTCGAGCAGTAGGACTCGTCACTGTCCACACGAACAACACTGCAAATAGGGTTGTTTGTGATCATTCACGCACACACATTTAGCCCTCCAGAATTTGACCACCAAGGAAGTACTTTATCGGCTCCCACAGCTTCTCCTTCCTTGGTCTGTGCACAGAGTTGTTGCCGCAGTATGTGAGGATCCTTTAAGCTAGGTTGCTGGCCAGTTTCTTTCCGCGTTGCTGAGAGCTCGCGTTGCGTTATTCCTCACACTGGGTGGGTCCTGATTTTTCACCCCTGAGGCTGCCACAAGGGGGTGGGGCATGCCTCCTCACGTTGGAGAACCAGAGACCACCCCCGGAGGGGAATGTAATCACAGGCGAGCCCCCAAATTGTTATAAGTAAAGCTTCGGTGCCGCAAAAGAAATAGCACTCAAATATAAATTTTAATTCTTAGCAAGGCAATGCACTTCTATAGAAGGGTGCGCCCTTTCAGACGGAGCAATGGTGAGTGCACACTTGGACAAGGGAGGGGAAGGGGTTCTTATCCCTGATGCCCGTGGCCCCTGCTGCTGTGTCGTTCCCCTATTGGCTAGGGTTAGACCGCACAGGCTAAACTAATTCTGATCAGCTAATTTAAAGAGAGTGATGGGGTGAGAGGTTTGGCAGGAAAAATGGTTATGGCAGAGCAGGAAATCGGAATGAGTCAGGGTGGAGACTGAGCAGGTAATGGGAATGAGTCAGGGTGGAGCCGGTAATCGAAAAATCTTGCTTTATGAGGAAGTTAAGTTTAAAAGTAGAAGGCAAAGAATTGAACATACTGACATACTGATTCTTTGAAGAGAAATTTAGAACTCATATCTAACAGTGCTGGGCTAAGAAGAGAAATAAACAACTCAATCTTGTCTGTTCTCTTTCCCCATTTCCTTTTCAGGCTAAAACTCCAGTTCTGGTTGAGACACAGACAGTGGACAATGCCAATGAGAAATCAGAAAAAGTATGACCTCCCAAACCACACAGGGCTGGGGCTGGGGATGTGGGGGCTGTGCTGGTGGAATGGAATGACCATGATATGGGAAGCTGGGCTCAGTTAGAAGTATGTGTGTGTGTGTGTGCGTGTGTGTGTGTGTGTGCGCGCGTGTTTGAGCTTGTGCATGTATATGTGCTTGTAAATTAAGATTTAAAATGTGAAAGTTAAGAAAAATGATGATAGGGAAGAGATGTAAGTTTGAACTTTGGGGTGGAGGAACTTTTAATACTATGACATGTTGACGGAAAGAAAAAAGAGTTGAACTCTGCAAAATATTTGAAGAGATTTATTCTGAGCCAAGTATGAGTGACCATGGTCCATGACACAGCCCTCAGGAAGTCCTGAGAACATGTGCCCAAGGTGGTCCAGGCACAGCTTGGTTTCATACAAATTAGAGAGGTATGGGACATCAATCAAATACATTTAAGAAATACATTGGTTTGGTCCAGAAAGGTGGGAAAACTCGTAGTGGTGGCTGGGGAGAGGGCAGTGTTTCCAGGCTACAGGTGAATTTATACATCTTTTGACTGACAATTGGTTGAGTTTGTCTAAAGACCTGAGATTCATAGAAAGGGAACATTTGGGTTAAGATAAAAGATTGTGGAGACCAAAGTTCTTTTGAAGTCTTGTAGTGTCTCCCCTTAGAGACAACAGAGGACAAATGTTTCCTATTCAGATGTTAGTTAATCTCTTTAGGATTGAGAGGGTCTGGAAGAAAAAGATCTAGCTATGTTAATAGAGACTCAGATGCAAATTTTCCTCCACAAAGAACAGCTTTGCAGGGCCATTTCAAAATATGGCAGAGAAACATGTTTTGGGATAAAATATTTTTCTTCCTTGTCTGGTAATGTTATGCCAGGGTCAGGTTTGAAAATCAGTCACAATATATAGGGTTAAATAAAACCCATCTGATGAGAAGTTATGATTTGTGGGGCATGACTCCCCAGACCCCTTAGATAGGAATTTGGGCAACATAGAAAAAATCAGGGTTTAGTCTTCAGACATGACAGAGGGAGAGAACAGGCTGTGGCTATGAACGGTTGTCAGGGATGAGAAGGCAGGGCCGGCAAAGGATGTGACTTCTCCAGTAGGTGGAAGGGGTCTGAAAGAAAGGATCAGGCCTGGGTGGAACATGGTAACCCTTTGACCCTATATCACAGTGTTCTTGCTGGTCAACAAGGTCCATGGAAAACTGGGTGAGGTAGCCAGGGCAGGTGTGCCCCAAGATGGGGAGGACACTGAGACCCAGGGGCAAGTTGTTGTGCTTGTGGCTATCAACCAGAGGATGGCAGAGGCAGGACATCTACCTGATCTTCTGGTTCCAGCCAGTGCCCTGCCCAGTGCTCCTGAATTCCAGAAAAAGAGACAGTTGCTGATAGGGAATCAGGGCCTTTCCTGGCACACCCCAGAGCTGAAGCCAGTGGGGAGCATTCTCTGAAGGTCCCTCTTTTTTTCTTGAAAGCCCCCAGAAAACCAAAAGAAGCTCTCTGACAAAGATACGGTAGCCACCAAGATCCAGGCCTGGTGGCGGGGCACCCTGGTGCGTCGGGCACTGTTGCACGCAGCCCTCAGTGCCTGCATCATTCAGTGCTGGTGGCGGCTGATACTGTCCAAGATTCTGAAGAAGAGGCGGCAGGCAGCGCTAGAGGCCTTCTCCCGGAAGGAGTGGGCAGCAGTCACACTGCAGTCCCAGGCCCGCATGTGGCGCATCCGCAGACGCTATTGCCAGGTGCTCAATGCTGTTCGCATCATCCAGGCTTACTGGAGGTGCCGCTCCTGTGCTTCCCGGGGGTTCATCAAGGGCCAGTACAGAGTCACAGCCAACCAGCTGCATCTCCAGCTGGAGATCTTGCTGGACTCAGGGCCTTGCATTGTGACAGAGTGTATTCCCTTCTCAATAAAGGAATGAAGTGGTCTTTTCCAGATAGTCTCTGACAAGCTTCAGGTCAGAGCAATGGATGGCAGATACCTGGCATTTGATATACCAGCTCTGAGGAATGGGCAGGGCTTGTCTGAGGCCTCATGTGGAGCAGGACTCTGAGCCTCTTTTCTAGACTGAGCAGAGACTGTGATTGATTAGCAATGTGTGCCGTAGGAAGGAAAGTTGGGGGTACAGACCAGTCAATTGGCCAACTCCATGGAGCATCATTCGTATTTACATCATTCTGTGTACATAGTGCACCCTCCCTAGGACTTGGTATAATGGAAGCCTGGCGGGTGGTGGTCATGGCAATGGCAACACATTCTCCAGGAATTCACTCGTCTGGGTCTAGTTGCTCAGGGCTTGTTCCCCAACCCCTAGGACTGAGAGGAGCCCCCCAACCCCAAGCCCTGTGATCTTGTCTCCCTGCTGCACTGGGGGCTATGTCCTTATACTTGGCTTCTAAGAATCTGAGACCCAAACTGGAAGCTGTTAGCATAACTCAAGTCCTCATCCTAACCCCAAACCCCAACTGTCCCTTGCCCTCGAGCCCCGTATGAAAACTAGGACTCATTTTCCTCCAGACCAGGCTGGTATGGGAGGTTCCACAGGCAAGGGGGTGGGAGAGAGGGCATTTTGCTGCCAACCCAACCCTCTGGTGAGTGTTAGACCTCAGGCTATCACAGCTGCAGGAGCTGAGGAGGCATTAGTTTTGTGTTCCTTACCCTCCCCACTGGCCCAACTTCTGCAAGGGCCAATCCAGGCAGAGCTGGCTCCTCTGAAAGTCCCTCCCTGTGAAATGCTGCCAGCTGGGGTGGGGTTGGGGCCCAGGTGATGATAAGGGCCAAATAAGAGGTGAAGATTTGCATTACTCTGATGATTACTGATGTTGAACAATTTTTCATATACCTGTTTGCCATTTAGCAGGTAACAATGTAGTATATATTTCTAGATACTTAAAAAAAGATTTTGAATGTTGTCACTACAAAGAAATGATAAATGTTTAAAGTGATGGATATGGTAAATATCCCAATTTGGTCATTATAGTATATATACATGCATTGAAATATAACATTGTACCCCATAATTATGTATAATTATTGTCAATTATAAATTAAAAAATTAATAACAACAAAAAAAGAGGTTAAGATTAGGCTGAACATCTGCCTGTCAACACTGCTGTCCCTGTCCTGTGGTTCCCTGCACAGAGGGAGGATTCTGAGGTCTGGGTCACAGCCCTATGTCCAGCCCTGCTTCAGTGACTGTGCCCTGGAGAGCTGGTCCCTCAGCTCATAGATGTTCTGAGATGCTGCCCAGAAGTCTCAGGCTCTAGCTCTCGAGCATGAGCTCTGTATTTCCTGCTCTGTCCTGCCATGTCCTGCCCCTTGTGTCTCATTCAGGGCCTGGGTCTCTCATACCCACTCTGAAGGATTCTTGTCTTTCTCCTTGCCCCTGTTGTCCTGTGTTCAGAGTATCAGGGCACAGAGCTCTGACCTCTGACTGCTCCACCTCTCATTGCCCTGTGGCCATAGACAAGTGATTTCCCCTCTCTGAGACCAGTGTCCTGAGCTGTGAACTGGTGCTAACCTTCCCCACCTTCCAGGGTAAACAGTCAAGCACCATAAAAACTAGCATCTTCAAAACATCAAGTTTGTACACCTACATTGTATTTAACTTTGTTAATTATACCTCAATAAAGCTAAAAAATAATTCTGCATCAGCATCAAAACAAGGAAAGGGGTCACAAACAAGCCTTAAATACTGGTAGCCATGGAAAAAGCAGCCAATTCTGGGGTCAGCTGGAGTGGCCCAGCAGAGCATATGGAGGCATGCTCATCATTGTTGAGGTACTCCCACTCCCAGGCCTCCTCAGTGGACAGAGCCAGGAAATACATGTTTGTGTATATGCACAAGCATCGCACATTTATATCTGTGTTCATTTCTGTGCCTATCTATATGGAAATCTGTGAGCTCACACTGATACCTCCAATCCCAAATTTAAGAATTCACTCTAGTTTTCTCCTTTCCATATTTCTTTTCTTTTCTTTCCTTTTTGAGATGGAGTCTGGCTTTGTTGCCCAGGCTGGAATGCACTGGCACAATCTCGGCTCACTGCAACCTCCGCCTCCCTGGTTCAAGCAATTCTCCTGCCTCAGCCTCCCGAGTAGCTGGGATTATAGGCGGCCACCACAACGACTGGCTAATTTTTGTATTTTTAGTAAAGACAGGGTTTTGCCATGTTGGCTGGGCTGGTCGTGAACTCCTGACCTCAAGTGATCCACCCATCTCGGCCTCCAAGTGTTGGGATTACAGGTGTGAGCCACTGTGCCCGGCCTCCTTTCCATATTTCTACCTCTTCTTTTCTGAGAATGACACCCCTAGCTCCCATGATCTTTAATACATTTTCTTATTTGATCTTCCCTTTGTGCAACTAATTCTGCACAGCTACTGCTGGCCCCTCTCTCACAGAGACAATGGCCCATTTCTCTTGATCTCTGATATACGATGCCGTCTATTGTCCTCTTCTTGTGGCTCAGGCTGTGGCTCCCTACATTGGTCTGACGACTGGGGTAAATGCTCTTTCACCCAACCTGAGCTGACACAAAATGTCAGGCTACCCTCTGCGTGGATATCCTCCTCACTGTGCTCAAGTTCTGATGGTCTATGCCACCAAGGATGCCCTTCTCATCCTGCCCAATATGACGCTATTACTGGTATGGACTTACATCCCTGTGTGAACTCCTCCTCCCACTGCCTGGGTTCCATACTGGTCCCTCCTAGAACAATGCTTTCCTCCTCTGTCTTGTGACCCTCCCTCACCTGGCTCTGTTCCATGGTGGCTCTCTTTCCCCCTGGTGCAGCTATGTTGCACTGCCCAGCCTGAGGATTTCAGACTGACGGAGTGATTCAGGAAGGAAAGGGGGAAAAAAAATGAAGGCAAGGGCAAGAGAAAACTAAATTTTCAATTAAAAAAAAAGGAGACAAAGCATCTGCAGAAGAAAATTTTCAATCATGGGCTAACATCTGCTTCAACGTTTTCACCTCAAACCTCAAGCAAGCATAACCACAGAGAAGATCCGGAAATTGTTCATGAAATAATGAATCAAAATGTTTGAGGCTCAGGCCTTCCTCTCCCACTACAAATTCATAGGAATAACAGGAAAAAATACATTGATTTCAAAAGTTTGTACTAGTGCCTAAAATATAGGAAGGGGGCCTTCAGAGAATAGAAAGCATGTGGAATCCCTAAAAGACAGAAGGTATATGTGGAAAAACTGAAAGACAATAAATTAAAGCTTTAGAAAAGGCAAAGGCAAAGGCAAGAGTGGCCATGCAGTTTCTCCATGCTTGGAGCTAGCTGGCCCAGGGACAGCAGGGCTGTGGGCTCTGCAGGGCGCTGGTTGGAATATGCCCATAGGAGGAGCAGCCAGCTCTCTGCTGAGCTACACAGTTGGCAAGACGGTGGCTGACGGCAGAGGGCTCTGTGACCCCCCCAGGGCCTGGTGCCATGTGACACCCTTGCACAGCAGGGACCCTGCCCAGAGGACCACCCACAGAGGTCCCACCCTGACAGGCCACCTCACTGAAATGGAAGACCCAGAAGTTCCACTGTTGGTCGAATGTGTGCTTCTGAGAAAGGATGGAGAATGGAGGAAAGGAGCATGCAAGCATGAATGAGAGGATCTCCCATCATCAGTGAGAGTTTTAATGAGATTCTTTAGAAAGAACTACAGTTTAAGACAGTTGACCAATGGCATCAAGATGAGTGAAAACAGATGGAACCCAAAATATGTTATGGCTGAAGTTAAACTGAATGAAGATACTGAAACTTGTTTTTTTTGTTGTTTGTTGTTTGTTTTTTTGAGGTGAGTTTTGCTGTTGTTGCCCAGGCTGCAGTGGCACAATCTCAGCTCACTGCAACCTCCACCTCCTGGGTTCAAGCGATTCTCCCACCTCAGCCTCCCAAGTGGGATTACTGGTGCCCACCACTGCACCCAGCTAATTTTTGTATTTTTAGTAGAGACGGGGTTTCACCATGTTGGCCAGCCTGGTCTTGAACTCCTGACCTCAGGTGATCCACCTGCTTTGGCCTCCCAAAGTGCTGGGATTGCAGGCGTGAGCCACTGCGCCCCTCCAAAATACGGAAACATTTAAACAGGAAATAAAACCAGTGGCTTACCCACCAAGGAGTAAGGCAGGGTGACTTCAGCTTTCTCAGCAACAACACTGATTGCAAAGAGAGAGAGTGGAGCCACAGCCCCAACTTTCTGCAGAAGAATCTTTCTCAGTGCAGAATCATAAACTCACCCTGATGTTATCCAAGTATTGCCTCCCCCCTCCCCTGCAATCCATGGAGTCAGGGATGTGGCACTCAATAGGCTAATCTAAAAACAAAGATAAGCACCCAAACAAGAACCACCAAGCTTTGGAGGAAACCAATAGCAGGAAAAAGCATTCTTAAACTCTGCAAGCAGAAACCTGATAACCAAGGGAAAGACTTGAGAAATTAATATCCTCATTGGGTGGAGGAAGACATCTTAGATACAAAAGAACAAGCCCTTATTAAAAAGCCATTTATGGATCTCAGAAAGGAATAATGATTGTCAAAATTAGAACCCAGCAGATGGGATGAATAGCAGAATGCACGTATAAAGCGCGGATTAGTGAGTGGAAATTTTGATGTGAAGAATCCTCCTGGAGTGTAGCACAAAAGGTCAGAGAAATGAAAAGCTTAAAGAAAATAAATAAAAGAATGAGGCATTGATCCAGAAGTTCCAGTCATGGTTGACTGTGTATTGCTGAGAAAGAAATTGCAGAGATGGAGGCAGAAACATTCAAAGCATTGATGAGTTTTCCAGAGCTTAAAGAGACTCACTTGCTCTCAAAAGATGAAGGAAAACAGATGGAGCTTCACACAGGTCACAGCACAATCTCATAACTCATGAAGATAGAATACTTAAATATTTAAAGAGGAAAAGGAATCAACACATCACCTCCTAAGGAACAAGTTTCAGATTCACATCAGCTTTCTCAGCATCAAAACTGAGTGCAAGGAGAAAATGGAGCAACACTCCCAATGTTCTGAGAGAAAGTAAATGTGAGCATTGAATGCTATACTACCCCAAATGTCATTCAATTGTAAGTCCAAAGTGAAAGGCATTCTTTTAATTCAAAATTTAGTCTACATCAAAAGTCTCTGACTGTAACTCTGGGAAATTAACTCCATGACAAAGGAAAACAAATCCAGGAGAATGGCACAAGACGTAGTGATGAGTACAGATGCCACTAACATTTATTGTTATGACTGAATAAGATTTTCCTATAAAATATATTTCTTTTTTTCTTTTAGACAAGGTATCTCTCTGTCACCAGGCTGGAGTGCAGTAGCTGGATCATGGCTCACTGCAGGCTGCACCTCCCAGGCTCAAGCGATCCTTCCACTTCAGCCTCCTGAGTAGCTGGGACTACAGGTGCATGCCACAATGCCCAGCTAATTTTTGTATTTTTTGTAGAGATGGGGTCTCACTATCCTGCCCAGGCTGGTCTCAAATTCCGGGGCTCTAGCAATCCGCCTGCCTCAGCCTCACAAAGTGTTGGAATTACAGGCGTGAGCCACTGCGTCTGGCCAAAATATGTATATTTCCATAAAATATGTCTATTTCTCAAATGATGGCAACATGGGAGGTTGCTGGAGACTGTATGGAGAAAAGGAACTTGGGCTAAAGTTCTTGCCTAATTTGAGGCCCAAGTGATACTGATTTGCTTCAGATGCTCCATAGGCAAAATAAAATCTGTGTTAACAAGTACTAGAAGAAAAGCAACGAGGTATATAACGTCTAGGTAAATTAGAAGCTACATTCAGCTAACACAGAAATCTAAAATACAGTGAGTCAAACAAATTAGAGGGTTGGTTTACATCACCTAAAAGAAGTCTGAGAGTGGACAGTCCAGGCTCAGTGGACAGCGCCATGATGTCATCACGGAACTAAGCATCTACTGTTTCCGCACCACCTCCCCACCATGTTGGGGAGATAACCCATGTCCTCATGCTCTCAAAGTGGTTACCAGAGTGCTGGCCATCAAGTTCACATTCTAGGGAAGAAGAGGGTTAAGGTGAAATGGGAAAAAGGCCCATTTGAGCCCAGCCTGGCTCCTTAAAGTGGTGTCCCAGAAGGCCCACCCAGCGACTCCTGCTGACATCTCATTGGCCAGCGAATATCACGTGACCACTCCAGTCGCAAGGGAGGCCGAGAAACGCTATTCCTTTAATTGCGCACTTTGCCAACCCCAATAAAATCAGTTCTTTTTAGTGATGAAGTGGGACTCAGTATGGGTAAGCAACTCACAATATCTGACACAATTTCTAAAACAGTAGGAAGAAAAAAACCTCACCCATCTCAAAACTCCCTGAAAACCTGGTTAATCCAACAAAAGACAGGACAATAAAAATAAATCTTAAGAGAAATGATAGATTTAGAGTACAAAATAATATAGCAATAAGCCAGATATATTAGGAATCAGTAAATGCAAATTAGTAATACCCACCTATTAGAAAATGAGACTTCTGGCTAGGCACAGTGGCTCTCACCTGTAATCCCAGCACTTCTGGAGGCCAAGGCGGGAGGATCACTTGAGCCCAGGAGTTCTAGACCAGCCTGGGCAACATAGCACGATCCCATCTCTAAAAAAATACAAAAATTATCTGGGCATGGTGGTATGTGCCTGTGGTCCCAGCTACTGGGGGGCTGAAGTGGGAGGATCACTTGAGCACAGAAGGTTGAGGCTGCAGTGAGCTGTGATCATGCCACTGCACTCCAGCCTTGGTAACAGAGTGAGACCCTGTCTCTGAGAAAGAGAGAGAGAGAGAGAAAGAGAGAGAGAGACTCTCAAGCTAGGTTAGACAGATCGTGCTTGTGGTGGATGTGGAGATGCACCATTCAGACTCCCCTTCAACAGAGGACTTGTTGTATGAGCTCCTGGGAGTGCTGACTGCAGCTGTCAGCTCCTTCAGGTACTGCTTCAGCTGCAGAAAGCCTGCCTTGCCCAAGGTCAAGCCCTTCCAGATGCCACCCACAATGACTAATCCAGGTGAATGGATAACCACCTGACCACCGCATTCAAATTGGGCAATTCTGCCAGGCCATTTCAGCATCAGAGCTTCCTATGGTACTTGATAAGGATAATAAGGGAATACTATGAACAAGTAAGTATGTATACATTACATTAATGAAATGGATCATTTCCTTGAAAACAAAAAACTACTATACCAAAAGTTATCCAAGATGAAATAAATAACGAGTCATTCTATAGCTATTTAAAAGGTTGAATTTGCAGTTTAAAACCTTCTAGATAGTTTTATTGGCAACTTCTACCAAATATTTTACAAATAACACCCATTCTACATAATCTTTTCTGCAAAATAGGAAAGACACTTCTCAATTCATTTTATCCTGACATTAAGACCAGACAAAGATAGCGTAAGAATAGAAAACTATGGAACAAGGCCGGGCCTGGTGGCTCATGCCTATAATCCCAGCACTTTGGGAGGCCGAGGCGGGTGGATCACCTGAGGTCAGAAGTTCGAGACCGGCATGGCCAACATGGTGAAACCCCGTCTCTACTAAAAATACAAAAATTAGCCGGATGTGGTGGACACCTGTAATCCCAGCTGTTCAGGAGGCTGAGGCAGGATAAATGCTTGAACCCAGGAGGCAGAGGTTGCAGTGAGCTGAGATCGTGCCACTGCATTCCAGCCTTGGTGACAAGAGTGAAACTCTGTCTCAGAAAAAAAAAAAAAACAAACTGTGGCCCAATATACTTCATGAACATAGAAGCAAAAAATTTATTAACAAAATATTAGCAAATCCAATTTAGCAGGAAGTATATAATATTACAGTCACATATGGCTTAATGATGGGGATATGTTCTGAGAAATGCATCATTAGGTGATTTCATCATTGTGGGAACAACATAGAGTGTGCTTACATACATGTAGATGGTATAGTTTTCTACATAACTAGGCTATAGAGAAGAGGTAAAGCCTATTGCTCCTAGGGTGCAAACCTGTACAGCATGTTACTCTGCTGGATACTTTAGACAATTATAACACAATGGTAAGTGTCTGTGTACCTAAACATAGAAAAAGTACAGTAAAAATATAGTATTATAGCACTCTGGGACCACTGGTGTATATGTGACTGAAATACTGTTATATAGTGCATGACTGTTATGTATGTATTACACACACACCACAACATGACCTAGTGTGCCTCATTTCAGGAATGCACAACTTCAATATTTCAAGAATGCACAGTTTCAATACTTGAAAACCAACCATTGTAATTTATATGATTAATTTAAAGGGGGAAAACCACATGGTTACATCATTTGAAGTACAGAAAACATTTGACAAAATTCAACATTTGTTCATAATAAAAACTCTCAGCAAATTAGGACTAGAAGGGAATTTTCTCAACCTGATAAAGTTTATCTACAAAAATCCTACAGCTAACATCCTACTTAATAGAGAAAGATGAAATGCTTTCCACCAAGGTTGGGAACAAGGCAAGGGTGTTTTCTCTTGCCAGTCCTGTTTACTAGAGGTTCCTGCCAGAAAAAGAAATAAAGATATACAGATTGGAAACAAAAAAATAAAACTACCCCTATTCATAAGCAACAGGATTGTCCATGTAGGAAATCCCAAGGAATCTACAAAATGAAAGCCAGAAATCTTCTAGAATAGATAAGATAATTGAGCAACATTGCGGGAAACAAAGTTAACACAAAATTCAGTCATGTTTCTGTATACTAACAATTGGAAACTTAAAAATAAAAAGCAGTCCTGTTTACAATAGTTCCATAAAATGAAATTCTTAAGTAAATCTAACAAAGCGTGTAAAAAATCTATATTTGGAAAACTAAAAAACACTGACAAAAGAAACCAAAGAAGGCCTAAATCAATGGAGAAACATACTGTGTTCACAGATTGAAAGACTCAACAAAGTAAAGATGTTAATTATACACAAATTGATCTATAGATTTAATGTAATTCCAATCAAAATGCCAGAAAGATTTTTATAGATATAGACAAGCTGATTTTAAAATTTATGTGGAAAATTCAAAGAATTAGGATAGCCAGAGCACTTCTGAAAAAACCAATAAATTTAGAGTAATCATATTATTTAATTTTAAGACTTATTATAAAGCTGCAGTAATAATTAAGACTGTGGTATTGGTAAAGGGATAGACACATAGATCAATGAAATAGACTAGACAGTCCAGAGAGATTCACACAAACAAGGCCAATCATTTTTTGACAAAGATACAAAGGGATTCCAATGGAAAAAGGACAGTCTTTTCAACAAGTGGTCAAATAACTGGAAATTCATATGCAAGAAAATGAACCTC
Source organism: Homo sapiens (assembly GCF_000001405.40). NCBI lineage: Eukaryota > Metazoa > Chordata > Mammalia > Primates > Hominidae > Homo > Homo sapiens. Next base: position 51,885,469 of record NC_000003.12, on the reverse strand, counting down.
AACCTAATCCTCATATAAAAATTAATTCAAAATGATTCATGGCTATAAATGTAAAACATAACTATAAAATCTTAGCAGATAACATATGAGAAAATCTTTATTATTTACAGTTAGAAAAGGAGTTCTTAGATATGACAACAAATGTGAAATTCATAAAGGAAAAAAATTTATTAATTGGACTTCATCCATGAAAGATACTGTTAAGAAAATGAAAATATAAGCCACATAATGGGAGAAAATATAAATCACATACCTCACAGATAATTTTTATCCATAATATATAGAGAACTCTCAAAATTAATTAGCAATTGTGATGGTTAATGCATGTGTCGACTTGACTGGGCTAAAAGATGCCCAGATAGCTGGTAAAACACAATTTCTTGGTGTGTCTGTGAGTATGTTTCTGGAAGAGATTAGCATTGAAATTGGTAGGCTGGGTCAATGAGGTTGCCCTCACCAATGTGGTGGCCAGTATCCAATTTGTTGAGAGCCTAAATAGAACAAAAAGGTGGAAGAAGTGTGAATACACTCTCTTTTCTTGAGCTGGGACATTCACCTTCTCCTACAGAGCTCCTGGTTCTCTGGCTTTCGACTTTGGGACTTGCACCAGAGGGCAGTCCTCCCTTTCCCACCCTTCCAACTCCAGCCAAATTACATCACCAGCTTTCCTGGTTCTCCAGCTTTCAGAGAGCAGATTGTGAGACTTCTCAGCCTCCATAGTTGCAGTAAGCCAATCCCATGATAAATCTGTTTCTATCTCTACCTCCTATTGGTTCTGTTTCTCTGGAGAACCTCAGTGAATACAGTAATAAACAGCCCATTAAAATATGGCCAAAGACTTAAGCAGACGCATTACTAAGAAGACATACGGATACCAACTAAGCACATGAAAAGATGCTCATCACCATTAGCCATTAGAGAAACGAGTTAGTAAACTTTTCCAGTAAAGGATTAGATACATAGTAAACATTTCCAGCTTCATGGGCTGAGAGGCAAAATTGATGATATGACGTGTATACGTAGTTATATAGCAAGAGAGAAAACAAGTTTCCACAAATTTTTATTGATGAAATTAAAGATATAATAAAAATTGAGTAAGTTTTGTAATACAGGTGGACTAATGAAAACAATGCATTTTTGGGGGTGGGCAGAAGGACCATGTTTAGTTTAATCAGTGCTGAAAGTTAGTGTTTCCTGTCATCAAAATCAGTTGCACATGCTTATATGTGATGAATTTTATATATTTCATCTTTGCAATGTCTTTTTACACGTATAGGCACTATGTAAAATATTTGGTACTGCCAAATACTAATATGAATCTGATATGGTTTGGATCTGTATCCCCACCAAATCTCATGTTGAACTGTAATTCTCAATGTTGGAGGTGGGGCCTGGTGGGAAGTGATTGGAGCATGGGGGTGGTCCTTCATGGAGGGTTTAACACCATCCCCTTGGTGCTGTTCCTGTGATAGTGAGTTCCCATGAGATCTGGTTGTTTGAAAGTGTAGCACCTCCCCCGCCTCCTCCCTGCGACCCTTCCTCCTGCTCCAGCCATGTGAAGTGCCAGCTTCCTTTTCATCTTCTGCCATGATTGTTAAGTTTCCTGAGGTCTCCCCAGAAGCCAAGCAGATGCTGCCATGCTTCCTGTACAGCCTGAAGAATCATGAGCCAATTAGACCTCTTTTCTTTATAAGTTACCCAGTCTCAGGTATTTCTTTATAGCAGTGGAAAAATGAGCTAATGTAGAATCCATGAACATATGACTTTGATTGAGAATATTCTTCACTTGGGAGATACTTATAAGAGTTCTATTAGATTCTTCTTTTGACATTTGCCTGTACGCATGTCATTACATTGTTGATTAACTACTTCCAGCTGAAGTTCAGGTGGTCACTACTCAATTGCTTAAATAAATATATTTAGAAATGTTGAAATTCCCCTTGTACTTGCATAGAAGTCTGAAATGCACGTGCTGCTGGAACTGCAGTTTGAGTTCAGAAAAGATACCCCCTGCAAATTTGTGTGGGAATGGATATCTCACTTCATGTTTTAACTTTTGACAGCTCGGGAAGTACTTAGAGCAGCTTAACATTACTTGTGATTCAACATTGTTGCCAACTTGACTTTACCATAGTATAGATATTATGTATAAGTTTTGTTTTTCCCTTTAACTTCAGGTTTAATTCATTAAGGAACATAAAGACTGCAGCAAAAACTTATTTCTAGTGCTATTCAGTGCTGGATAATAGTAGTTAAAGGCAGTTTTTCTCATTCAGAAAAATTTCAATCTCGACCTTTAACTTTAAAGTTCTCAGTAAAACCTTACCATTGCTAAGCTATGGAACTGCTGTGTGGTTGGGCAAGTCAGCAAATTCAGCTTCTATTTCTAAAAAAAGTTCATGGAACTGATGATGGTTGAGTCAATGATGCCATGTGAAGTCTACCATTGACACTACTGGTTCAGTAACAGGATTGATTCCAATGTTTTCCACAAAGTACCTACAGATGAATGATACAATGAATAACCATAGGCTTTAAGCACCTACATTTTCATAAACTTTGTTTTTTCAACTAAGCCTTTGTTCGGCCTCACACATATTTTCACTACTATCAGATTTATCACATCTTGGCAGATTCCATTTCAGGCTGTGTTGAATTAGCATTTTCTCAATTTCTTCAACAAATATTCTCATCCATGTTTGTTTCATACACATAGAGGTTAATTTCTGTCACTTCAAACTTGGCAGTTACCCTTCAATAAGCAACAGCCAAGCCGTATTGGTACATCTGTCAACTCATTAAGAGCCAAGAAAAACCACTTGAAATCATTTGCCTTGTTGTTTAATTGGCTATTGATATTGTTACTCATGTCTTTGACTTTTTGAGCAGTTATTCTCATTGAGAGACTAACAATGGGCTGGGTGTGGTGGCTCACATCTGTAATCCCAGCATTCAGGAGGCTGAGATGGGCGGATCACCTGAGGTCAGGAGTTCAAGACCAGCCTGGCCAACATGGTGAAACCCCGTCTCTACTAAAAATACAAAATTAGCCAGGTGTGGTGGCACATGCCTGTAATCCCAGCTACTCGGGAGGCTGAGTCAGGAGAATTGCTTGAACTTGGGAGGTGGAGGTTGCACTGAGCCGAGATCACACCACTGCACGCCAGCCTGGGTAACAGAGCTACAGTCAGCCTCAAAAAAAAAAAAAAAAAAAAAGGCTAATGATGTTTATTTTCTCTGGACACATTTCTTCAGCTGTTGCAATCAAATATGATTTAATTAACTCACTACTGGTAATAAAAATAACCTTTCCCTGCTTGGCTAACAAATGAGCAACTTGGTAACCTATTTTGCTTGCAGTCTCATTTTGATTTTTTAGTTTTTGTAAAGAAATTCTACTGTGATGAGATATGCCACTTAAAATGTTTAACTTTGATGATTATTAACTTCTTGCAAGTTAAGAATATTGTGGAGTGCTTAGTCTGGTAATGTTGATGGATAACATCGTGTTCTTTTAGCATAGCTATAGTGTCATTGCATAATGGACACAATGCTTTGCCATTGTCTTAAAAGTGCGACATTTAAAGTCTGCTTTTGTCTTTTCTTCTTATTTTGATGTGATGGGCATGCACTGGTAATTAAAAAATAGGTCACAGTACAGCAGTATATGTGGCACACAGAACACTGTTTAGCTATAACTGCACCTCTGTGATTTTTGTGGGCTGAGCAGCAGGGGAAATGAGGAGAGTGCCATGTATGGTCCCCTTCAACAAATATTTAACTCTGTCATTGTAGTGCAAATGTGGCTATAGACAATATATAAGCAAATAAGCATGGTAGTGTTCCAATAAAACTTTATAGACACAGAAATTTGAATTTTGTATAATTTTCATGTGTCATGAAATAATATTCTTTGAGTTTTTCCAATCACTGCAAAATGTACAAATATTCTTTGCAGGATGTACAAAAACAGGCAGGCAGTGGGCTGTATTGACCTACCAGTTGTAGAATGCCCAACCATGCCCCAAGTCAATGTCCATTACACAATGCTGAGCCCCTAACAGGAACCAATATGTGGAATGATAGTGGACCTGTGACTACGCCTCAAGTTATTCACTTGGGAATTTATGCATTCTGTCCCTGTAACTTCAGGCTCCATCTGACTGGAGGTACTAGATTCTAGGGAGGAAAGACATTTATCAGGGGTCACAGTAAGAGTCTCACTAAACATAAAGCTATGGCTGTGACCTGGTCACTTTATCCTCCTTATGCCAAGAGACAAGAAGTCACTCTATAATGAAAGGAGTCACTCTGTTGGCAGGAATAATTAACACTGATCATTAGGAGAAGATGCACTGCTGCTACACTAGGTGGGGGTGAGCAGGAAAGACTATGAATGTGGCTTGGATGATTCACTGGAAAATTTCTTGGTGCTTCGCTGCCTAGGTGTAATGGTAGATTAACCCATACAGCAATCATAGCCTGAGAATTATAGCCAGAGAATTATAGCCAGGGATGAGGGTCTGGATCACCACTGCACCCACTTCCCTTCCCATTACTGGCAACCTGTGTAGACAGCAGAGATGCAAGTCAAACAGGAAAGGAATCTAGAAAGGGTAGTGGATGAAGGGGAAAAGGTGTGTGACTGATGGTCTCAAAGTAAATGATGGGCCTGTAACTTGTCCTTTTGACCCTTTTCTTTTTTCTTCAGGAGTACACATGCGGGTTTATTAAACATAAGTAAACTTGTGTTATTGGGGTTTCTTGTACATTTTGTTACCCAGGTAATAAGCCTATTACCCATAAGTTATTTTTCTTGATCTTCTCCCTCCTCCCACCATCCACCCTCCAATAGGCCCCAGCATCTGTTGTTCCCCTCTATGTGTCCATGTGTTCTCACCATTTAGCTCCCACTTATGAGTGAGGACATGTGGTATTTGGTTTTCAGTTTTGTGTTAGTTTGCTAAGGATAATGGACTCCAGCTCCATCCATGTTCCTGCAAAAGACATAATCTCATTCTTTTTTATGGCTGCATAGTATTCCATGGTGTATATGTATGTACCACATTTTCTCAGTCTACCAATGATGGGCATTTAGGTTGTAAGGAATATAAATCATTCTATCATAAAGACACATGCATATGTATGTTTATTGCAGCACTATTCACAATAGCAAAGACATAACTCTTCTCTTTTAAGTTTTCCCAGGAGACAAGACCAACCAGAATCGTTATTTTTAAATGGTGAACATTTACTATGGGAAGCAAGTAGATATGAGTGGCATAAAGGGTTGGGCTGCAGTGGATTTGCAGATGTAGTGGATCCTTTCTTCATAGCTGGTGACTCATCCCACATCTCTTGGGAATATTGGCTGCTGCTCGGTCACTGCTGTCATCCATTGGGAATTGTTTTTGGCCATAGGGAAGAGATTTGACCAAGATTATGTCCTCTCCTAAGGGGAATCCTGCAGCCAATCACTGGCTTGTGGTTGGTGTTATAGGTTGAAGTGTATCCCTCCTAAAAGATATGTTGAAGTCCTAACCCTCAATACCTCAAAAAGTGACCTTATTTGGAAATAGAGCTTTTGCAGATGTAGTCAATAAGATGAAGTCATTGGGTGGGCCCTAATCTGATATGATTAGTGTCCTCATATTAAGGGGAAAGTTGGACACAGGCACAGATGTGCACAGGGGGAAGAATATGTGAAGACACAGGGAGAATGCCATGTGAAGACAGAGGATTGGAGCGATGTGTCTACATGCCATGGAACACCATGGGGGATGCCAGCACATCCCCCAAAGCTAGGAAGAGGAAAGGAAAGGTCCTTTTCCTACAGGTTTCAGGAGCATGGCCTTGCTGACACATTGATTTTGGGTTTCTAACCTCCAGAACTGTGAGCCAATTAAACTTCTGTTGTTCTAGTCCCCTGTCTTAGTTTGTCCAGGCTGCTATAAGAAAATACTATAAGGCTGGGTACGGTGGCTCACACCTCTAATCCCAGCACTTTGGGAGGCCAAGGTGAGCGGGTCACTTGAGGTCAGGAGTTCAAGACCAGCCTGGCCAACATGGTGAAACCCCGTCTCTACTAAACATACAAAAATTAGCTGGGCGTGGTGGTGGACACCTTTAATCGCAGCTACTTGAGAGGCTGAGGCATGAGAATCACTTGAACCCAGGAAGCGGAAATTGCAGTGAGCTGAGATCACATTACTGTAGCCTACCCTGTGTGACAGAGCGAGACCCTGTCACAAAATAAAAATAAAAAAAGAGGAAAGAAAGAAAGAAGCAAAGAAACAAAGAAACAAACAAACAAAGAAAGAAACAAAGAAAGAAAAAGAAAGAAAGAAAAATAAATCACATTCTGTTTCACCTTCTTCCTCCCTGCTCCCCCTTTCTCCCTCAGACTCCAAGTCCCCACGCTTCCCCTCTCTCTTCCCTCTTTAGGTTTCTTCTTCCCTCCCTTCCTTCTTTTCTTTCCTTCCTCCCTTCCTTCCATAGGGTCTTACTGTGTTGCCCAGGCTGGAGTGCAGTGGCACGATCTGCAGCCTTGATCTCCTGGCCTCAAGTGATCCTCCCTTTTTTGCCACCCGAAGTGGTGGGATTACAGGGAGCACCACTGTGCCCGACCCCTCCAGGTTTCTTTATTTCTCCCTCCCCTGCCTTCCCCGTGTCATCCTTCTCCTCCAGTCCCAAAGTGCCCAGCCTCCTCACCTCTGATCTGGGACTTTCAGCACCAGCCCATGTCCATTCCATGCCCATGCCCACCCTTACCAGGGTAGAGGAGACAGAGGAGGGAATGACAGAATTTGTCTCCAGGAATGCAGACCCTGGGGGCTCCAGGTCTCCTCAGAGAGGTGGGCTATGAGTAGATAGTCCATTAATTCATCCACTCATTATACATTCGGTGAACAATTATTTTTCACCTACTATGTCCTGGTATTGTGCAGCCTCTGGGGTCGCAAACATGAGGAATGCTCAGCCTCTGCCCTCTAGGAACCAGTGAGAAAAGGGGCCAGTCAGCAAACAGATGACTGTGTAAGATCAGGTGAGGACCACAGGTGGATATAGATCAGGTGGAGATCTTTAAAGGGGGCCACGGGGCTTCCCAAGGTGCAGGACCCACCAAGTAAACTCCTGGGTCCTCCTGGGAGGCTGCTGTGCCAGGGGCTGCATGTGAGGGTCACTTATCTGGGGATGGGGCTGGGGCTGCTGCAGAAGAAATGCCTGAGGCAGGGGCTGAGGGTTGCCTTAGAACAGCCCATTCCCAGGAGACCTGCGTTTCCTCCTCTGCAGGCCATGGGGCTGGGAGCACATGCAGAGGGCTGGTCCCACTGGAACCCTCACTGAGTCCTGCTTTCTTCTCCTTTTTCCAGCCGTCCTGCAAGGGGCCTACTGAGAACCTCTGGAGGAAACTCTGGTAGAGGAGGTGGAGAATGGTGGGGGTGGGATGGGAGAATGGTACCCTAGGATGCTGGTACTTCTGTGCTCAGCGCTCACCCACAGTGGCCCTGAGGGGCCTGTGTCTTGCTCCCTGTGCTGCATGCCTTACCCCAGCTCCAGGAGGCTCACTCCACCATGCTCACACCAGGCCCCTCACCCAGCACACTTTCCAACCTCCCCTTGGAAGGCATCTTCCTCTGCTCCTCAGCCCCTGGGGTGCCTCCTCCCTACCCACTGGCTAGAGGCTGAGCTGGTTCTAGTAGCACTCAAGGCCCAGCACCCACCCTGCTTCTAGGGTCACCTCATCCACCAATGCCCCAGCCCCTGGGCCTCTTTCCTGTCTGGATCTCCCTCCTTTCTGGACTCCAGCCCCCTTGTTCCTCTGGGCTCTAGTAATGGGATCTTTCCTGTGCCCTTGGAGTGCAGGGACCTTTATCCTTCTCATAACACCCAAACACACTTGGATCCTAGTATGATGATCTCTGTGTTATAAATGAGATGGGTAGAGGTATTTAAATCAGCTTTTATTGAGGCATAATTTACATACATATATATCCATTTTAGATGTACATTTCATTGATTTTTTTGGGGACAAGTTTATACACCTGTGTGACCATCTTGGCAACCAAAATACAGAACATTGCAGGCTGGGTGTGGTGGCTCATGTCTGTAATCCCAGCACTTTGGAAGGCTGAGACAGATTGCTTGAACTTAGGAGTTTGAGACCAGCCTGGGCAACACGGTGAAACCTTGTCTTTACAAAAAATACAAAAATTAGCTGGGTGTGGTGGCTATTCTGGAGGCTGAGGTTGGAGGATTGCTTGAGCCCAGGAGGTTGCAGCTGCAGTGAGCCATGATCGTGCTACTGCACTCTAGCCTAGGTGACACAGCTAGACCCTGCCTCACGAAAAAAAAAAAAAAAAAAAAGAAAAGAAAAGAAAAAGAAAGAAAGAAAGAAAAAATCTAGAACATTCCATTACCCACATAGTTCCCATTCAGTCTCCATCTCAAAGTCTGGGCAACCACTGCTGTGTCCCCATTGACGACAGCTGTCCCCACTGCAGTGCACACACATGGATTCACAGTGTGCCTTCTTCAGAGTCTGGCTTCTTTTGCTTGGCTAATTTTTTAAGATTCAGGATGGAGGTTTTTTAGCGGGATTTTTCTAGAAACGATGAGAACCGGAAGCTTTGGGAAAACATGGAGATGCTGGGGTCTGCATGATGTGGTGGTTTAGAGCCAAGGCTCAGGGTGGAGCAGAGCTGGGACCAAATGCTAGCTCCACAGCTGACCAGCTATGAAACAGGGTGACGTGAGCCAGGCATGATCTCTGCACCTCCATTGCGAAGTGGGACTAATATCACTGCATTGCTATTACCACGGACAGGAATGTGGTGACTAGTGGCTTGACTCAGGAGCCAGACTGATGGAGGCACTAAATTGACAGAGGTCTCCCGGGGGCCTGGCCAAGATCTTTATCTTCAAATAGGTGCTTCCTGCTCCCTCTCTGTCCTACACATTGTACCCCACTATTTCCCCATCCCCCACCTCATTGCTGTCTTCCCCACTCCCTCATTCCATTAACTTCAAACTGACACCCCCGCCATCCTCAAAGCACCTCCTCCTCTTCCCTACATTCCCCCTACAGATCCACATCGGCCTCTCCCATACTCACCCTACACATTCCCAGTGCATTCCTCAGTGACCACGGGGGCTGTGCCTCACCACGTCCAGCTGGGTCTTAAGAGGTTGCAATCAGGCAGAAAGGGGCCCTGCTTCTGCAGAGGCCACCCTCATCTATCTGATCGTGGCCTTGAGGTGCTCAGGGACAGAGGAAGACAGGAGAGCACTTTAACCCATTTGAGCTTTGGATGGAGCCCAGGCTAGTCCTGGGGGCCTCAAGGAGTTTTCTGGCCTGTGTGTGTCCTGTCCTCTCAGGTGCCTAAAAACAGACTGACCTGCAGATAGGTCAGACATAGGGGGCTTAGCAACAGTGAAGGAGTTTTTCGTGTCCCTCCAATTCCACCGTCCTCATCAGAGATATTGTTAGTTTTTGTGTACATCCTTCTATCCCCCCTTTTTAAGATAATGCCTTTACAGCACATGTGTATAAATGTGTGTTTATATTGGGATCACCTTGCCTTTCATCTTGATTTGATTCACTTATGAAATCTTGTACTTTTCTATATCTGTACATAGAGAGCAAACCCATTCTAATAGTTATTTGGAATACCAGGGTGTAAAGGAACTGAAAGGCATTTAATGAATACCAGCCAGATTTTAATGAGCAGCATTATATACCTTTGTGTCAATGGGTCAGTACTTGGGGTCTTCTAGGTTTTCCTTAGAAGAGGCTCATATGCTGGAAGCTGTCCTGGTGCCTGCATCACAGGTGCCCTTATGACATCACAGGTCCCGCCCTTCCTCCACTCTTCCTGTTGGAGTCCTGATCGGAGGAGTGCGGGCCGGAGGGTGATGGGACCATCTAGCCCCTAACCATGGGTAATTTAGTAAAGTCCAGACCTGTGCGAATTTTACGACCTGTCCCCAGTCAGATGTTTTGTAAGAGGCAGTCAGAACCACACTAGCTTTCTGAGGGGAGAGTAAGTTCCCCACAGTTACTCATGACAGGACCCCCCTCCATGTTTGAAGTCCTAGAGAAAGCCAGGAAGCTGTCTAGAAACAGTGAGAATGGTGTTTGACTTGGCACCTAGCAGTGGGAGAGCACCTTTCACTTTCTTCCCTATTTCCCCCCATACACTCTGATTCCAGAAGGATGGCAAGCTGTTTTAAATGATCATTAAACATAATGATGAAATCACATCGATAGAACAGAGCTGGAAGGAACAAAGGGGAGAAGAGGGAAGCGACTCCACCCCCAACACCCTCACCCCTACCAGGCCACACCCTTACCCACAACTCCGTGAGTGGCTGGGTCCAGAGAGCCTTAACTAGTGACATCTCTGACCCCTGTGGTCCAGCAGAGTGACTCAAAGATCTATGACCCTGTAATTTATTGTACAAAGAGTGGCTTCAGTGAGGGAAACAGGCACCTGTCCTCATTACCTGACATCAATCAGGGTGTTCCAGAAAAACTGGGGTGAAACGTCAGGGTATGCAGAGCTGGAATGAATGGGGACTGGCTGTCTCTTGCCCCCATTTTCTTGTCAGGCGGAGAGATGTGAGTCTGGCTGAGATACGGAGTGGAGACTGTGGCCAGGAGTGGGGCAGAGGAGTGTGATCCCGGACCATATAGGGCTGGGGGCTGCAAGTGGGGACTGTGGGGAATGCAGGACCAAGGGGCAAAATGTGTGTTAGTGTGTGGAGTGTGCATGTTTGTACAGATGCATGCATAGCTGAAGTTCAAGCTGTTCACAATGTGTGTGAGGTGGAGGAATCTGTTACCACTTTGGTGAGGAGGAAGGAACACAGCAGCTTGTGGGTTTGACTTGAAGTCAGAGTAAAGAGGGCAGGAGGAGCAAAGGACACCACTTCTTCAGCGGATGGGAGGGCTCTGAAGGGAAGAGTCATGGATCCCAGGTAGATGGCAGCTCTTTTACCTCTAAGTCACAGTGTTCTTGCTCTAGACTGGCCAGCAAGGTCCATGGAAAATGGAATGAGGTAGCTAGGGCAGATGTACACCTATTTTGCAGATGGGGACATTGAAACTCAGAGGTCAAGTGAGGTGAGCACATCCACTAACCTGTGGGTGGCAGAGGGGGGACACCTACCTGGTCTCCTGGGTTCAGCTGTTGCCCTGCCCAGTGCTGAACTTTAGAGGAAGGAGCCATCATTGATAGAGGATCAGGGCCCCTTCCTAGCATACCCTGAGTGTGTCTGTTTTCTCTTGTAAGGCCCAGAAGAGAAGACCATCATGACAGAAAGGTCTGCAGCTGTTTTCATCCAGGCCTGGTGGCGGGGCATGCTGGTGCGACGCACACTGCTGCATGCAGCCCTCAGGGCTTGGATCATTCAGTGCTGGTGGAGGCAGGTGCTGGAGAAGCTGCTGGCAAAGAGGCGGAGGATGGTGTTGGAGTTCTATGTGCAGCAGGAATGGGCAGCAGTCAGGCTGCAGTCCTGGGTCCGCATGTGGTGTGTCCGCCAGCGTTACTGTCGTTTGCTCAACGCTGTCCGCATCATCCAGGTCTATTGGCGCTGGCACAGCTGCCATTCCCGTGTCTTTATTGAGGGCCACTATGAACTCAAAGAAAACCAACTTAATATTCAACTTGAAATCTCTTTGGGCTTACAGGCTTGTAAGGTGCAACAATGCATACCCCTTCCATTAAAAGAATGACCAGGTCTGCTATATCTGTGTCCCCAGCTCTCTTCATCAGATGTATTTTCAGGAGGTCATTGTTTGAGATAATGATGGGAAATACTAGGCATGTCACAAGTCAGCTGTGAGGAATCAGCAGGGGTTGTCTTGGTTTCCATGTGGAGAAGGATTCTGAGAGCCGTCTGAGATGAGTAGGACCTGTGATTGATTAGCAATGTCTGCCATAGGTAGAAGAGTTGGGGTTTCAGGGTCACTAAGTCAACCAACTCTAGGGAGACTATGTAAATGGAACACCCTGTGGTTGTGCAGCATGGAAGACTGTGTCATCCTTTGCTATTCATTCATTCATTCATTCATTCATTCATTCATTCATTCATTCATTTATAGAGACTGGGTCTTGCTCTGTTGCTCAGGCTGGAGTATAGTGGTTCAATCACAGTTTCCTGCAGCTTCCAACTCTTTCCTGCTGCCTTAGTCTCCTGAGTAGCTGGGACCACAGATGCCCACCACCACACCTGGTTAATTTTTAAAAAATTTCTTGTAGAGATGGGGGTCTAACTATGTTGCCCAGGCTGGTCTCAAACTCCTGGCTTCAAGCAGTCCTCCTATCGTGGTCTCTGACGTTGCTGGGATTACAGGTGTGAGCCACTGTGCCCAACCTTTTAAAATACATTTTAACGATTTATTTTAAACATGGTGTTAAAATATACATAACATAAAATTTACTATTTTAACCATTTTAGGTGTATAGTTCAGTGGCATTAAGTACATTCGCATTGTTGTGCAACCATCACCACCATCCATCTCCAGAACTTCTTTCATCTTGCAAAACTGAAACATTGTACCCATTAAACAATTACTCCCTAGTCCTCCCTCCCCTAGCCCCTGACAACCACCATTCTACTTTCTGTCTCTATGAATTTGACTACTCGAAGTACCTCCTATGAGTGAAATCATACAGTACTTCTCATTTTGTGACTGGCTTATTCCACTTAGCATAATGTCTTCAAGAGTCATCCATATTGTAGCATGTGTCACATTTTCCTTCCTCAGGCTGAATAAAATTCCATTGTATGTATATGCTACATTTTATTCATTCATCTGTGGATGGACACTAGGATCCTTTCACCTTTTGGCGATTTGAATAACGCTGCTATGAACATGGATGTGCAAATATCTCTTCGAGATCCTACTTTCAATTCTTTTGGGTATATACCCAGAAGTGGAATTGCTGGATCATATGGTAATTCTATTTTTAATTTTTTTGTTTTGTTTTTGTTATTTTAAGAGACAAGTTCTCACTATGTTGCTCAGGCTGGAGTGCAGTTGCTATTCACAGGCGCAATCCCACTACTGATCAGCACAGGAATTTTGACCTGCTCCATTTTCAGTCTGGGATGGTTCACTCCTGCTAGGGAAACCTGGTGGTGCCCTGCTCCTAGGAGGTCACCATATTGATGCGAAACTTAGTGTGGACAACACATTAGCATAGTGCACTACCATACTGTTTTCCATAGCAGCTGTAACATTTTACATTGCTACCAGCAGTGCACAAGTGTTCCAATTTCTCCACCTCCTCATCAATACTTGTTATCTCTGCTTTTCTCATAACAGTCCTTCCAATGGGTATGAAGTGACATCTCATTATTTTTGATGTGTATTTCCCTAATGATTAGCGGTGAAAAACATCTTTTCATGTTCTTGTTGGCAGTTTAATATTTTCTTTGGAAAAATGTCTATTCAAATTCTTTGCCCATTTTTGAATTGGGTTTTTTTGGTCCTGTTAGTGTGTTGTAGGATTTTAATACTTTATCAGATATATGATTTATAAAGATTTTTGTCCCGTTCTATGGATTGCTTTTCACTCTGTTGTTTTTGTCTTTTGATGCAAAGAAGTTTTAAATTTCTTTTTTCTTTTTAAGACAGAGTCACTCTCTGTCACCTGGCTGGAGTGTAGTGGCATGATCTCGGCTCACTGCAACCTCCACCTCCCGGGTTCAAGCAATTCTTCTGCCTCAGCCTCCCAAGTACCTGTGATTACAGGCATGCCACCCTACCCGGCTAATTTTTGTATTTTTAGTAGAGATGGGGTTTCACCATGTTGGTCTCGAACTTCTGGCCTCAAGTGATCTGCTTGCCTCAGCTTCCCAAAGTGCTGGGATTACAGACGTGAGCCACCGCGCCTGGCCAGAAGTTTTAAATTTTGGTGTAATTGAATTTACCTATTTTTTTCTTTGTTTCCTGTTCTTTTGGTATCATATCCAAGAAGTCATTGCCAAATTCAGTGTTATGAAGGTTTTCCTCTATGTTTTCTTCTAAGAGTTTTATAGCTTCATATCTTACATTTAGGTCTTTGATATGTTTTGAGTTCATTTTTGTATATGGTGTAAGGTAATGGTGCCTTTTCATTTTTTTTGCCTGTGGATATCCAGTTTTCCTGTCACCATTTGTTGAAGGCACTGTTTTTCCTTATTGAATGGACTTGGCACCCTTGTTGAAAATTATTTGACTATATCCATGAAGGTTTATTTCTGGTCTCTCTCTTCTATTCTACTGGCTTAAAGATCTGTCTAATATGCCAGTACCACGCTCATCACTGTAGCTTTGTAATAAGCTTTGAAATTTGGAAGTGTGAGATCTCCAAATTTGCTCTTCTTTTTCAGTATTATTTTGGCTATTTGGGGTCTCTTTAGATTCCATATAAATTTTAGGACAGGTGTGGTGGCTCATGCCTGTAATCTCAGCACTTTGGGAGGCCAAGGCAGGAGGATCACTTGAGGTCAGGAGTTCGAGATCAGCCTGGCCAACATGGTGAAACCCCATCTCTACTAAAAACACAAAAATTAGCCGGGTGTGGTATGGCACACCTGTAATCCCATCTACTCAGGAGGCTGAGGCAGGAGAATCACTTGAACCCAGGAGGTGAAGTTTGCAGTGAGCCCAGATCACACCACTGCACTCCAGTCTGGGTGACAGAGTAAGACTCTGTCTCAAAAAAAAAAAAATTAATAAACTTTAGAATACATTTTTTTTCTTTTTTTCATACCTCTCTCCAGTTTTGGATAATTTCTCTATTTCTGCAAAAAATGTCATTGGGATTTTGATAGGGATGGCAATGAATCTGTAGATTCCTTTGGGTAGTACTGGATTTTTAACAACATAAAGTCTTGTAGTCTAGCACACAGGATGTCCTTACATTTGTTTGTGCCTTCTTTTGTTTCTTTCAGCAACATTTTGTAGTTTTCAAAGTACAAGTCTTTCACTTCCTTGGGTAAGAGTATTCCTAAGTATTTTATTCTTTTTGATGATATTGTAAATGAAATTCTTTTCTTTTTTTTTTTTTTTGAGACGGAGTCTCGCTCTGTTGCCCAGGCTGGAGTGCAGTGGCATGATCTTGGCTCACTGCAAGCTCCGCCTCCCAGGTTCACGCCATTCTCCTGCTTCAGCCTCCTGAGTAGCTGGGACTACAGGCACCCGCCACCATGCCCGGCTAATTTTTTGTATTTTTAGTAGAGACAGGGTTTCACTGTGTTAGCCAGGATGGTCTTGATCTCCTGACCTCGTGATCTGCCTGCCTCGGCCTCCCAAAGTGCTGGGATTACAGGCATGAGCCACCAGGCCTGGCCGAAATTGTTTTCTTACTTTCCCTTTTGGATTGTTTATTGTTAGTGTACAGAAGTGCAACTGATTTAAATTTTTTTTAATTTAAAAAATTTTATTTATTAATTTCTCTAGTCTTTTATTCCTTAAATGCAGCTGATTTTTTGTGTGTGTTGATTTTGTATCCTACTACTTTGCTGAATTCATTTATTCTAAGTTTTTTTTGTGTGTGTGTAATCTGCAGGGTTTACATATAAAATCATATTGTGTGTAAACAGAGATAATTTTACACCTTCCTTTCCAATCTGGATGCCTTTTATTTCTTTTTATTGCCTAGTTGTCCTGGCTAGAACTTCCAATACTATGCTGAATAGAAGTGGTGAAAGCAGTCATTTTGCTTTGTTCCTGATCTTAGAGGAAAAGCTTTCGGTCTTCCACCATTGAGGATATGTTCTGTGGTGAGCAGATCTATGCAAACCTGTCCCCAAAGTCTGAGGAAACTGAGAGGTTGAAGAAAGAGGATGACAAATCCAGTTTCTTAGAAAGAAACATTTAATATGGCCTTACAAACAGAAGCCGTGTCTGTGTCTCCGGTAGCAGCAAGATAAGATGGTGGATCCCTGCACCATCACCCTCCAGACCCAGGGCTTATCTATCACAGGGAAGGAATGTGTAGGATGATTGAAACCAACCCCTCAGGAAAAGGTGAGAATGCTATGTGAATCTGCCTTAGGGAAGGATTTACAGTAAAAGTAGATAAAGTAGAAATCTTAGAAACTGTATTAGTCTGTTCTTATGCTGCTGTGAAGAAATACCTGAGACTGGGTAATTTATAAAAGAAAGAAGTTTAATTGACTCACAGTTCTGCATTGCTGGGGAGGCATCAGGAAACTTACAATCATGGTAGAAGGCAAAGGAGAAGCAGGCACCTTCTTCACAGGGTGGCAGGACAGAGTGAGTGCAAGCAGGGGAAATGCCAGATGCTTATAAAACTGTTGGATCTTGTGAGACTCACTATCACAAGAACAGCATGGGGGAAACTGCCCCATGATACAATTACCTACACTTGGTCCCACCCTTGACACATGGGGATTTTTACAATTCAAGGTGAGATTTGTGTGCGGACACAGAGCCAAATCATATCAGAAGCATTCCTGGAACCAGGGGTTAATTGGAAGTGAACATGGTGAATTAATATCCAAGATAAAGTTGCTTTGGCTGCCACCAACTATTAGCTGTGGGCTTTTCCCATATACTCCTTATTATGTTGAGGTAATTTCCTTCTATTCATGTTGTGTTGTTGTTGTCGTTTTGTTTTGTTTTTTTCTTTGAGATGAAGTCTCGCTCTTTCACCCAGGCCAGACTGCAGTGGCGCTATCTCGGCTCACTGCAAGCTCCACCTCCCGGGTTCACACCATTCTCCTGCCTTAGCCTCCCAAGGAGCTGGGACTACAGGCGCCCGCCACTGTGCCCGGCTAATTTTTTGTATTTTTAGTAGAGATGGGGTTTCACTGTGTTAGTCAAGATGGTTTCAATCTCCTGACCTCGTGATCCACCCACCTCAGTCTCCCAAAGTGCTGGGATTACAGGCATGAGCCACCGCACCAGGCCACATAAGATTTTTATACAAAAATATTATCTTTTCTTTTTAACCTTCATTACCAAAAATACATCTTCATATCCATAACTTTCTTTACTGCTTCCTATCTTGTTTCATATTTTCAAATAATCTTTAAATAGCTTCAAAATTAGGTGATTTAGTTTAAAATAAAGAACATATTTTAATGTTTTTCTTATATATTTTTTCTGATCAAAAGCACATCTTACTTTTTTTCCCATTTTTAAAAAGTCAATGGTTTTTTATTTATTTATTTCTTTTTTTATTATACTTTAAGTTTTAGGGTACATGAAGCACATCTTACTTTTTTGGCACATTTTACATGCCAATTATATATCAATTAGAATTTTTAACTCTTAGTAAACTTAAATTGTAGTGAAAAACCTTGGAAATAAGAAACCTTGAATTGTCTGTCACATATCAGTATTTTATAAATGAGAACCATTTTATAATTTTTAGAAACATGTTTCCCCATAGTTTAAAAATGTATATTGAGTCTAAAATATATTTAGGCTTTCTATAGAATTTAAGAAGCCAAGAACAAACTCATATTTATGTTCAGCAATTTGTTTTAGTATTTTTTAGTCTTATGTGGAAATAACCCAAATGTTTAGTGGGTATCTATTATTTAATTTAACATAACTTTAAGACATCAAATTACATTAAAAGTTCATTTATATGCATTTATCTAGCTTATATTTGCATTACTTATTTATTTTTAGTGCTTACCTGTATTACTTACAAGAAATGGAATATTAGACAAACTAGTCATTATTTCACATTATTTTCTTGTTAACCATTTTTATAGCCTGTGAATATCAAGTGTTCACCTAAGTAGGAACCTTAAAGTTAAATATATGGCTATTTTGCTGGTAATTCAGAAGATACAGCTATTTTCACTAAACCAACAATATTAAATTGGTTTTATTTATAAAAAATTACACAAACAAAGAAAATTCTGTTTTAGGCTGGGTTTATGGTTCTGTAACTATTGTGTCAAACTCTGACACCTTAAACATCTTTTAGAGACAAATATAAAACTGACCAGTAAATCCAGGCAAAAATGTATACTGACAATTTTGAACACATTTTACAATTTTACAAACAATTTTAAAATTAGCTTATTTATTAAATATTTACTTAAGTCACAGGAACTAAAAATCATGTGGGTTAATTCCTATATATTTTATATACAGTCCCGTTTGCCTAATTCAATCTAAATAAAACAAATTTAAGGGATTTCTGAATGACTATGTCAGATTTTACCATGTTGACAAAACATATAATACATATATACTTACATAAACACATCCAAACACACACACACACACACACACACACACACACACACACACACAGAGACAGAGAGAGAGAGAGAGAAGGAGACAGAGAGAGAGAGATCTACAGCTTTCATTTTAGAATTTTTTTCATGAGACAATAACACAAGCTCACTGGTTTATGAAAGACAGTTGGATCTAAATTACATTTTGGAGAAAATAGGAACCTACTCATATGGCTTAACTTTGTTTTTCCTATAGGTATTCTAATGAAGCCTGTGAACTAAAATTTTGGGGAAAGCAGTTTCCATAGCAGATTGATTTTTAAAAGCTTCTTTCACCCCTACCTTCTTTTTGTCCTTTTTAAATTTCAAAGTTTAGGGTTAAATTTTCCAGGTTTACATTTTAGCTAAGACTGGCTGAATTGTATAAGGAAAACAAAATCTCCAAGTAGTCTTAAACTAGTAACAAATCTATCTTTTGTTTGCTGGTCTGGTTTCCTGATTAGCATATGCAGGAGGGGAAAGATTTTAGCAATTTTTTTCCAGCTTTTTCTCTTTGGCCTCTGTGTGGCCGAAAAAGTAAAATTTTTATGCTGGACAGAGATGCCTTATAGCATGGCTGTGAACTCAAGATTTTGACCTGTTTGATGTGAGAGCCTAACTTTTATAAACATTTATCTAGTATATTTTCCTTGAGATTACTAAATTTTCAATTAAGCATTCCATTACCATATGCAATTATTAGTCAGGCAAACCTAAATTTATAGTTTTTTTTGTTTTGTTTTGTTTTAAAGATGGAGTCTTACTCTGTTGCCCAGGCTGGAGTGCAGTAGTGTGATCTTGGCTCACTGCAACCTCCACCTCCTGGGTTCAAGTGATTCTCCTGTTTTAGCCTCTCGAGTAGCTGGGATTACAGGTGCCTGCTACCACTCCCAGCTAATTTTTGTATTTTTAGTAGAGACAGGGTTTCGCCATGTTGGCCAGGCTGGTCACAAACTCCTGACCTCAGGTGATCTGCCCACCTTGGCCTCTCAAAGTGTGGGGATTACAGGCATGAGCCACCATGCCCGGCCCTAAATTTATAGTTCTACAAGGTGTCTAAGTTTTGGTTACTATGAAACTGTTATAATTTGTAAAGTCATTAATTTGAAAGCCTTTTAACGCTTAAAAAAACTTGGCCAGAATGCCATAAGGAGTAGGTTTTATCTCAACACTAGTAGAAAAGTCAGCAGGTTCAAAGTAGGCAGAAAAAAATGCACAGAGAACTTAGAAGACTCTACATGTTAACTTTACAATTGCAGGCTTTTAGAATATTTATCATTTCAGTTCTGAATTTTTGCTGATTTAATTTTGCTCATCAGATGCCAGGTGTGGTGGCTCCTGCCTGTAATTCTAGCACTTTGGGAGGCTGTGGCAGGAGGATCACTTGAGGCCAGGAGTTCGAGAGCAGCCTGGCCAACATGGTGAAACCCCATTTCTACAAAAATACAAAAATTAGTCAGGTGCAGTGGCACATGCCTGTAGTCCCAGCTACTTGGGAGGCTGAGGGGGGAGGATCACTTGAGCCCAAGAGGTGGAGGTTGCAGTCAGCTGAGATGGTGCCGCAGCACTCCAGCCTGGGTGACAGAGCAAAACTGTCTCAAAAATAAAAAGTAAAAATAAAAATAAATAATTTTGCTCATCAATTTTAAAATGTTCACAAGAGTGGGCTGTAATATGCGGCCAGCTGGAGTCCCAGAAAACCTGGTATGCCTTAATGTTTGAGAATTCCACTCTGTTTCTTATTAATCTCTCAAGAGCAAAGAAAATTCTATAAATCCTGTTAGGGAACTTCAGGAGTTTAGGCTGGTGCTTTAGATGGTGGGGACTGCCCTAGTGGCTTTTAATTAGCCATCCTGCACCCACCATCCAGAATGTTTGTTTTTGCTTTCAGAAGATTTTCAGAAACTAAAGAGTTAAGCCAAATCAAAAGAAACCAGTATAAGAGTGTTTGCAAAAATTGTAACCTATGCATCCTGATCAAAATATTAAATGAGTTCCACAAACCAGAAAAGACATGCCTCACAGGCTGACTGTAAATTCTGTAGAAACTAAGAGTACTCAATTCAGAAAGACACACATCTTTATACAAGAAAGAACTTACCAGAAAAGGCAAAAAGTCTTTTTATCATTCAAGGAGAGATGTATGGTCTTTATTAAGGTTGCGTGATCCAAACCAGATCCCAAATAATATCAAATAATACCAAAAAGAGAGAGGCTCAGCCTGAGAGAAGACTCACCAGGGAAGAACAGGCAAGCCTTGGAAGCAGAGAGCTCAAAGGGCTCTAGTGGGTCCTGCACACCAGTTCCAAGAATTGCCAATCCCTTCCAATAGTGTTCTTTTTCAGGTTTCATTTCTGACACCATTTATTCCAACCGAAATAACAAACATTTGGAGAGGAGGTGGTGTAAATTATTCAACTCGGAAAATATAAATGCAAACATACTAAATAAATTCATTGGGAAATTAGTCCAGTTGATATATGTGGTCATGAATATAAATGAAGACCATGCCTCATGGTTGTTGGTTTTGTCCCAGCCATGTTCCCTTATTCTGTAGGCATGGAACAGGGAGACGGTTGCCTTCATCTCATACATGTTTGCAGAAAGAAAGTGGGCCAAGGAAGTGAGGTAGTGCAGGGGAGAGATGATAATTAACCATGGAATCTGCACTAGGTAAAGAAACATGCAAGAGCATGTCAGGGGTGGTGGCTGTAAAAAAATGATAGCATCAATAAACTGGAAGACCTTATCATATCTGAAGAAATATTGGGGTTATTGAAAAGGTGAACTGAAAGAAGAAAGTAATCAAAGAATGGAAAATTAGAAAAAGCAATTTGAGCAATAGTACAATTATTGGTGATGATGAGGTCTAGAGCATCATTGTCCAATGATTATTTAAATTTAAATAAAATAAAAAATTCAACTCCTCAGTTGCACTAGGCACATTTCAGGTGCACCACAACTATATGTGGCTAGTGGCTACTATGTTGGACAGCATAGAGAGAGATTTCCATCATCACAGAAGTTCCATAGAATAGCATTGTTTTGGTATGACTGTGGGAGTGAATAGCTGAGGAGAAGAGCAGAAAAGGTTTGAGGTTAGAATGGAGGAGATTGTAGGGTCATCTTGACCAATGATAAAATCACCAATAATTGAGATAAGAGTAGGGGTGGGGGTAATATCAGAGGGAGCCCTGTTTGTCACCTGGCCCTTGGGGAGACGAGTTCTAGTGAGGAAATTGTAGAGAAAAGATGAACTTCTGTAAACTTCTGTTTTCCACTAGTCCTTAGGGTCACCACCTAATCATTAGCATGCCTAGCCCCAGCCCCACCTACCAGTAAGGCCAGCCTCTTATCCTTCACCTGGGGCTGCACTACATTGCTCCCAGGAGAATCAGCCAAATATTGCCTTTCCATCTAGGTGCTTGCCAAAGAGGAAACTGAGGCATCCCAAACCCCAGCCGACCTTGATTCTAGGTTGACAGAGCAGGGCCCAATAGTCCATCCATATGTGCAGAGGTGCCCAGAATCTTCAGGAAGATGGAGCCCAACTGCCTCCCAGATCCCCCGGTGAGAAGAAAATAAGGCTGGGGATGGGAACTGGGATTTCTGGCTCTGTCATATATCAGAGCAGACTGGGGCTTCCTATGGCCATTGTCAGTCCAAAACAGGGTCCTTGGACACAGGGGGCAAACCTCACTGAAATTCTTTCTCAGGGAGAAGAGGAGGCAGCAAGGTCCAAGTCTCAAGAATCCCATTAGCTGGGGGAGCCCATGAGACACACCAGACCAGGTTAGACCTTTAATAGGGACAGTAGACACAGTGCCCTTCTTGCCAGCCCTTAGGAGTTGATGATCTCAATGTGGAACTGCAGGTGAGTGGCTGTGACCACACAGTGGCCCTGGAGGAGAGCGCAGGTCTGGCAGTTGTGGCATTGCCAGTGGCCCTGGATGATGTAGATGGCATTGAGCACCTGGCAGTATCGCCAGCGGACACGCCACATACGGACCAAAGACTGGAGCTTGATCACTGCCCTCTCTCTGGTTGCGTAGGCGATCAGAGCTGCCTGCCGTTTCTTCTCCAGCACCCTCGACAGCGTCATCCGCCACCAGCACTGAATTATCCAGGCCCTGAGGGCTGCATGCAGCAGTGTCCTGCGCACCAGGGTGCCCCGCCACCAGGCCTGGATCTTTACAGCTGCTTTTGTTCTTATTCTAAGTTTTTCCTAGGCAGAGACAAGAGCGATCAGTCAGAAAACTTCCTGCCACCAACTTCTAGGATCTTCCTGGAAGGAGCCTGGATTTTCTCTCTCAAAACACAGCCCTTCCTCAGAATTCAGGGAAGTTAGCAGGACACTGACTAGGAGCCATCAGACCTGGTGGTGACCTTCCTCTGCCACTGTGGGCACATCACTTCAATCTTAGAGTCACAGAGTTCTTCTGCAGACTATTTCTGCAGTGCATGGATCAAGGGAAAAACCATTAGTAACTAGAAGGGTGCAATAGGGATGTGTGGGACCTTGTTAGTCACACTCACCTCTTTGGTGCTCACTGGGTTTGGAAAGGCCTCATAACCTTCTGCCTGGTAATTATCTGCTAATTCCAGCCCCAAACCACCACTGGCTGATTTCTGTCTGCTATGACCATATTTTGATACTATGGTAGGTTTTCAATACCCTGACCACATATTCTACTCCAAGTCTTTCCATATTTTGAACAGTCTACTCTCTAATTCCAAGTTCTCACATTCTCACCTCTCAGCCTTATGCATTTCTTGATGGCTTTCATTCTTTTTTTTTTTTTTTTTTTTGAGAAGGAGTCTCGCTCTGTTGCCCAGGCTGGAGTGCAGTGGCGTGATCTTGGCTCACTGCAAGCTCCGCTTCTCGGGTTCACCCATTCTCCTGCCTCAGCCTCCTGAGTAGCATAGCTGGGACTACAGGCACTCACCACCACACCCGGCTAATTTTTTGTATTTTTAGTAGAGATGGGGTTTCACCGTGTTAGCCAGGATGGTCTCAATCTCCTGACCTCATGATCTGCCTGTCTCGGCCTCCCAAGGCTTTCATTCTTTCCAATCACTCTCAATATCTCAGTCAGGCCCAGATCCAGACAGCCCAGACTGAGAAGAGAATGGAGGAAAAATGAGCCAACATTGAGTTGACTCCTAATTAGACCCTGGATTGATAAGAGGCAAAGTCCTACACCTTATGATGTAGTTATAAATGTTCTGGATTTCTCTTAAGTACATGGAATTCTTCTCACCTTGATTTTCTGCTGTTTCTTCTTCTGCAATGTCTTCCATTCAATGCTTTCTTCAACATCCTCAATTATAACCAAAATTAAATTGCCTTTGGTCTGTCATCAGAATTAAATGGGAAGTACATAAATGAGTTAAGACTGTTTCTCTCTATGGCTCTATACAAAGACAATTACTACTTTAACATCCTCTCTTTTCTCAAGTCCTGTAAAGCCCAGGGAGATACCCACCCATTCCTGGTCCACCTAATAGATCTGGCCATGTCTCTTACACAAAATCGAACCCTCATGGCCTGTCCTTAGATGGTTCATTAGCCCTGATTTCTCTGCTTCCCAAGGTCTGGCATGAGTAACGTGAGTGAGGAGAGAGCTCTGAATTCACAATTGCATTATGACATAGGGATTGGGACATCTGCCACAGAGATGTGTCTCTGTCAGAAACAAACTCCAGGGGAACTTGTACTGTAGCAGGATGAGCTGCAGACAAAACCCCTCAGACACTGGGTTAAAGAAGGAAGAGGCTTTATTCCCCCGGGAGCATTGGCCGACTTGCATCTCAAGAACCGAGCTCCCTAAAGAAAGAGTTCCTGGCCCTTTAAAGGGCTTTCAACTCTAAGGGGTCCATGTGAAACCTGGCCCTTTTTAGGGCTTTCAACTCTAAGGGGTCCATGTGAAAGTGTTGTGATAGATTGAGAGCACATGTGGTTAGAGTTGGGGGTGGGGAGGGTTAATCTTTCAATCTCAGGTCTGGTCAGTGGCACCAGTTGGTCTTGCCACTGACTTCATTCCTGTTGTTCTTCAGCTTTTACTTCCTCATTCTCTTCAGAGACAGGAGACAGTAAGAGAAATGGCCTCTCTCCTCAGTACCATGTGTCTGCTTGCCTCCTGTCAGAGATGTGTCAGAGCTGAGGGTGGAAAAATAGAGCACTTGAGTGCCATTCCATAGCAGGGCTCTCCTCATGTGAAGTCCATCCACAGTCCCTTCTCATTATCATCAGCATGGCAAAGCAGGGAGGACCATGACGGTGCATCCCCATATCACTCTCTAGCGTCTGGTGAGATTTAGCACTTCCTCTCTTCCCTTGACTCGGTGCCTCACAAAGCCTTAGGAAACTAGAAAAAGATACACCAGATGAATCTGGAAAGCAGTCAAATAAAGATCAAAACTTAAATTAATGCATAGAAAACAAAGATGGGTAGTGGAAAATAAATTTAAAAGGCAGTATTCTGACAAGACCAGTTTTAAAGATACACAGTTTACCAACCTGGGTAATCAAGAGAATGAAGTGGAATGAAAAAGGTGAAATAGCCACAGGGAAATTTAAATAAATACAAGGAAATATTGATGGTGACAAATTTGAACACTAAGAGAAAATGATTTTCTTTCTCTCTTTTTCTTTTTTGGAGATAGGGTGTCACTCTGTTGTCCAGGCTGGAGTGCAGTGGTGCAACTTTGGCTCACTGCAGGCTTGACCTTCCTGGACTCAGGTGATCCTCCCACCTCAGCCTCCTGAGTAGCTGGGACTACAGGCACACACCACCATGCCTGGCTATTTATTTTTTTCATTTTTTTGTTCTTTTATTTTTTAAAGTATGTATTTATTAAGATATGGGGTCTCACTATGTTGATTGGGCTGGTCTCAAACTCCTGGGCTCAAGTGATTCTCCCACCTCAGCTTCCCAAAGTGCTGGGATTACAGGTGTGAACCACCATACCTGGCCGATTTAAAATTCTAAGAGTTTTATAGCTTTAGCTCTTACATTTAGATCTTTGATCCATTTTAAGTTTTGTGTATGGAGTGAGGCTAGGTTCAAATTCATTCTTTTACATGTGGATGTCGAGTTGTTCTGGCATAATTTGTCAAAAAGACAATTGTTTTCCCATTGAATGGACTTGGCACCCTTGTCAAAACTAAATTGACCATAGATATATGGGTTTCTTTCAGACTCTCTATTCTATTTCACTGACCTATATGTCTGTGTTTGTGCCTGTACCAAACCAGTTTGATTACTGTAGCTTCGTAGTAAGTTTTGAAATCAGGAAGTGTGAGCCCTCCCACTTTGTTTTTCTTTTTCAAGATTGCTTTGGCTATTCTGAATCCCTTGACTTTCCATATGAATTTTAGAACCAGCTTGTCAATTTCTGCAAAAGAAGTCAGCTGAATTCTGATAGGGATTATGCTAAATCTGTAGATCAATTTGGGGAATATTGTCATTTTAGCAATATTAAGTCTTCTAACCTACAGACACAGATGTCTTTATTTAGGTCTTCTTAAACTTCTTTTTTTTTTTTTTTAATTTATTTTTTATTGATCATTCTTGGGTGTTTCTTGGAGAGGGGAATTTGGCAGGGTCATAGGACAATAGTGGAGGGAAGGTCAGCAGATAAACAAGTGAACAAAGGTCTCTGGTTTTCCTAGGCAGAGGACCCTGCGGCCTTCCGCAGTGTTTGTGTCCCTGGGTACTTGAGATTAGGGAGTGGTGACGACTCTTAACGAGCATGCTGCCTTCAAGCATCTGTTTAACAAAGCACATCTTGCACCGCCCTTAATCCATTTAACCCTGAGTGGACACAGCACATGTTTCAGAGAGCACAGGGTTGGGGGTAAGGTCACAGATCAACAGGATCCCAAGGCAGAAGAATTTTTCTTAGTATAGAACAAAATGAAAAGTCTCCCATGTCTACCTCTTTCTACACAGACATGGCAACCATCCGATTTCTCAATCTTTTCCCCACCTTTCCCCCTTTTCTATTCCACAAAACCGCCATTGTCATCATGGCCCATTCTCAATGAGCTGTTGGGCACACCTCCCAGACGGGGTGGTGGCCAGGCAGAGGGGCTCCTCACTTCCCAGTAGGGGCGGCCGGGCAGAGGCGCCCCTCACCTCCCGGACGGGGCGGCTGGCCAGGCGGGGGGCTGACCCCCCCACCTCCCTCCCGGATGGGGCAGCTGGCCGGGCAGAGGGGCTCCTCACTTCCCAGTAGGGGCGGCCGGGCAGAGGCGCCCCTCACCTCCCGGACGGGGCGGCTGGCCGGGCGGGGGGGAGACCCCCACACCTCCCTCCCGGACGGGGTGGCTGCCGGGCGGAGACGCTCCTCACTTCCCAGATGGGGTGGCTGCCGGGCGGAGAGGCTCCTCACTTCTCAGACGGGGTGGCTGCTGGGCAGAGGGGCTCCTCTCTTCTCAGACGGGGCGGTTGCCAGGCAGAGGGTCTCCTCACTTCTCAGAAGGGGTGGCTGGGCAGAGACGCTCCTCACCTCCCAGATGGGGTCACGGCCGGGCAGAGGCGCTCCTCACATCCCAGACGGGGCGGCGGGGCAGAGGCGCTCCCCACATCTCAGACGATGGGCGGCCGGGCAGAGACGCTCTTCACTTCCTAGATGGGATGGCGGCCGGGAAGAGGCACTCCTCACTTCCTAGATGGGATGGCGGCCGGACGGAGACGCTCCTCACTTCCCAGACTGGGCAGCCAGGCAGAGGGGCTCCTCACATCCCAGACGATGGGCGGCCAGGCAGAGACGCTCCTCACTTCCCAGACGGGGTGGCGGCCGGGCAGAGGATGCAATCTCGGCACTTTGGGAGGCCAAGGCAGGCGGCTGGGAGGTGGAGGTTGTAGCGAGCCGAGATCATGCCACTGCACTCCAGCCGGGGCACCATTGAGCACTGAGTGAACGAGACTCCGTCTGCAATCCCGGCACCTCGGGAGGCCGAGGCTGGCGGATCACTCACGGTTAGGAGCTGGAGACCGGCCAGGCCAACACAGCGAAACCCCGTCTCCACCAAAAAAAATACGAAAACCAGTCAGGCGTGGCAGCGCGTGCCTACAATCGCAGGCACTCGGCAGGCTGAGGCAGGAGAATCAGGCAGGGAGGTTGCAGTGAGCCGAGATGGCAGCAGTACAGTCCAGCTTCGGCTCGGCATGAGAGGGAGACCGTGGAAACAGAGGGAGAGGGAGACCGTGGGGAGACGGGAGAGGGAGAGGGAGACCGTGGGGAGACGGGGGAGACCGTGGGGAGATGGGAGAGGGAGAGGGAGAGGGAGAGGGAGAGGGAGAGCTGGATTTCAAAGCTTCATCCATGCTGAGCTGCAAGGGGAATGGACAGAACTGGAAACTGGGGCAGACTGGAGTTGCCAGCCTAGGCTGGGCTGTGAGCTCCATGGAGCAGATGCTGGGCCATCCTGCCCCGGCTCTAAGCCCAGCCCCAGGCCAGGGCCGGCACCTGGTAGGCTCTTCATGAGTGCTTCCTGAATGAATGCTGCAGAATGGAAATTCTTTTATGAAGAGAAAAATCAGAACTGATTTGAGCTCCTCTGTCAGCCTTACTTCCCTCATCTGTTTCAGTAGAGCTAAATACCCATGGTTGTGTTTGTGTGGCATTTTCGAAGCACTGCCCCACTGGTGTGCTGAACGGGTTCCCCAGGAGGAACTCCATCTTGGGTGGACAACACGCAGCGGCCCGGGCCCCCTGTCTGCCACCTAGGCCTCCGCTGTCTAGGTCTTCTTAAACTTCTTTCAACAATGTTTTGGAGTTTTCAGTGTACAGATCTTGCTCTTTTTGTGTAAAATTTATTCCTAAGTATTGTACTTTTTTGATGCTGTTGTAAATGATATTGTTTTCTTAATTTCATTTTTGGCTTTTTCATTGCTGATATACAAATACAACCATTATTTGTTATTGATCTTATATCCTGCAACCTTGAATCATGTAATCTGCAAATAGTGAGTTTTACTTCTTCTCTCCTAATCTGTATGTCTTTATTAATTTTCTCGATTAAGTGTTCTGGCTGGAATCTCCAGTACAATGTTGAATACAAGTGGTGAGTAGACATTTTTGTCTTGCTCCTGTTCTTAGGGAGGAAGCTTTCAGTACTTCACCAGTAAGTATGATGTTGTGTCCAGAATTGGTTCCTTCTGGTCGGTTCTTGGTCTCACTCACTTCAAGAATGAAGCTGCAGACCCTCGCAGCGAGTGTTACAGTTCCTAAAGATGGTGTGTCTGGAGTTTGTTCCTTCAGATGTTCAGATGTGTCCAGAGTTTCTTCCTTCCAGTGGGTTCGTGGTCTCACTTGACTTCAGGAGTGAAGCCACAGACCTTCGCAGTGAGTGTTGCAGCTCTTAAAGGTGGTGTGTCCAGAGTTGTTTGTTCCTTCCGGTGGGTTTGTGGTCTTGCTGACTTCAGGAGTGAAGCTGCAGACCTTTGCAGTGAGTGTTACAGCTCATAAAGGTAGCGTGGACCCAAAGAGTGAGCAGCAGCAAGATTTATTGTAAAGAGCGAAAGAACAAAGCTTCCACAGCATGGAAGGGGACCCGAGCAGGTTGCCGCTGCTGGCTTGGGTGGCCAGCTTTTATTCCCTTATTTGGCCCCGCCCATGTCTTGCTGATTAGTCCCTTTTACAGAGCACTGATTGGTCCATTTTTCAGAGTGCTGATTGGTCCCTTTTTACAGAGTGCTGATTGATGTGTTTACAAACTTTAGCTAGACACAGAGCACTGATTGGTGCGTTTTTACAGAGTACTGATTGGTGCATTTACAAACCTTTAGGTAGACACAGAGTGCTGATTGGTGCGTTTTTACAGAGTGCTGATTGGTGCGTTTACAAACCTTTAGCTAGACACAGAGTGCTGATTGGTGTGTTTTCAATCCTTTAGCTAGACAGAAAAGTTCTCTGAGTCCCCGCCTGACCCAGAAGCCCAGCTGGCTTCACTTCTCAATCCCCCCTCTAAACAGGACAACCCAACTGCTGTTGGGAATTGGGCAATGACCATTCTAGCAGCTTCCTGCTGGACAGGGGTGAAGAAGGGGCCCTGCAGTTTTAATGTCCTCCAGAGGGGAACACTTTAGGCCAGTGAAAGGGCCAGCAGGTTGGTCCAGGGGTCCTTGGTAGAAGTTGTTAGTTGAGCTCATTTGGGGTTCCATTTGTAAGACCATCTGTAGCTCAATGGCCTCGATCCTAGAGGAAACAAATTTGACAAAGAGGTTAAAAATACAGGGCCCAAAGGCGAGTAATAGCAAGATGGCTGCCATGGGACCTAGAAAGGGAAGAGGTCATGTTGCCCAACTCTAGAGGTTGGTATAAGAGTTTGAAAGGCATTGTCTGATTTCAGAAGCCTTTTCCTGTAAATGCCGGGTGGCATCTTGTACTCTCCCTGACTGGTTAGTGTAAAAACAACACTCTTCTCCTAAGAAGGTGCAGAGTCCTTCTTTCTCAGCAGTGAGGAGGTCTAGGCCTTGGCAGTTTGGAGAGTCACTGCTGCCAAAGAGTCTATTTGGGATTTTAGAGTAAGGATAGATTTCATTATTTCTTACAAACTGTCTGAGAAATCCTTTGAGAATGTGTGGTAGTAGGATTATGAAATAGATAAACTGGCTCTTCCGGTTCCTGTAGCAGTAGCCATTCCTAACCTTATAAGTAGGGGTATTAGTTGTATGGCTCTGTGCTGATGGACTTGAGCTTTGAGGGGTACTGATAGGGTCTGATTTCCACAAGATTAGAAGTTAGGATGATATATGTTTACACTGTTAACTTTTAGCAAACTTTACTTTTGTTGAAAACCTTGTAAGTTTGGGATTTCAATTATTCTTTGCTATTAATAAGACTTTGTTCAGTCCATATTAACTTAGAATTGGTATAGATGGCTCCTTCCTGATTCTGTAAGTTCTTTGAGGTTTGGCTGAGTGCAAAGAGCTCACACATTTGAGCAGACCAATTATTAGCCAATTTTCCTAACTCTGCTTCTACACGAGTTTCCTTATCATTTACTGAATACCCATTGTGTCTTTTTTCCTTAATTGCCTGGGAGGAACCATCTATCGTCCTGTCCTGAAGGGAGTTCCTCCTAGATCTGGTCTGACCTTTGTATGGTAATTAATTAAGATTTAGATCCCCTGTTAGGAAACCTGCTGGGTTAAGGATTTTTGATAGGAAGCCTACGTGTTGTCAGTGGCCTCAGTGCTTTCAGGCTATACCCTTGTTTACACTGACAACAAGGTGGTATTGGAGTGTTATAGGGTTACAGAGAAGACCTTCAATTATCAATTATAGGTTTTAAATTTACCCTGGCTTCTAAAGGAATAGGGTACACTGTTTTTTCTTTACTACTTCTATCTCTCTTTCTCTTTGACTTCTTCTTTGTCTCTCTCTTTCTGACTCCGTCTTTGTCTGTCTCTTCCTCTCTCTCTTTGACTTTCTGTGTCTCTCTTTCTCTCTCTCCCTGACTCCCTCTTTGTCTCTCTCTTCCTCTCTCTCTCTCTCTGACTTTCTGTCTCTTTCTCTCTTTCCTTTCTGCTGGTCTTTCCCTGCCTCTGCCAGCCACTTATGCTGCTGTTCTCCCCTCTCCTTCCCCTTTTGATGGCTTTGGCAGTGTAAGACTGTCACCTCCTTGGGTTTTTGCACTGCATGCAATAATTCCATGGTTTCCTTGTGGTATTTAATGGGGGTTCCCCCAGAGGTTAGGAACCCCCTTTCTTTCCATATTGCAGCATGGGCATGTAGGATTAGATAAGCATACTTGCTATCTGTATACACATTTATTCTTTTTCCCCTTCCCAGTTCTAAGTCTTGGGTAAGTGCCACTAGTTCTCCTAACTGGGTGCTGGTCCCTGGGGGAGGAGGCTTACTTTCAAGTATGGTTACATCACTAACTATGGCATAACCTGCCCTTCATATCCCATTCTTCATAAATAAACTTCCATCGGTATATAGGTTAAGGTCAGGATTAGCTAAGGGGACTTCTAAGAGATCATCTTGGGCGGCATAAGTCTGGACTATAATTTGTTGGCAGTCATGCTTGATTGGTTTCCCCATTCTCTGGGAAAAAAGTGGCAGAGTTGAGGGCCATACATGTGTGTATTTGAAGCACCGGTCCCTCAAGGAGTAGCGCCTGGTATCTAAGCAGGCGGCTGTCTGATAGCCATAAACTTCCTTTGGCATCTAGTAAACCATTTACATCATGAGTAGTCCAGACAGTGAGATCCTTTCCTTGTATTATTTTGATAGCCTCTGACACTAAGATTCCCACCACCACAACTACCTGTAAACAGTGAGGCCAGCCTTTTGCTACTACATCAATTTCCTTACTTAGGTATGCCACTGATGTGGGGTTGTCCCATGAATCTGAGTAAGGACTCCAAGAACTATTCCTGCTCTCCCTGTGATGTATAAAGAGAAGTTTTTTCCTGTGGGAAGGCTTAAGGCTGGAGCTTGAGTTTGTTCCTTCCAATGCCCAGACTTCAGGGTTGATTCCCTCATCAAGTAGGGGACAACAAATGGGTAACTTGCTCCCCATATTCATGTAAATAATAGCTCCAAGTTTGGCTAATATATCCCTCCTTAATAAGGGTGTGGGACTTTCAGGCATAATAAGAAAGGCACGTGAAAAGAGCAAAGTCTCCCAATTACAACTGAGAAGGTAGGAGAAATACCTGCTTACAGGCTGTTCAAGGATTCTTTGGATGGTAATGGATCTTGAGGACAGTTGTCCAGGACAGGAGATTAACACTGAGAAGGCTGCACCAGTGTCCAGGAGGAAGTCAATTTCATGGCCCTCAATGGTTAAACATACCTGGGGCTCCATGAGGGTGATGACATGAGCTGGCACTTGCCCCAGGTACCCTCAGTCCTGTTATTGGATCATCTGGTTGGGGGCTTCCAGTCCAGAGAACCTTTGTCTTCTGAGGCAGTGTGCCTTCCAGTGATTGCCTCGGCATAGTGGACGTGGGTGAGGGGCAGCTTGTTTCTCATTGGACAATCTTTTTTAAGGTGTCCTTGAAAACCACACTGATAACAAGCCCTACTGGGTGATTGGCCTGCTCCATTTTCTGTCCTCTCTGAACCACCAAGGTTTGTTTGTCTGAGGGCCATGACTAAGGCTGTGGCCTGTCTCTGATCTCGCTTTTCCTTTTGGGCCTGTTCCTCTTGGTCCCTATTATAGAACACCGAGGTTTCCAGGTTTAATAATGCCTCCAGATTTTGTTCAGGGCCCAGGGCTCCCTTCTGGAGCTTTCTCCTGATATCTGCAGCTGATTAGGTAATAAACTTATCTTTTAGAATCAACTGACCGTCGAGTGAGTCGGGTGACAGGGGAGTATATTTTCTTAAGGCCTCCTGTAGCCGCTTAAGAAAGGCAGGATTTTCTTCCTTTCCCTGAGTTATGGTAGACATCATTGAATAATTCATGGGCTTTTTCCTAATTCTCCTTAGTCCTTCCAGAACACAGGTCAACAGATGTTTACAACTCCAGTCCCCATGATCTGAGTTGAGGTCCCAGTGGGGATCCATACTGGGGACAGCTTGCTGACTGGTAGGGAATTTGTTCCTTTCTTCAGCTGTCATTCTGTCATTTACTTGACTAAGATACCAGGTATCTCCAAACTCTCAGGCTGCAGCTAATGCTGCATTCTTTTAATTAAAGGTCAGGGTTTGATCTAACAATAGCATGACATCTCTCCAAGTGAGATCGAACTTTTGTCCTAGACCCTGTAGGACATCTATGTACCTATCAGGATCATCTGAAAACTTCCCCAGGTCTACCTTGATCTGCTTTAAATCAGAGAGGGAGAAGGGGACATGTACCCAGGTTGGGCCAAATTCCCCTCCCCCTCCAGCTTGAAGGGGACATAACTGATAGCCCAGGGGTTTTTGTGGTCCTTTGGAGATTTCTTTGCTTGTTTCCTTCTGGGTGGGGGAGATTAGAGGAGGCTTATCATTAATAGGAA
Source organism: Homo sapiens (assembly GCF_000001405.40). Classification (NCBI taxonomy): domain Eukaryota; kingdom Metazoa; phylum Chordata; class Mammalia; order Primates; family Hominidae; genus Homo; species Homo sapiens. The sequence continues at coordinate 51,852,239 of NC_000003.12, read as the reverse complement.
GGGGAGCTATAGGGAGGCTAGGATATGGGGGTAAGCTGAGGGGTCCTCTTGTGGGATGTAAATTGCAAGCGTTGCATAGTTGTGTATTCTCTTCAATTAAAAGAGAGCTTGGACATAAGGTATTTCACTCCATTTGCCTTCCCTCTTACAGAAAATGTCAAGCTGCGGGATAGTATTGTAATTTATACTTCCCTTGGGTGGCCACTTTTCCCCATAAGAGAGAGCATACTGGGGCCAAGCTGTAGTGCAGAAAAAAAATGAGCCGCCTCTTTTTCAGGGTTTGTGGGTCAAATTGGCCCCAATGGCTTAGGATGCATTTCAAGGGTGAGACTGTTGATGCCTGAGTGTTTCCCATCTGAAAGGCAAAACCACCCGTGGTTTTGGTTTGTTTGTTTCTCCCCCTGCCCAAGAACCTGCAACAGTCCCTGGACCCTGCTGATCAGAATAGTTGCACTCACTGATGCAGCAGCAGAAATACCTCTTGCCCAAGAACCTGCAACGGTTCCTGGACCCTGCTGATTGGAAGAGTTGCGCTCACTGATGCAGCAGCAGAAACACTAGTTTTCCTCCCAAAACGCAAGGAGGACCGAGGAATATAGGATTTAGTGGCACTTACTGACACATTCTCAAAAACCTGCACCCTTGCCTGTCTTCCTAGACCACAAAGAGGACTGAGAAAAAATGGATTTAGTGGCTCTTACTGACACATTCTCGAAAACCTGTTAGAGTCCTAAGTGTTCTCCTGTTAGTATTGGGACTTTACCCACGTCCTATAAAGATGTTATGCCCCCAAAATGAAGTGGAGGGCCATACCCTGAGGGAGGTGAGGGATCTCCAGAGTTGGAAGAGTGATGCATTTTTGTCCTCACTTATATGAATAGGAAGGCTATAATTTCTGAAGCTCCCCATATCCTAGCTTCTGGAATAGCTTTTGTTAGGCCTGCTAGTCTGAGGAGGGATCCTAAAATTCCAGATAAGATAGTCCCCTGCCCCAGTGGAGCTTTGGGCAAAAATTATGTCTTTCTGATTGGTGAGCCTGGGTGCCTAAAGAAGGTAACAGAGTCCTGGAGTTTATACTAGAAATCATTCTTATAGGAGAAACTAGAAAAGCACCAGAGACAGGGAGTGGTTTTTAGAAGTGGGACTAGCTTCAGAGAAGAGAGGCGAGAGGAAGTTTATCTGACAAGCATTAGGACCCAGGAGGCAAGGGTCATCATAGATAGGATAGATGGGCAAGTCTCACTTGGGCAACATGAGTTTAAGAGTTCTGCTTATGGCCGCAGAGTCAGCCAACTCATTGTCGGAACCCCGGAGCTGAATGGCTTTCCTGTCTGTTGACCCTCAGCTCAGCCCAGAAGTACAGGAAAAGTGGAAGCTGGTTCCAGGCAAACAACGCTCCAAATTGCGAAGAGTCGGGGGTTGTTAGAGAGCCCTTTCCCAGAAAGCCTGACACCCGTGTCTTTAGTTTGGCAGCCATGCTAGTCACTTTTAGCTGGCCGACAGGTGCCCGGTATTTAGCCCCCAAATTCTAAGGAAAAATAGGACAGAATAACAAGCGAAACGGGTCTGATGGTACTCACCATTTGGTGATAGATGATAGCCCCACGTTGGGTGCCAAAATGTGTCCAGAATTGGTTCCTCCCGGTGGGTTCTTGGTCTTAGCTGACTTCAAGAATGAAGCTGCAGACCCTTGCGATGAGTGTTACAGTTCTTAAAGATGGTGTTTCCAGAGTTTGTTGCTTCAGATGTTCAGATGTGTCCGGAGTTTCTTCCTTCCAGTGGGTTCATGGTCTTGCTTAACTTCAGGAGTGAAGCCACAGACCTTCACAGTGAGTGTTACAGCTCTTAAAGGTGGCTGGAGTTGTTTGTTCCTCCTGGTGGGTTCATGGTCTGACTGACTTTAGGAGTGAAGCTGCAGACCTTTGCAGTGAGTGTTACAGCTCATAAAGGTAGTGTGGACCCAAAGAGTGAGCAGCAGCAAGAGTTATTATGAAAAGCAAAAGAAAAAAGCTTCCACAGTGTGAAAGGGGACCCAAGCGGGTTGCCGCTGCTGGCTCACATGGCCAGCTTTTATTCCCTTATTTGGCCCCACCAATGTCCTGCTGATTGGTCAATTTTACAGAGCACTGATTGGTCCATTTTACAGAGTGCTGATTGGTCCGTTTTTACAGAGTGCTGATTGACGTGTTTACAAACCTTTAGCTAGGCACAGAGCGCTGATTGGTGCGTTTGTACACAGTGCTGATTGGTGCGTTTACAAAGCTTTAGCTAGACACAGAGCGCTGATTGGTGCGTTTTTACAGAGTGCTGATTGGTGCATTTACAAATCTTTAGCCAGACACAGAGTGCTAATTGGTGTGTTTACAATCCTTTAGCGAGACAGAAAAGTTCTCCAAGTCCCTACCTGACCCAGAAGCCCAGCCAGCTTCACCTGTCAATGTTAGCTGTGAATTTTTCACTGGTGCCCCTTATCAGGTTGAGGAAGTTCCTTTCTATTCCTAGTCTGTCCAGTTCTTTTTTTTGTTTTTGCTTTTTGACAATAAAAGGGTGTTAGATTTTGTCTAAAGTTTTTTTTCTAATATATCAATTGAGATGATTAATGGGATTTTTTCCTTTATTTTATTAATACGGTGGCACAATAATTGTTTTTTGTTTGTTGAACCAATCTTGCATCCCTTGGATGAATCTCACCTGGGTATGGCATAATAATTCTATTTATAAGCTGCTGTTTTTGGTTTATTAGTATTTTGTTGAGAATTTCTTCACCTTTATTCATAAGAAATATTGGTCTGTAATTTCCTTTTCTTGTGACGTCCTTGTTTAAGTTTGGTATCAGGGTAATTCTAACCTCATAGAATGAGTGGGAGTGTTCCCTCCTCTTGTGTTTTTTGGAAGAGTATGTGAAGAATTGGTGTTAATTGTTATTTAAACTTTGGTAGAAGTTACCAATGAAGCAATCTGGTTTTGGGTTTTTCCTTGTGGGAAGTGGCTTTATTGCTAATTTAATCTCTGTACTTCTTTGATATAGATTTATTAATATTTTTCTATTGCTCTTGAGTCAGTTTTAGTAGTTTGTGTCTTTCTAGGAATTTGTCCTTTTCATCTATGATATCTATTGTTGGCATAGAATTGTCCATTTCATTCACCATAATATTCTTTTGTAATTCTTTTTATTTCTGTAAGGTTGGTAGTAATGCTCCCCCTTTCTTTCCTGATTTCAGTAATTTGTGTCTTTCCCTCTTTTTCCTTGCTCAGCTTAGCTAAAGTTTTGTCAATTTTGTTTTCTTTTCAAAGAACCAACTTTTCATTTCATTGACCTTCTTTTTTGATCTTAAAATTATCCTTTATTTATTTATGCCTTAACCTTTATTATTTTCTTTCTTTTGTTTGTGTTGGGTTTAGTGTGTCCTTTTTCCAGTTTCCTAAGGTAGAAGGTTAGGTTATTGATTTGTACATTTTCTTTTCTAAAAATGTAGGTGTTTATGGCTACAAATTTCCCTCTGGGCAATTCTTTTGCTGCATTCCATAAATTTTGGTATGTTGAGTTTTTGTCTTCATTCATCTCAAAATGTTTTCTAAATTTCTTTTATCCATTAGTCATTTAGCAATGTTTTGTTTAATTTCCAAATTTTCTTCCATTATTTATTTCTAATTTCATCTTATTATTGTCAGATAACATATCTTATATTACTTCAATTTTTAAAGAATGTATTGAGATTTGTTCTAACATATGTTCTATCTTGGGGAATGTTCCATGTGCACTTGAGAAGAATGCATATTCTGCTCTTGTTGGATGACGTATTCTATAGAGGTCTATTAGGTGTAGTCGGTTTTTATTGTGTTTTTCAAGTCTTCTATTTCCTTGCTGATCTTCTGTCTAGCTGTTCTATCTTTTGCTAAAATGCAATATTAAAGCCTCCAACTATGACTGTTGAATTATTTCTTTCTCTTTTTAATTCTGTCAGTTTTTGCTTCATATATTTTGGTGCTCCACAGTTAGATGCATATGTATTTATCTTCTTGATGAACTTACCCTTTTATCACTATATAATGTCCTTATTTGTCACTAGTAATAATTTTTGTCTCAAAATCTATTTTGTTTGATATTAGTATAGTTACTTCATCTTTGTTTTGGTTGCTGTTTGCAAAGCATATCTTCTTCCATTCCTTTATTTTCAACCTATTTGTGTCTTTGAATCTAAAACCAGTCTCTTATACTTAATTATAGTTGGATCATGTATTTTATCCATTTTGCCAATCTCTGCTTTTACTTTTAATTTAATATAATTACCAATGAGAAAGAACTTCTTCCAGTTTGCTGTCTGTTTCTATAGGTTGTGTGTGTGTGTTTCCTGTTCTTCCATCACTGCCTTCCTTTGTGTTAAGTAGATATCTGCTAGTGTACCATTTTAATTGCCTTATTGTTTCTTTTACTATGTGTTTAAAAATTATTTCCTTTAAGTTGCTCTGTCTGGTATTATTCCACAGATGTCTTAAATTTTGACATGGTCAAATACATCTATTTCCCTTTACAATTCAGTTTTTGTAATTTTCTAAACAAGTGCTTTCCCATCTAGGATGATGTTTTTCTATTAGATTCTGCTCCCAGAAGGAACTACCAGTTAGCAAACCTAGATGGGCTTCACATGGACTAAACCCCACCCCTGTACCTTACTGTTTTCTGTAATTTTTGCTTTCTCTGACTCTACTGAGTCCCTGCTTAGCCCCCTCCCTCATTCTCCCTTTAAAATGCCCAGTTAGCTGTTTACAAATAGAAGTTGAGTTCAACTCTTGTTGGAGTCTGTTCTTTTTTGCAATAGTTATTACTGATTAAGATCTGTCTTTATCACTTTAACTAGTGTCCAGCTTAGTTTTTCTTTGATAATATCACTGCCCAGATCCTAAACTGATCCAAGGGTGGCACACATGCAGGATAGATTAGAAATGCATGCCAAAAGCTTTGAAAAAAAATTAACATTGGAACTACAGCCAACAAAAAAAATGGGCTGTATCTCATTGGATTGACTGCCTGCTAAAACAAACAAACCAACAAATGAAAAGGTTATAAGATGACCCAGTATCTTACAACATAGTATTCAAAATGTTCAGAATACAACACAAAATTACTCAACCTACTAAGAATAAGAAAAACATGAACAGCTATCAATGGAGAGGGCAATCAAAAGATGTCAACCCCAAGATGACCCACATGTTAAAATTATCACACAGACTCAACAGCAGTTATTACAGATATATTTCAAGAAGAAAGACTGAATAATATTGAAACAAATGGAAATATAGGGTTCTTGGCAAAGAAATAGAAGCATTTTTTAAAATACAATTTTAGAACTGAAAAATTCAGTAATTAAATAAAAAAGTCACTAGAGTGGCTCAATAGCATAATGGAGATGACAAAGGAAAGAGTGAACTTGACAATAAAGCAACAGAAATTCTTAAATCTGAACACAGAGAAAGACAAATAGAAGCAAAAGAAACATAGCCTTGGAGACTTATGGTACAATATGCAAAGATGTAATATTTATGTCATTGGAGTACCATAAAACAGTGGAACAACATTTTTGAAGTGCCAAGTAAAAACAACTGTCAACCCAGAATTTTATATCTATTGAAAATACTCATCCAGAAGGAAAAATAAAGACATTCTCAGTGAAGGAAAAATCACAAGAATTCATCTCCAGTAGACCTTCTTTAAAAGAAATGCTAAAATAAGTTACTCAGGCAGAAGGGAAATGATGACAAAGGGGAATCTGGAACGTTAAAATGAAGGAGAGCATCCAAAATGGGAAATATCTTGTCAAATATAATAAATTACTTTCATCTTAAGTTCTTTAAAATATGTATGACTGCTGAAATACAAAATTATAACATTGTTAGACAGGGCTGAGACAGCCAGGTGGGAAGGGCTCCCTGGTAAAACCTCCAACCAACCTGCACACTGGGAGGACTGCACACTGAGGTGGAGCCCACAGCAAGGAGGAGCCTAGCTCTTCCTCTTCCTGTGTGGAAACTGAGATTCAAACTGTGAGGTGGGAAGCACACCAGCAGGGACTCTGGCTTTGTGGAGGGTTCCTGTTTCCCTTTGTCCCTTTTCACCCAATAAAACCCTGCCTTACTCACCCGTCAAATCATCTGCAAGTCTAAATCTTTGTGGCTGTGTGACAAGGACCCCATTTTTAGCTGAACTAAGGAAAAGTCCTGCAACATTTTTGGCATGCAACATGGGGGCTGGAGAAGTGGTGAGTGAAATGGAGACTCAATCCTCTCGCTGTCATTTCTACGCCTCTTCATCCACAGACTTCTGAGCTCATGGGAAACCATGCCTCCACCTCTGTTGCTCCCAGGGGTTGGTAAGATCGGCCTTGGTTTCCATGACCTTTTCCTCCCTTTTTCAGGACAGACCAGCAAGCAGTGGCTCCCTTCCACCCTTCCCTCCCTGCCGGGGCTGGGACACAGGGCCCAAGGTGCCCCAGGCAGCTAGCTGGCATATTCTGCCACGTGCCCATGGAGTCTCTCCATCCCTGGACCAGGGAAGCCCGCTCTGACCCACAACAATTAAACTTGTCTCCCTGGTGGACTTGCATAAGAATAAGAGGTTCTTCTGCAGGCATTTTTAAACATTTTTTCTTTCCTTTTCTCCACCCCACCAGCAGTTAACTTTTAAGCAAGTTTTTTTTCCCCCCTTTTAGAAGACATTTTACTAGGCCAGCCCCTGGAACTATCACTGTTTATATTCTCTGTAAAGCTTTAATTGCGAAAAAGGATTTGCGGGGCTGGTCTTAAGCTATAGCCGATCTGGTGTGTTTTGCATGTCTATATGGCTCATAGCAAACTTCCCTGCAAGCCTCCATCTTGTTTTACATCCTGAGGGCATGGCTTGTAACTCTGGGGGCAAGGCTTTGTTTAGCAATCCTGCCTTAAGGAAAAAGTTCCTTTCTGGCCCTGTTTCTTAAAGGGCTCCACCCAGCGACTGGGTTTTCTCCTGCCTGTCGTTGTGTGTGTGTGTGTATGTGCGTGTGTGTGTGTTTGTGTGTGATGTCTGTAAAAAGAGCTATAATTAATTTGGCCTAAAGAAAAACAAACGCTTGGATCCAATATTTTTTTAAAGAGAAGATAAAATATGTAGTACCTTTCAGTTCATGTGACTAATCTTTGAGAAATAAAAACAGCCTTAAAGATTACTGGTAAAATGCAGATGTCATTAAAATGTAAATAGGTGAACTAGATTATGCAGGTTGGATGCAAGGTTTACTAAATGTTTTAAGGTGATAAACTGCTTTTTGGGTTTTGACAACTATTTGATTTACTGGCTTCACAACTGATAAGGCCTGGGGACATATGGAACTAACCACACCGTTAATTAAGAAGGCAAACCTTGTCTGCACCTAGCACAAAATTAAAACAATGTACCAGGTTTTACATTAAAATTAAAAATTGCTAGGAGTTACCATTGTAACATGTAATTGAGACTACTGGAAATAGATTTACATGCAAGGTGTGTAAGAACAATAAAATGTGTTTTTCAGCAAAAGGTTGTAAGAAGGCATGGAAATGGAAATTTTTGCCTAGGGTTAAAGAATTGTTTTAAATTAGTTAAGATAAAGCTGAAGGTTCAAACAAGTGGTGGAAGGATTGTGGAAATTAATCTTGCAAAGGAGTTCTCTGTGTGAACGTATTGACTAAGTTCAAAAGGTATTATATGGTATTTCTGTAAGTGGAGCATTGAAATAAAAGCACAACGAGGTATTCTTAAGGCACTAATCTGCTCTTCGGCAAAGTTTGTAAAGGATTATAGAAGGTTTTTGCTTCTTTAAAATTTTGGAGTCATCATTTTGGCAAAATAAATAGTTTATGGTAATCTGGAATTCTATTTCATAATATCAAGTTTTTATTTATTTATTTTTTTGATGGCGTCTCACTCTGTTGCCAGGCTGGAGTGCAGTGGCACAATCTTTGCTCACTGTAACCTCCGCCTCCTGGGTTCAAGTGATTCCCCTGCCTCAGCCTCCTGAATAGCTGGGACTACAGGCGTGTGCCACCACGCCCAGCTAATTTTTGTATTTTTAGTAGAGATGGGGTTTCACCATGTTGGCCAGGATGGTTTTGATCTCTTGACCTTGTGATCCGCCTGCCTTGCCTCCCAAAGTGCTGAGATTACAGGTGTGAGCCACCAGGCCTGACCAATATCAAGTGTTTTAAACTTTGAACATATTTAACAGCCTTCCCAAAATCAAACTTCTGTTTCAAAATTGTCTTTCCTGATGCCTGGCTTTTTGGATGGTTCAGAGAGCCCCTGAAACATCCAGAAAAGAGGTAAACAGTATTATTTGACATGTTTAGGTACATGGGATTGCCAAAATGATGTTCAGTCTTCTTCAGGTTGCATTTTGGTGAATGCTAATATATGTTCCAACATTATATGGGATTTCTAAAATTCTTGTGTCTGAGTATATGCTATCAATCATAATTAAGGTTGTTAAGTTATTGTAAACCACAGAGAAAACCAAACTTCTTTGTCAATTGTGTTTCTAACTGTAACTACCCAGGACACTTTGTTATTCACAGACAATTGTCTTGTTTTAATCCTTTTCAAAAGATGGTTTATAATAAGCTATAGGACTCTGACAGGTGCTCTCAAATACAGATTTCTGATAACTTTGGAGATTGTGACATAGGGATAAAGAAAAAGTACAGGACTTAGGAAGAGCTGAAATGTTCACAAATATCAAGCAAAACAAGAATTGACTAAATGGACTGAACTCAGAAAGCTGAAGCAATCTTTTTGACATTTGATTGGAATATTGCTGATCCTTGTTTTGTTTCTCAGAGCCAAGGAAACGTATTTTGAACTATTTACAGCCTTTAATAATTAAGCAAGGTATACTCCTGTAATCAAAATTTGGAGCATCTTTGTTTCTCTCTGCCCGGTTCCCCTAGAATTTGGAAAGTGTCTGTGAGTATTCTTAACTTATGGCAATATAGTTGTTTGCATCAGTCCAATAAGAATCCATTTTTCTTTTGCAATAGGACACAATTGGAAAAAATGGTTATTTTACCAAAGATTTGACTGGAAAGGTATGCTTCCCTTTAAGGAGTTAAGCTTGATTTGTAGAGCCAATAGAAGCCCAGTGGGGAAACCGGCTTCATACCCTCATCTACACAGTCCCTGTACAGGGTTCCTGACCTGTGGTCAGTAAAGAATGTCACTTTCTGGCTGGGCACAGTTGCTCACACCTGTAATCCCAGCACTTTGGGAGGCTGAGGCGGTTGGATCACGAGGTCAAGAGATTGAGACCATCCTGGCCAACAGGGTGAAACCCCAACTCTACTAAAAATACAAAAATTAGCTAGGCATGGTGGCATGCACCTGTAATCCCAGCTACTCTGGAGGCTGAGGCAGCAGAATCGCTTGAACCCGGGAGGTGAAGGTTGCAGTGAGGTGAGATCGCACCACTGCACTCCCAGACTGGTGACAGAACAAGACTCCATCTCAAAAAAAAAAAAAAAAAAAAAAGAGTGTCACTTTCTAACAGGTCCCAGAGCTCCAAGCTTATCTTGGGACTTTAAGAGGAGAGGATCAGCCAACTTGCAGGTATTTGAGGATAGAAACCCATGGCTGGGCTCGGCTTTAAAAGGTTTTATCTGAGATTCCTTGTGGAACAGACTTCTATCAAAGCCAATCCAAAAGGCCTATGTAGAAATAGTTATTCTTGCTGCACTTTATGCAAATAATCAGGCTACATATAGAACTAAAGTCTATTTTGCAAACCACTCAGTCCTATGATCATTTGTTTCTTAACAAACATGAGGACTGGAGAAAGAGAAATTATGTTCCAAAACTTATCATACATTTGTCTTTAAATTCTAAAGTTACTAAATGTTTTTAAGTTTTCGCCTGCATTGTAGACTAATCCTGCTTTTTCCTGTGAACCAACCAGCAATCTCCGGCTGCAGTTCAGAAAGAAGAAGGGGATGGGTAATGTAAAAATCTAGATCAATATTGTAGTTTTGAGCAATTATCCTGCAAATCCTGCCAGGTGATGGGAATAAATAGGATGCCCATCACTCAGAGGTTTCCTTTTTGGGAAAGTAAGACCAAGGGAGCTAACCAAAGCCAAGCTCCATGCACCCAAATCCTAGAAAACATAACTACAGTCTCCAGTTATCTGGGCATGTCACAAGACATCCTTTTCTCTCCCTTGTTGGAGGAGGACTCAGTTCCACAGTCGCACCTTAGCATTTGGCTTATGATAAGGGGTCTATGCAACCCTCCTGAGACACATTTTTGTCCCAAACTCAATCCCAAGCTTCCGTTCAAAGCCGTAGGAAAAAATACTGGATCTGAGGAATCCAGAGGCAGATGATAATGGAAAACAAGTTAAAAGGCACAGCGGAGATGAACATGGCTCATTCCTGCCTATTAAGCCAAGTTTTCAGTTTCGTGGATGGCCTGGTGCCTCGTCCATGATGGATACTCCCTGGCAGGTATTGACATGTCTTACAAAGATCTTTACACTTTGTTCACATTCCCATAGGCTCATTCACAGGCCTCTACTACAGAGCTCATTGTCCTAATCTTCCAGTCTTTTACCTTCGAGGTCCCTGACCGATGGACCAAACCATTTACCACTGTCTATGAATCTGAATATATTTTAACTTCAGTTCCCCACAAACTGATGATAAGGTCCACTGCCCTAAGCTCTCTTCTTTAGGAGGACTTCTCCTCACTCCCATCTTTTAAGACCAGGCTTGAGTGAGACCATACTACACTGTCAGGCCAATTTTGCCTTGTACCCACACATTGAGTCAACCTATCTAGGAACAAACATCAATATGTTCCTCTCCCAATATCTGATCATAAGAGAATCCCCATGCACACTCAGGTGTAAACTAAGGGAGAGGCACTGATGGAATGGTGGTAGATGACATGGAGCTCTGGGCTACCCGCTAACGCAGCTTTCTTGTTTCCCCCAGCTCTGTTCATGCTCAGTCAGGAACATCCCACTTCCATCTTATGATGGATTGATGCTGGGCTCACTCACCCTGTGGATATGACAAAAACTAAATTATGATGGGCATTTCTGGTTGATTGATCACTTGGAGTTCCATGGTTGGGCACATCATCTCTATCATAGCCCAGTGTCACACTGGGAGCTATTTGACAAAAGGTGTACAATTTATTGTAGGTGGCATAGAATTGCTCCAGAATCCTAGGAACCTGTGCTATGATTCAAGCAATAAAATTTGCTATAAACTTTACATGGCATCTTTTCCCACCACCATTAGAAGTATATTCTAAGACCTACCAGATCATGTGGCCCAAGTGGCAGAGCTACTTATACCATGACCCAGACCTGCTGCAGAACATTTCCTGCTGAGTCTTATTCAAAACTGACAGCCATTTATGCCACCTGAAATATGGTCAGGTTACAGCTGTATTCCCAGAAGTGAAACATACTGCTCCTAGAAGCCAGAGTCATACTGGATGTTCTGTTTCGGTCTTCACGATGGGAGGTATGAAATATAATAATCTGTCCTTTATTTTGGAAGGATGCCCCGGTATGTCTCCGACCACTTGCTTTTTTACTAACGTAGTGAAAGTCTCAATGCTCATAGAGTTTATCTGTCTTCTCTGGAGTGCACATGCCTTACCAAGTCCTGCAATGTAGTTGCCACTTCCTGCTCATCTAGTCTGCTTAGCACAATGTCAACAATAGAGTAGACCAGTGTGATGTTCTGTGGAATATTATATTATAATATATTGTAATAGTGGGCAGAAGAATTAACATTGCTCTAGGGCAAGATAGTAAAAGGCATACGGTTGGCCGTTACAAATAAAATTGAACTTTCTGATAGGGCTGGGAAGGAAGGCACTTGCCAGATCAATGGCTAAATAACATAGGTACTGAGGCAATGTTAAAGTGCTCTAGACAATATACATCATCTGGTACAGTAGAAATAACTGGGGCTGCTAGTTTATTGAATCTGGTCCACTGTCATCCTACAGGATCTACCTAGTTTTGGCTGGGGCCAGTTTGGTGAAATAAAATTTAATGGGGACCACCACTTCATCTCAGTAATCTCAATCGTTCCTCCTGGAATGTAATTTTAGTTTTGATTTACTTTCTTAGCCAGGAGAGCAGATAGTTTCAGAGGCTTCCACTTGGCCTTTCTCACTAGGATACCTCTTACCTCATATGCCATGGAACCAAAGCAGGTGTTGTGTCTACTAGCAAGTATGTTCATCCCAAATGGACATTGGGATCTTGGGAACTAGCCACTGGGTGAGTTCATGGACCCAGTGGTTTCTCATGAGCTCTCCATTTATTACCTGGTTTTCATATGACCCTACTCTAACATGGGGGCCATTGATGATGCCTTGGATCCCCAGGTATCAATGTCAACTCAGACTCACTGCCCTTTTTCCTTTCCCTAGGATATGGTCACATAGTATATACAGAAAAACGGGGTCAATTATTACCATGCACACTTGTTACTGTGTTGCAGAGTCCTTCCTTCTGAGGTCCCAGGCTCTCTTTTCATCAATAAGCATAATGTTTAAACTGGTTCAGATACAGAAACCAGATAAATGCTTGTGACTCTTTATTGGGATGGTGAACTTCAGCCTCCTGACAATCTATCTTTGATTTCTTCTGGTTGTATATATTAAGCATACTCTTGTTGGCTGCCTATCTGCTTTGCACCTAGATTTACCACATCTGTCTCCAGATCTCTCTGTGGGTCAAGACCTGTGACTGCTACCCCACCTTTGCCATTCTTCACATTAATTGTACCCATCTGGTTTATGATAGATGCATGCTCCTGCCTGTATCAATTTAGGAACCTATTATCTGCATTGCTTTCACTGACCCCTGTTGTATAGGAGCATCTCTTACCAGTAGCCCTTGCCTACCAAGGAGATACCACATTGAGTTTTCTCTCCTTTTTCTTTCTTCCAGAATTCCTGAGGATAGGGAAACAGATTGTTGTGGTTTTGTTTGGTTTTGTTTTTTGTTTTTTTGTTTAGACAGAGTCTCTCTCTGTTGCCCAGGCTGGAGTGCAGTAGTGTGATCTTGGCTCAGTGCAACCTCTGCCTCCCGGGTTCAATTGATTCTTGTGTCTCAGTGCCCTGAGTAGCTGAGATTACAGGTGAGTGCCACCACTCTTGGCTAATTTTTGTATTTTTAGTAGAGATGGAGTTTCACCATGTTAGCCAGGCTGGCCTCAAAATCCTGGCCTCAAATGATCCGTCTGCCTCAGGCTGCTAAAGTACTGGGATTGCAGGCATGAGCCACCGTGCCTGGCCTACATTAAGCTTATTAAAATTGATGCTGGTGCTATTCTCACTAATACATTTTTTATTGATTCAGAAAACAAAATGTCCTTTGGGTTTTCCACAGGATATAGTCAATTGGTGGGTTTTCTGGCTTTATATATTTACTGTAGCATGCCCACTGCTCCTTTAAGCCTTTTGATATCTTCTTTCACTATCTTTCATGGGAAGTTCTGAAATTTCTACTTCACTTACTGTGTGTCATAGCTTTGTCCAAGATTCTAAGGGTTCTATTGGTTGTGTTTCAGCATTATCGCTCAGGGTTAATTACATGAGACCGTTCCCCATGGAGGGGACAGCAATATGTTCTTTATTAGAATTTGTACATATTGCTGGAATGGGTTGGTCTTGGCTAACTTCAGTATCTTGGCCAAAACTACTACCCAGGAGCACAAAGGGTCTGATTTACTGATATAGGATACATATAACAACCTTGGATCAAGGGACCCACATTCTGGGAAAAGAAATGTGACCAATGGACACATGAGCACATTGGATCGAAGTGGTCCTACCATGTAATTAAAACGTTTCTGACCTAACAGAATGTAGGAAAGCATAGCTAAGGCACTAGCTTGGGAATGACACTCTGGGAGTTGAGATATTGTACTTAATGATGAGGTATATACTTTGTTTCTTTGTTTTTGTTTTTGAGACAGGATCTTGCTCTGTTACCCAGTGACAATGGCTGCAGTGGCATAATCACATTTCACTGCAGCCTCCACCTCCCAGGCTCAAGTGATCCTCCCAGCTCAGCAAGCCAAACAGCTGGGACCAGAGCCATGCATCACCATGTCTTGCTAATTTTTTTTTTTTTTTTTTTTTTTTGGAGATGGAGTTTCACTCTTGTTACCCAGGGTGAGTGCAATGGCGCGATCTTGGCTCACCGCAACCTCTGCCTCCTGGGTTCAAGTGATTCTCCTGCCTCAGCCTCCCTAGTAGCTGGGATTACAGGCATGTGCTACCACGCCCAGCTAATTTTGTATTTTTAGTGGAGGTGAGGTTTCTCCATGTTGGTCAGGCTGGTCTTGAACTCCTGACCTCAGGTGATCCACCCGTCTTGGCCTCCCAAAGTGCTGGGATTACATGCATGAGCCACCGCACCTGGCCTCCCGGCTAATTTTTTAATTTTTTTTGCAGAGACGGGGTCTCCCTATGTTGCCCAAGCTGGTCTTGAACTCCTAAGCTCAAGTGATCCTCCAACCTTGGCCCCCTAAAGCACTGGGATTTCAAATGTAAGCCCCCTTGTCTGGCCTGAGGTATATGCTTTGAATTAATAAACTTTATATGGTCTATGTATTTGTATTATAGCTAGAATATAAGGATCTGGGAAATAAAGGGTAGAAGTAGGAGCAGCCCATCTTACCTTTATTCCGTGACCCACGTGGGAAGTTGTACTTTCCATTTCCAACTTTATGCTCTGTGTTATTAAAAGCCCTAATTCATGCATGGAGGATGCTTCTATTAAGGGACAGAACAAGGGTCCCACTAAATCTGAAGCTGTGGCTACACAAATTTTCACTGTAATAGGAGTTTCTATATTGGCCAGGGTAATTGACTCTGAGTATCCCAAGATAGAAATGTTAGTAGTTAATGGAAGTAGGAAGGAATATATCTGGAATGCAGATTTGCTGAAAAGCTTCTTGATAGTTCATGCTTAGTGATGAGACAAGCATCTACAGCATATATGGCCTGACATGATAAAGAGAAAGGAAGGTTTGGATTACTCCACTAGGTAAGCAACCTAGACCAGGCAAACGGCTGGCTTAGAGTGAGAAGAATCTAGAAAGGAAGTTAGAGGAGGTTGATGATTAATATGAATTACAGCCTGTAGATTAAGAGAAGTGGGGATAATAGCTTGCTCTAGTAATTACCTTGTAGTAAACTTTTTATGTATTGTGATTGGCCACTACCTTGAGGATTCAGTGACAAAACAGAGTGGACTTGCCATGGGGCAGGTATGGATCTGAGCGGCAGAAGCTGTTGGTGTACTGCTCATGTCTACTCAACACTCATCTCTAGACACAGAACTGCTTATTGAGGATGTCTGACACTTTCTGCCTGAGGGCCCTTTCCTGGTCGTAAGCGAATAAGGAATTCATTCATGGAGAAAAATGAAATTGCGGAGAAGTTCATGTTCCCTGAAGCAGCTCTCAAGCAATGATTGATGGAGAGTTGGTGGATAAATATTCTCGTTACCCTTATGTGGAATAACTCAAGTGTGGTGTACACTGTCCCAGAATTACCAGAAAGTTGAGCCCCATGGCTCACATGAGTAACTTGCTATAGAAAGTACTTTTTGTAGGCTTTTTTCCCTTCTCTATTTTCTTCCTCACTGCCTCACTTTTCTGTTTCTTTCTCACTCCTACAGTGTTTGCTGTGATCACCTCTCAACCAAACTACTCACACTTGAATCCTTATTTCAGAATCTGCTTCTAGTGCAACCCAAAGTACAAGTGTAAAGAAAATAATTAATTGTGCTAATGGCATAGAAATGAAGATGTTTCAGCATTGGAGAAAGAGAAATATAAAATAACAAGTAAAAATCTGTAATCTTAAATTTGATTTGGAAATTTTAATATAGACTCATTTTTTTTCTTTTAAAAGAGATTTTCTAACTCTGTTTCTTGAAATGACCAACTTAATAGCAACAAAAACTGACACTAGGCTGGGTGCGGTGGCTCACTCCTGTAATCCCAGCACTTTAGGAGGCCAAAGCAGGCGGATCACAAGGTCAGGAGTTTGAGACCAGTCTGGCCAACATAGTGAAACCCCATCTCTACTAAAAACACAAAAAATTAGCTGGGCGTGGTGGCGGGCATCTGTAATCCCAGTTACTTGGGAGACTGAGGCAGGAGAATCGCTTGAACCTGGGAGGCAGAGGTTGCAGTGAGCCAAGATCACGCCATTGCATTCCAGCCTGGGTGACAGGGCAAGACTCCGTCAAAACAAAACAAAACGAAACAAACAAACAAACAAAACCCCAAAAACTCCTGACACCCAAGTTGTGGTTTGTAAACACCATTTCCCACTAAAAGCAATCAGAGGTCTTTGGAGAAGTGGCTGATTTCAGGTCTAGTGAAGAAAATGTATGCAATGAACCTGAGTATCTTATACTAGAAAGAAAGAACGTTATCAAAGACTACTCTGACTATTTTAAAAGGAGACAGAAGCCAACTTGGAGGGGCTGCCATGGGCCTAAAATGGGAGAGTTTAAGATTCAAAAGTATAATATCAGTGGAATAAAACAAATCAACTATGTTAAAATCCATAATTTCGTAATAATATTAAAAAGCAAAAAAAACTCACTAGTCATTTTAAAATTTTTTATTAATTTTTTTTGTGAAGCACCTGTCTGCTATTTAATCATTAGTCACTTCTGAATGCCAGATAAACAATGGAAAAGAAAGGGAAAGAATAAAGGTTTTGATCTTGTCTTTTCTGCACAAACTATATTTCAGGACAATAAAATTGTTGATGAATTGATAAATTGTTCTATTTAGAGTAATACCAACTAACAAATGAAGAAAAAAGCGGAAGAAACAAAATACCATTTGAATCTGGACAGGGCCAGGTTTTATGTGGCATATTTTAAAGGTGATTGATTGGTGATGAGTTTACAATTGTTGAAGCTAGCTGATGGATACATGTGGGTTCATTATTCTCTTTACATGTATGTCTAAAAGGGGGATATTTTCCATTTTTTTAAAAGCTCTTTATCCTCAGGTTGCAGTATGTGTAAAAGAAAAAAAACCCTTTAAAAAGAATATCATGGCTGCAGCTTCAATTAATGAAATAATAGCTTGATGATATTAACCCTCCCATAGATAGCAATATAAAATCTGGATAAAATATTTTGATAAAAGAGAACTATTTGAAGGTACTGGAGAGTGGCCCAAAGGAGGCAGAAACTGGAGGAAAGTTGAGGTCTGAAACATACAAACTGCACGGGTTGAGTTAAGAATATTTGTATCTTTTTTTTCTTCAGGACACTCCAAATCCTCATAGTGAAGGGTGGCAAAAAGCCAGTCTTTTTGCTTTAGGGTTCAGAAGACAGAAGTCAGCTATGGCAGAGTGGCTGACAAATGAGGGAAAGGGAGTAGAAAGTGAAATCCATGAAAGAAGGGAGCTTCAGAGAGGACAAGCCCAGAATCTGCATGTAGGCTCTTCCCAACCACTTGGCTGACCATTGAACAATAAACATGGGGGAGAGACTCCAGAGGACCCAGAAGAGAGACAAGCTGGTAGCTCAAAGAACTTGGCAGAGATTTCAACTGTTGGCCACTGCATGTGAGGCAAAATTTGGAGTTAGATTCCAAAAAATTTAAAACCTGGTAGAAAATATATCAACATTCCTTAGAGAAATATAGCTGAATCAAGGGTCTTAATAAAATGTTATTTATAATGTTCACCACACAAATAAAACACTATCAGATGTATGAAAACCCAGGAAAGTATGACCCATGGTGAAGAAAAAAAGTAGCCAAAAGGAGCAAATCCCAAGATAACAAATATTTAGAATAAGCAGATAAGGTCTTTAAAGCAGCCATTATAAGTGTGCTCGGGGACTTCAGATGGGGAATCGTACTGGTAGAATTAAAATGATAAAAAACAAATAATTGTAGAATTAAGAAGCACAATAACCAAAATAAAATAAAAATCTCACTGGATAGGTTTATCAACAGATGGAAGACAATAGAAAAATGAGTCAGTGAGCCTAAAGATAGATCAATACAAATTATCCAACTTGAATAACATGTAGAGAATTACCTAAAAAATTAGTGAACAAAGGCTTAGTGCTTTTTGGAACAATATTAAGTGATCTAACATATATGTAATTAAACTCCAAGAAGAAAGGTAGAGAAAAAGCAAAGTAGAAAAAATTTTGAAGAAATAATGGCTAGAAATCCCTCAAATTTAGTAAAAAAAAAACAAAGGGAAACAAACAACCAACCAACAACAAAAAACTCCAGTTAGATTACAGTTGCAAGAAGTTCCATGAAATACAAATTTATCTGTCAATTAAAAAGAATGGGCCAGTTATGGTGGCTCATGCCTGTAATCCTAACACTTTGGGAGGCTGAGATGAGAGGATCACTTGAGCCCAGGAGTTTGAGACCAGCCTGGGTGAGACCCCATCTCTACAAAAAATTTTTTACAAATTAGCTGGGCATGATGGCAAGCACCTGTGGTCCCAGTTCCTTGGGAGGCTGAGGTGGGAGGATTGCTTGAGCCCAGGAGATTGAGGATGCAGTGAGCTGTGATCATGCCATTGCTCTCTAGCCTGGGTGACAGAGCAAGATCCTGCCTCAATTAAAAAAAGAAAGAAAGAAAGAAAAGAAAAGAAAAAAGAAAAAGAATGTCCACAAACCCCAAATAAGAGAAATACAAAGAAATCTACATTCAGGCACATAATATTAAAACTGCCAAAAATCAGAGAAAAAGAGAAAATCTTAAAAACAGCTAGAAAAAGAACATATACATATAGGGACACCACAATACGAAGTTGGCTGACTTTTAATGAGAAACAATGGAACCAGAAGACAATTGAACAGCAACTCTAAAATGCTGGGGGCTGGGAGGAGCCCTTATGACCCAGAATTCCATATCCAGTTTAACTGTCTTTCAAAAATGAAAGCAAAATAAAGACATTTCCAGACAAAGACAGAGATAATTCATCGCTAGTTGATCTGTCTTACAAGAAATCTAAAGCAAGTCCTTCAGCCTGAAAGAAAATGACACCAGAAGATGATTCAAATCTGCAGAAAGAAATGAAGTACATTGTAAATAGTAAATATTTCAGTAACTATAAAATACTGATAAATATGTATTTTTCTTTTCTCCTTTTCATTTCTTGAGATGACATAAGACTGTATAAAGCAATAATTAAAACACTGCATTTTGGGGTTTATAACATATATAAGGGTAATATATATGACAATAATAGCACAAAAATGGGGAGAGAAAATGAAACTATATTGGAGCAAATTCACTATATTTAACCAGGATTAAATTAATGTGGACCTGAACTAACTGACTAATTGGAATAAGTTAAAATAAACATTGCAACAACTTGAGCAATCACTAAGTAAACAACTTAAAAATAATTTAAAAATTAACAGGAATTTAAATGGCAAGCTAATATTATTTAACACAAAAAAGATGGTTAAAGAAGAAAGAAACAAAATGGGTATAAGACTTATATGAAACAAATAATAAAATGACAGGTGTAAATACAATCACATCAATAATTACATTTAATATTAATGGTCTAAAAAGATACTGTCAGACTAAATCAAAAAGTAAGATCCAACTATATTCTCTTTGCCTTTAAAAACCTGATTGAAACAAAGCCCAAATGGAGCTCATATCCAAGGTTACCTGCATCTGAGTCTTCCAGGCAGCTGTCTTAACTTTGTCTCAAGCAAACTCTTTAAATTATATTTTGTGCCTCAGCCTCTTCCTTTTAGGTCAACACTTTTTATAGCTGAAGAGTAGTCTGTGATATGCATGTACCACAGGTTGTCTATCCATTCACCCATTTGGGTTGGTTCACTTTTTTGGCTATTCTAAAGATATAGAAAAAAAAACTTAGTTTATCCTACATCCAACTATACTCAACACAGTACTTCGCCTCTGGTCACCAAGAAGTGTGCAGGGATTTCTCCCCACAAAGCAATTCTCTGGCAGATTCTTCAATGGACACCAGCTTGGTGTCCCCTACCTCAATTCAGTTCTGACAATATCTACGTAGAGATAGCGTCAGATCCCATAGCTTGGGGGCTCAGTCCCACAAGACTGCCTCATGCTTCAGATGCTAATCACAAGCACAAGTTGTTGCCCTAGAGGATAGAAGGCAACAACAACAACAAATCAGAGACCAGGGTGGTTGAAATGAATGTTATTGCTGTAGTCACTGATGAATGATGACAAGGGCTGGGGCAATGCTACCCAGAGTGTGGTCTGTGGACCAGACCCAGCGTATGAACTGTTTGTTACCAATGATATAAGTACAGAGATTGAGGATAAGCATGGAGAAACTATTATAACAAATTGAAATACCAATATTATGTGTTCTAATAAATAAAAATAAGGCTTTTGTTCTCTATGACTTTTCCATATATTTTTCTCATAATTCATTTTTAATGTTTTACATATGAACTGGTCTGTGATGAATTGGACATTTTTAAGAAGTGGTCCTTCCCCATGGACAGCTTGGGAGACAATGGTCTAAGGTGGGTGACTGAGATCAGAGGGAAGTAAAAATCACTGGAGGTGAAAAACAGGGGGTTTGGGAGCATCACAGTCCATGCCGAAATCCCTGGTTATGGTGCCACACACAGGGAGGAGGTGAGGGCAGTAGGAGCCCTGTTTGTGTTCAGGGCCCTGGGGAAGCAGGTGCTGAGGAGGCAGGAGGGAGTCAGAGCTCAGGTGCCTTAAGATCGTGGTATCAGCTGCTTCCAAAAGGGGTATTCCTGTCCATCAACCTCCACGTTAGCATGAGGCTTACAAACCTTGCACACAGTTGCCACTAAGGACAGCCTCCTGTGCTTTCCCTGGACAACACTGCTCCAAGGAGAGTGCTCCAAGGGCCTGACAGCCTGACTTCTGTCAGGGACTTGGCAAATAGAAACCCAACCTGTGCAAGCCCCAGTTGGCTCCTGATGGTTGAATGAAAGAGCATGGCCTCAGACACAACTGTCTTCCAAGAGAGTGCCCAGATTCTTCAGGAAAGTGAAGCCCATACCCTTCTGATTCCAAGCTCAGGAGACAGGAATGATGCCAGGGCTGTGGAGTGAGACATCTGGCTCTGCACACGAGGACAGCCTTGGGCTGCAATTTCTAATTTGCATGTAAAGGCAGCAGCATATGGCCACTGTCAGTCCTCACAGGGGCCATAGTCCCTGCTGGGGCAGGGAGAGGGGAACGAGGAAGTACTTACGCTGAAGTCTTTCCCCACGTAGAGAAGCAGAGAAAGAGTGGGGTATGAATCCAAGGGGTCCCTGTGGTGAGGGGAATCACTGAGACTCACACAACCTGGTCAGACATTTATTAGGGTAGTGCAGCCTGTTCTCCATGCCCCAGGCCTTTCAGATTGATAGGATTTCAATGTGGAACTCTGGCTGCTTTGAAGGGATTGCATATTGGACCTGTAAAAAGCCATCAGTCTGGAAGGCAAGGCTGCTCTCTGGGACCTGGAACAAGCAGAGAGCATTGCACATTTGGCGGTAACATTGCCGGCACTGCCACATGCGGATGCAGGACTGGAGCTTGACCGTCGCCTGCTCCTGGATGACGTAGACCCTCAACAGGGCCTGCCGCCGCTGACGGATCCGTCTCTGCACCAACGTCCTCCACCAGCACTGAATCATCCAGGCCCTGAGGGCAGCAACCAGCAGGGTCCTGCGCACCAGGACCCCACGCCACCAGGCCTGGATCTGCCCAGCTGCCTTCACCCTTTTTCTGTGATGCAGTTGTGCAAGAAGCAACTGGCCAAGCAAAGCAGAGGACTCCCAGTGAATTTATCACCATCAAGCACAGGTGGTTCTCTAAAGAATCAGCCCTCTCCCTGCTGGTTTTGAGGACCCAGGAGACCTGGGTGGGGTTTGTCCTCTACTTCTGTCCTGTTCATGGCTCTGGACACCCTCACAGTCCCAGTGCCCTCATCTATGAAATCGGGATATGTTTGATCTGTGGACTTCTCGGGTTTATGGGACTAGCGGAGACACTTTCTGGTCCAGAAGACCCAACTGGAAGACCAGGGTGTGAGGAACTGAAGGATTCTTATAAGAATCCATGAACCTCTGCATTTATGGCCTGTGTCTTGGTCCAAACTCCAGCCATGATGCTGCCTCCTAATGTCTTGCGTGGTGCTGCAGCCCTTTGGGGTCTCCCCTCATCTCACTTTTGTGGACTTCCACTACCATGTCTCAGTCCCTCCTCATTCTCCTGGGCCTTTCCACTTCCTGTGCTGAGCCCCACCTATCAGGTGGCTGTGCGCACGAAACTTCCTCCCCTTTTACTGTCTATCTCCATACCTTACTCAGTTCACCAAGGAGAGGGAGGGCTTGAGGGGATAAGAGGGCAATGCTGAGCCAGAGATGGATCTCCATTCTAAGAACTCTGGGATCAAAGAGTCAATGATCTGCAATTCTCTCACCCTCCTGGGCCCCACCTACCTTCTGCCGCCTCTGTCTTTCTACTGCATCTTCATCTGGACCACCTTTCTGCAATCGGAATATGGGTGTGGGGGAGCATGGGTGAGGACCAGCCTGACTGCAAAGTCCCCACAGGCCCAGTTCCCCATTCTTTGCCTGGGTCCTAAGAAGTGGCCTGGTGCTTTCCTGGGCCATGGGACAACTCCCACCCCTGGGGGAGTTTGTGTGCCTGAGTCTTACACAGCATTTACTGCCCATGGTTTGGAGCAGTGGTTCAGGTGATCATCTCCCTCTGGTTGCTGTTTCCTGATCTTGGCAGGGGCAGGAAAGGTGGAGAAAGAGATGGCCGTGATGTCACAAAGGCAACTATGACCAGGGGCCACAGTGCCTTTTCCAGGCTCAAAGTTGATGGATAAAGAGAAAATACCTGGCTCTCCTGTTGACTTCCTTGGGCAACTCTCTGTTGAGGAAAAATTGTGCAAATATCATTTCTCAGATTGTCATCTGCCTGTTAACTTTTTTCATGGTTGCCTTTCCTTCCACAGTTATCTTTAATTTTTGATATGCTCAAATCCATTGCCCCTTTACAATTCTGCTTTTGTAGTTTTCTAATAAAGTGCTTTTCCATCCAGGATCATAGATTTTTCTATTAGATTCTGGTCTACCTTTTACATTAAGGTGTTTTAACATTTAATGTAAATGTTTTTATAAGACATTTACAATTAGAAATGACAAAGGGGATGTTACCACGGACCCCACAGAAATAAAAATAACCATCAGAGACTATGCACACAAACTAGAAAACCTAGAAGAGATGGATAAATTCCTGGACACATACACCCTCCCGAGACTGAAGCAGGAAGAAATTGATTCCCTGAACAGACTAATAATGAGCTCTGAAATTGAATTAGTAGTAAATAGCTTACCAACAAAATAAAGCGCAGGACAAGAAGGATCCACAGCTGAATTCTATCAGATGAACAAAGAAGAGCTGGTCCCATTCCTACTGAAACTATTCCAAAAAATTGAGGAGGAAAGGCCCCTCCCCAGCTCATTCTATGAGGCCAGCATCATCCTGATACCAAAACCTGGCAACAACAAAACTTTAGGTCAATATCCTTGACAAACATTTATGCAAAAATCCTTAACAAAGTACTTGCAAACTGAATCCAGCAGTTCATCAAAAAGCTAATCCACCACGATCAAGTAGGCTTCATCCCTGGAATGCAAGGTTGGTTCAACATATGCAAATCAATAAAATGTGATTAATCACATAAACAGAATTACAGACAAAAACCACATGATTATCTTAATAGATTCAGGAAAAGCTTTTGATGAAATTCAACATCTCTTCATGTTAAAAACTCTCAATAAACTAGGTACTGAAGGGACATAACCTCAAAATAATAAGAGCCATATATGACAAACCCACAGCCAACATCATACTGAACAGACAAAAGCTGAAAGCATTCCGCTTGAAAACTGGCACAAGACAAGGATGGCCTCTCTCACCACTCCTATTCAACATGGTATTGGAAGTCATCTTGTAGCT